>NC_000020.11:41163203-41466234 GCF_000001405.40 Homo sapiens
GCTGGGGAGCGGCCGGAGCTTTGCCGAGTGTCCCTTCCTGAGTTCCAGCAGTTCCTTCTTGACTACCAGGGGGTATGGCTGGGCTGACATTGGCCCAGGCTGGTAGGTTGTGGGGGGCTGGGCTCATCCCTGACTGGAGGCTTCTCTCATCCCCTGCCCTCCCTACCCCATCAGGAGCTGTGGGCTGTTGATCGCCTCCAGGTGCAGGAGTTCATGCTCAGCTTCCTCCGAGACCCCTTACGAGAGATCGAGGAGCCATACTTCTTCCTGGATGAGGTGAGCCCGATGTTTCACCCATTTTTTGTCAAGAGAATGAGTAGGGGTGACCAGGACCCCACCCGGGCTCCAGGAGCTAGACGCTCCTTAGGGATGCCACCTTGTTTCTACCTACTGTGCACCTTGCCCACCCCCAGTTGGGACAGAGCACTCTCTCTCCTACCCCCAACCTACCATCTTGGGTTGGACAGGGCAGGGACTCACTGTCTCTTCCCTTCCACATGTTTCTGGACAGTTTGTCACCTTCCTGTTCTCCAAAGAGAACAGTGTGTGGAACTCGCAGCTGGATGCAGTATGCCCGGACACCATGAACAACCCTCTTTCCCACTACTGGATCTCCTCCTCGCACAACACGTGAGTGTGGCTCCTTCAGGCCCACCCAGCTTCTTCCCCAGGAGGGCCCATCTGACCATACCTACCTGCCTCTCCTTGCCTATCCAGGTACCTGACCGGGGACCAGTTCTCCAGTGAGTCCTCCTTGGAAGCCTATGCTCGCTGCCTGCGGATGGGCTGTCGCTGCATTGAGTGTGCGTGGGGTCCAGGGCTGGGGGAGGGAAGATGGGAGGCCTGCCCGCTTGACCATGGTGATGTTGCTCCCCAGTGGACTGCTGGGACGGCCCGGATGGGATGCCAGTTATTTACCATGGGCACACCCTTACCACCAAGATCAAGTTCTCAGATGTCCTGCACACCATCAAGGAGCATGCCTTTGTGGCCTCAGAGTGAGTCGGAGGCTGGATGACCCAGGGGTTAACTTGGCTCCAGGTCTCTCGTTCTAGAGGGACAGAGGGCAGAAAGACTCCTCAAATGCCCTGTCCCCTCTCCCTCAGCCTTTCATCTTTGTCCTTCCTCTTGGCCTCTCCTCGTCACCTGCTCCCTGCTTGAGCTGTTGCTTCCCAAGTTACACTTTCTGTTTCCTACGTGTTGGGCCCACTCTCTTCTTCATGGGTCCTTTAGACTGTAGAACACATGCTCTTCTCATCTTCAGAAAACATGCCCTGGTTTCTTTAGGCCAGTGTCCTGCCAACTCCTTTGCCCTCACAGCCCAGAAGATTGTCTCTGTTCCCTGTGTCCCATTCCTTCAATTCTGTTTACTGCTTAAACTGTGGTCACTGGTCTCCCTTAGCTCACCAGGGCTCTAACAGCTAACTTTGGAGGCTTCTCCTCTCTCCTGGCCTCTTTGGTGTGAAACATTTTTCTTGCACTGCTGAGCAGCCTCCATAATTGGGCCAGCTCGGGACTGCATCAGTTGCCACCCTTTGGTTTCCACTGCTGCCACAGCTGTAGAACCCCTCTCTGCCCCACCAGTGGCTATGGCCTGCCTCTTTTCTGGGATAGTTTTTACAGACAAGAAGCCCCCAGGCCCTTGGCTTCCAACAGCTCACTGTGAGGGGCTACTTAGACCCAGAGAATTGCAGAATCTGTTTCACTGTGCTTGTCCCCCATCCCGCAGGTACCCAGTCATCCTGTCCATTGAGGACCACTGCAGCATTGCCCAGCAGAGAAACATGGCCCAATACTTCAAGAAGGTGCTGGGGGACACACTCCTCACCAAGCCCGTGGAGATCTCTGCCGACGGGCTCCCCTCACCCAACCAGCTTAAGAGGAAGATCCTCATCAAGGTGGGGTGGCGGGCTTATTGCGGAAGCCCCACACTTCTCAGTGCCTTGCCCAGGCCATGGCTTCAGCTGTTGGGCCTAAACCTGGGTGAGGAGGTGGGGTGAGGACTGGGGTCTGCATTGCCCTGTTCTGGTTGCCCCTACAGCACAAGAAGCTGGCTGAGGGCAGTGCCTACGAGGAGGTGCCTACATCCATGATGTACTCTGAGAACGACATCAGCAACTCTATCAAGAATGGCATCCTCTACCTGGAGGACCCTGTGAACCACGTGAGGACTGGGCCAGGCTGGGGGTGGTAGGCCAGTGGGTGTGAGGACCCTGGCTCACAAGTCCCTCTTTGGTCTGTTCCAGGAATGGTATCCCCACTACTTTGTTCTGACCAGCAGCAAGATCTACTACTCTGAGGAGACCAGCAGTGACCAGGGCAACGAGGATGAGGAGGAGCCCAAGGAGGTGAGGAACCAGCTCAGGTCTGGGGGCTGGGCCAGGTCAGGCCTGGGCCAGGGTCACAGTATCTTTGCTGTTGCCTTCCCCTGACAGGTCAGCAGCAGCACAGAGCTGCACTCCAATGAGAAGTGGTTCCATGGGAAGCTAGGGGCAGGGCGTGACGGGCGTCACATCGCTGAGCGCCTGCTTACTGAGTACTGCATCGAGACCGGAGCCCCTGACGGCTCCTTCCTCGTGCGAGAGAGTGAGACCTTCGTGGGCGACTACACGCTCTCTTTCTGGTAACACTTCCCATGCAGATGCGTATGTTCAGTCAGCGTGTGTACACAGACATCACATCACCCAGAGATAATCAGTTAACATTTGAGCCTTTGATCCAGGACAATAATTAGGCTTTACATGGAACATAATTTCACCTACATACACACACACACTCTCTGTCTCACCCCCCCCCCATACCCCTCCCTTTTCGGTTCATTTGAAGCCCACACCTTTGGTTCATGTGACTGCCCACACCTGAGCTCCTCAGGAGATTGGCCTCCCTCCTTGAGGCTCCCTCCTTGAGTTCCACCCTCATTTGGGGTGGAACTTGGTCTTTGGGGCCCTGGCCTGTTTTCCCCAGCCTCCCTCACTCTGTGTCTTCCACAGGCGGAACGGGAAAGTCCAGCACTGCCGTATCCACTCCCGGCAAGATGCTGGGACCCCCAAGTTCTTCTTGACAGACAACCTCGTCTTTGACTCCCTCTATGACCTCATCACGCACTACCAGCAGGTGCCCCTGCGCTGTAATGAGTTTGAGATGCGACTTTCAGAGCCTGTCCCACAGACCAACGCCCACGAGAGCAAAGAGTGAGGGAAGGGCCTGGGGGCGGACAAGGCAGGGCAGGGCCATGGGTGGTGCTGGCCGGGCCTGACTCTGCCTGTTCTCAGGTGGTACCACGCGAGCCTGACCAGAGCACAGGCTGAGCACATGCTAATGCGCGTCCCTCGTGATGGGGCCTTCCTGGTGCGGAAGCGGAATGAACCCAACTCATATGCCATCTCTTTCCGGTGAGGGGTGTGGCACTGGGTTGTGGGGCCTTGCTTGGGTCTGAGCTGCCCTGACCCTGTGTGACTGTTTTGTCCTTGTGAAGGGCTGAGGGCAAGATCAAGCATTGCCGTGTCCAGCAAGAGGGCCAGACAGTGATGCTAGGGAACTCGGAGTTCGACAGCCTTGTTGACCTCATCAGCTACTATGAGAAACACCCGCTATACCGCAAGATGAAGCTGCGCTATCCCATCAACGAGGAGGCACTGGAGAAGATTGGCACAGCTGTGAGGGGGCTGTGGTAGACGGGGCATGGCAGGGGAGGCAGGAGAGACCCAGAATCTTACCAGTCTCTGGATGTGTGTAACAGCAAGACCTGGTGTGTTGTAGAAGTTCGTGGGAGGGCCCCTGACTCCAGCTGGGAGCCACAGTGTGGGTACCAGGAGGGTGTCTGCAGGAGGGGACATCTGAGCAGCATCTTTAAGGATGGGGACAGGCACATAAGCAGAGGGTTCCTCATGAGTCAAGATGTGGAGTGAGGAGGTTCTGGGGCTCACACTGGGAGAGGTGCACACAGTGGAAACTCATCCACCTGGGCTTGGCCTGGACTCTGTCCTAGGGCAGATGAGATGAGGCTACCCAAGAGTGGTTGTGGAGCCTCCGCCTGGTGGATGGTATGGAGGGCAGAGCCACAGGAGGTGAGACCAGTGAGGGAAAAAGTCAGGACCCATGGCAGCACAGCTGGTGATAAGGGCCCTGGACAGAAGGAAGGGGTCTAGGACCAGAAGATCAGTTGAGAGACTGCTGTCGTCAGTAGACAGGGCTGGCTGGGGAGAGAGAGGCCTGTTGTCCACTGGCACCTGGGACTCAAGTGATGGAGAGGAGCGGCAGGAGGAATGTGGGGAGTGGGAAGGCTTTTCCTGACTTTGGGCTCAGCAGTGAACCAACAAGCCACTGAACTAAAGCACTGAATATGGGTAGTCTGTGAAGGGCCCACCTGCACATAGCTCAGAAATACTTGGGAGTTTGGGCATTTAGGACCTGAGAGATTTTAGAATCCTGGGCTGGGCCTTACATGTAAGAATGTGAAGAAAGGAAAGGGAACAGTGAGGCCGGGCCTGAGGCCTCTGAAGCCGTCTCTACTGAGGTCGAAGGATCCCTGTGGATCAGGTGCAAGTTTGCTGCACTGGGGGAAAGGGAAGCTGCTCCAGAAACCAGTAGCTGCTTTCTACCTCTGGGCTCTGGGGCATTAACATATCCCATTGTGTCCTGTTTCCAGGAGCCTGACTACGGGGCCCTGTATGAGGGACGCAACCCTGGCTTCTATGTAGAGGCAAACCCTATGCCAACTTTCAAGGTACAGCTCAGGCCTCTGGGCATAGGAAGCTGGGGAGGGTCCCCAGCTGCTTGGGGCTTCATTTCTGTGTTCTGGGCCATCTGTGGTCTTTGTGGAGAAGTGGTGGTTGTGGTTTTCCGAGGCCCAAGAGGTTGTGAGAGATGTGTGGTTGGTGAGCGACCGCAGGTCTCCCAGGGCCGACCCACTCCCTAGCCCCTACCCCTTAAGTCAGCAGTGACCCTTTAAACTGCTCCTGTGGGTGACCCCTGTTTCCTTCCTGGGCAGCAGCGGGGTAGGAGCTGGGAGGCACACTGGCCACTCATTCCCCGGCCTCATGGAGCCCTGTTACACAGGTTCTTTTTTGTTTTGCCTTTTTCTCTAAAAAGGCCTGGGCCCTATTTCTCACCCCCTCCCCTCCACAGCCAGGGGACCTGGAAGGAAGTTTTTCTTTCCACTTCACAGATGAGTGGTAGGGTCCCATCCAGGCCCCATATGCTTCCAGGTCCCGGGGAGGCACTCAGGGCCACTGCAGACCCTGCCTTCTTGGCCTGCCAGCCCTGACTCCTGGGAGCGGATTCAAGGTTCTCCCTGTGGCCCAGGGTGGGGCTTAAGGTTCCACCTGGGTCCCGAGGTATTTCACTGGCAGAGGCCCTGCCTCTCTGATCATATCTGTCCTGGAGCTTCCCTGCAGGGCAGTAACAAGAACTATAACTAGGGCCTGTTGATGGCAGTGTCATCTCCCACTGGCCTGACCCCAGGCAGGGAAGCCCAAGCACATGTGTGTGTGCACATGAAGCCCCAGGTTGGCAGTGGCAGGGAGAGCCTTTCTGCTCTGACTGGTGCTTCTCACCTCTGCAGTGTGCAGTCAAAGCCCTCTTTGACTACAAGGCCCAGAGGGAGGACGAGCTGACCTTCATCAAGAGCGCCATCATCCAGAATGTGGAGAAGCAAGAGGGAGGCTGGTAAGCCAGTGGTGTGGTAGGCCCAGAGTCCAAGGGCCCCAGTGGAGCTGGGGCCCCAAAGACATGCATTTGTGATGTGCTTGTCTCCTGTGTGCACCAGCAGTGCCTGCCTCACCCTGGCTTAGGCATGGGAACCCCTACCAAAGGATACCCTCCTCATGGGAGTTCGGGGTGGTTGCTGGAGGTCAGCACCCTGTGGCTCCCACAGGTGGCGAGGGGACTACGGAGGGAAGAAGCAGCTGTGGTTCCCATCAAACTACGTGGAAGAGATGGTCAACCCCGTGGCCCTGGAGCCGGAGAGGGAGGTAAGACCAGAACCACCTGAGTAACAGCATTCCCTATTCCCAGATTCTCCTTGGCATGCCCCCATCACACAGTCCCAAGCACGCACGTGCATGCACAGACACCTGTCACATGGGCTGGTCGCACAGCCCATGTGGCCATGCACGTAGTCTCCCATATACCTGTGCTACATTTGGCAGTCACAGGTACACCCACAAGATGTATTTGTCCCATGCACACGGATATCCCCTCACACACATATGCAGTAGCCATGCTGACCATTGGTGGGCTTTGCTTCCCACAGCACTTGGACGAGAACAGCCCCCTAGGGGACTTGCTGCGGGGGGTCTTGGATGTGCCGGCTTGTCAGATTGGTGAGCTCCCATCTGTTTCTCTTGCCCACTGTTCCCTAGGGTGAGATTCTTCTTTGTATCTCTTTCCTGCTCCTAGGGAGGAAGCTGATGGCTGAACCCCAAAGTCTGCCCTCACTCCAAGCTCTCCCCATGCTCTGGACATCCCCTTGACACCCTGGGCTCCCTTTGTCACTGTCAGCTTTGACCCCTGCATGTTTACCTATGCCAGGCACTGGGGAACCCGTCAGAATCAGCAGAACAAAGTTGATGCTGCTGGTTGGCTGACATCCCCAGGCCTAATGGGTTGTACCACAGGGATGTGACAGAGGCTTGGAGATGGGGTGGAGAGGGAGACACGGCCTGAGGAAGAAGCATGAGTCAGAGCTGAGTTGGAACACTGGCTCCACCACAACCAGCAGTGACTTGTTTGAGTTGTAGCGTCGTCATCTGTCAAATGGGCCAGCAGAGTAGTCCTTCCCCTCATGGGGTGTGGGAAGGAGGAAATGGGATGAGATAGAACTCATTTGAGCCAGTGCCTGCGGTGTGGAGTGGGGTGGAGGGGGTGAGATGTCTATTCCCAGCTGTTATCTGCTCTCGCCCTCCCAGCCATCCGTCCTGAGGGCAAGAACAACCGGCTCTTCGTCTTCTCCATCAGCATGGCGTCGGTGGCCCACTGGTCCCTGGATGTTGCTGCCGACTCACAGGAGGAGCTGCAGGACTGGGTGAAAAAGATCCGTGAAGTGGCCCAGACAGCAGACGCCAGGGTGAGATTCTGCTGGAACCTTCTGGGGGGCAGTGTGTGGGCCCGTCAGGCAGCTGAGGCCTCCAGCTCCCAGCACAGGCCCCCTCAGAGCAGTGGGGCAGCCGATGGCCTATGCTAGATAGGCCACAGCCCCTGCCTTAGCTAGGGATTGAGAAGAAACAGACACATAAGATGCAATGTGGTGTGTTTAGGTTGTGTTGAGTTTGAGATACTGATGGGTCGTTGAAGTGGGTCTGCTTAGTGGGCAATTGGATACACAAGACCAGAGGTAAGAGGAGAAGTCCTGGGCTGGAAGCAGGAGTGGAGTGGGGGCTGAGGCATAGAAGGGATGAGGTGGTGTCGCATAGGAAGAGAACTTGGGATGGATTGAGAAGCTCCATATGAGAAGGCATGGGCGAGGAAAGGAGCCCAGGAAAGGCAGGTCAGACAGACTGCAGGCCACTGGTGAGGGAGAGGGTCTGCTGTGTTGAGAGCTACAGAGGTAAAGACAGGAACGATAAGAACTTGCAAGTGCCCTTTGGATTCAGCAGCAGCTAATAGCCCTTGTGAGACTTTTGAGCTGCATCAGCAGCATGGCTGGCATTAGATGGCAGTGGGCAGCAGGGAGTCTGGAATGGCAAAAGCAGAGCCTTTGTAGGGCCTGTCCTTGAGGGAGAGAACAGGTGACTGGGGTTTGAGCAGGCTCTCATGCAGATGGCTGAAAGGAGCGAGCAGCGTGTGGGAGGAGATGGAGCCCAAGCTTAGCTGGTAGGACCAGCCTTCTGGAGAAGGTGGCCTCTTCCCCTGAGCCTGGGGGAACAGAGAAGTATTCTCAAGGGTTAGGGAATTCCTACTTGGTGGCCCTTTCACCAAGTGCATTTGGTAGATGGGTCTGTAGCTGCTTTGGAGAGGGCACCCGCAAGCCAAATAGAGAAGGGATAGGGTGCTTGCCAGGCTGTCCCCTAGAAGGAAAAGGTGCTGGCATACCAGGTGGTTGAAGGACTGGATCTGGGGGTCTAGGCTGAAAAGGGAAGAGTCTGAATGTAAGAGCCACTGAGGCCGGGCGTGGTGGCTCACGCCTGTAATCCCAGCACTTTGGGAGGCCGAGATGGGCAGATCACTTGAGGTCAGGACTTCGAGACCAGCCTGGCCAATATGGTGAAACCCTGTCTCTACTGAAAATACAAAAATTAGCCGGGCATGTTGGCCGGCACCTGTAATCCCAGCTACTCGGGAGGCTGAGGCAGGAGAATCGCTTGAACCCGTGAGGTGGAGATTGCAGTGAGCCGAGATCACGCCACTGAACTCCAGCCTGGGCGACAGAGCAAGACTCTGTCTCAAAAAAAAAAAAAAAAAAAAAAAGCCACTGAAAGAAAGTCCTCCAGGAGAGGATGGGTTGGGGTGCTTGTAAGTGGGCTTCTGTAGAGATTTGGCATGGAGATTTGCCATGAAGAGTGGGTGGTTATATTTGAGTTGGGGGCGCTGAGGCAGTGAGGATCATCCTTAGGACACAGATGGAAACCAAGCCAGGGGCCTGTATCCCCAGTGCAGTCACAGGTAACACAGAAGAATCATTTTTACCCCAGCATGAGGCTGGGTAATAAATGGTCAGAAAGTGTCATTTGGGAGTGTGGCCAATTCCAGGATCCCTGGAAGGTCACTGGGAACATGGGTGGTGATGAGGAGTCTGTATCCCCCACCCCCCCTAAGAGGGTTGGAGGGCAAATGTGTCCTCTGGGACAGAAAAGAGGAAAGATGATTTCAGGATGAGGCTGAGGACAGAGCTCCCTCATTTACTGTTGGGTGTGGTGTCTGGAAGGTACAGGGGAAGGTGGGAGAGGGGCCCAGAGCACCTGCAGTGTGGGCATGCCCAAGGTTGGCAGGGGCTTCCTTCTCCTGGGCAGGGCTGTAGCCTGGGGCTACAGGGCCTTGTGTGTGTCACCAGCTCACTGAAGGGAAGATAATGGAACGGAGGAAGAAGATTGCCCTGGAGCTCTCTGAACTTGTCGTCTACTGCCGGCCTGTTCCCTTTGATGAAGAGAGTAAGGGCCAGGGCCCAGGCGGGGTGTGCATGTGCCTGGAGGGCCTGGTGGGTGCAAAAAGAGTATTTAGGTATCCCCCCAACACTTCCTGGGTGGGCGGGCTCTGTAAGTGTTTTCCCTGTTTGGCCCAGAGATTGGCACAGAACGTGCTTGCTACCGGGACATGTCATCCTTCCCGGAAACCAAGGCTGAGAAATACGTGAACAAGGCCAAAGGCAAGAAGTTCCTTCAGTACAATCGACTGCAGCTCTCCCGCATCTACCCCAAGGGCCAGCGACTGGATTCCTCCAACTACGATCCTTTGCCCATGTGGATCTGTGGCAGTCAGCTTGTGGCCCTCAACTTCCAGACCCCTGGTGAGGAAGTCCCCTGTGAGGAGGGTGAGGAGGGGCACTGTGGGGCAGCTGGACTGGAATACACCATAATCTGCCTCTTCCAGACAAGCCTATGCAGATGAACCAGGCCCTCTTCATGACGGGCAGGCACTGTGGCTACGTGCTGCAGCCAAGCACCATGCGGGATGAGGCCTTCGACCCCTTTGACAAGAGCAGCCTCCGCGGGCTGGAGCCATGTGCCATCTCTATTGAGGTGGGTGCTGCTCATCTGGGCTTCAGGGTAGGAAAGGGGCTGCTTGCCGTTGGAGTCTGTTTATGTTGAGTTCTCCAAAAGTAGGTATTTTCAGGCATCAAGGTGGTCAGGGTGGGTGGGGCCTGAGCTGAGTCTTTGAAGGGGTGAAGATAGCATGCAGTCACTGTATGCATCTAGGACGTGCAGAGCCATGGTGTGACTTGTTCTGATGACTTGTTTTGTTCTGATGAGATCTTTTTTTTCCCTAAGGGGAGGTCATTTAAAAGATTTCTGTGTTAAAATAGTAATGGATTTAACATGAAGTAGATTGCAAAACTCACATGGAAATTTTGGCTAAAGCTCAGACTTCAGATAAACTACAGGCAGCAGCTGCTCTGGACAGCTTAGGGTCCCTGATGTCGTGAGGGACTCCATGGGCAGTGTCCCGGGGGCCCAGCAGAGGGCGCGCTGCCTCCACTCCACAGATGCTGACTGAGCCTCCGCAGTGGGGAATTGGAGGGAGCAGGAAGGACAATCCCAGGCCCTTCTTTGTCTGCCTACAGGTGCTGGGGGCCCGACATCTGCCAAAGAATGGCCGAGGCATTGTGTGTCCTTTTGTGGAGATTGAGGTGGCTGGAGCTGAGTATGACAGCACCAAGCAGAAGACAGAGTTTGTGGGTCAGTCTGTCTTCCCAGTCATCCTCCTCATCCTGCTGGGGCACTGCAAGCCTCTCCCCACCAGTCATCCCATCCTCTCCCACGGTGACCTGAAGCCTTTTGTCGTTGCCTTCACAGTGGACAATGGACTCAACCCTGTATGGCCAGCCAAGCCCTTCCACTTCCAGATCAGTAACCCTGAATTTGCCTTTCTGCGCTTCGTGGTGTATGAGGAAGACATGTTTAGTGACCAGAATTTCCTGGCTCAGGCTACTTTCCCAGTAAAAGGCCTGAAGACAGGTGAGGACCATTCCTGGAGGCAGTGCCCCTGCAATCTTGCTGGCAGGGTGGGGCTGGGCCCCTTGCTCTGTCCCTCGTGGGCTGAGGGCCAGGCTTTTCCTCCTCCTAGGATACAGAGCAGTGCCTTTGAAGAACAACTACAGTGAGGACCTGGAGTTGGCCTCCCTGCTGATCAAGATTGACATTTTCCCTGCCAAGGTATCTGCAGCAGGGGTGGGCTGGCCTGGGGTAGGTGGGAGGAGAGCCAGGCAGCAGCCTCTAGAAGTGCAGAGGAGTCATTGACCCTCTTGTGCACCTGGCTTCGTTGAAGCAGGAGAATGGTGACCTCAGTCCCTTCAGTGGTACGTCCCTGCGGGAGCGGGGCTCAGATGCCTCAGGCCAGCTGTTTCATGGCCGAGCCCGGGAAGGCTCCTTTGAATCCCGCTACCAGCAGCCGTTTGAGGACTTCCGCATCTCCCAGGAGCATCTCGCAGACCATTTTGACAGTCGAGAACGAAGGTGAGGAAGATGGAGGGGTGCTAGAGCCAGGAAGGCAGTGGCTAGGTCCTCCTTCTTCAGTGTTTCTTTCTCCTGGGTAGAAAAGTTGTAATATTGTCTGGCATTGGGCTGCAAGGCCCTGCCTGCCAGTAAGGACACTCTTCCCTTCTGTCCAGGGCCCCAAGAAGGACTCGGGTCAATGGAGACAACCGCCTCTAGTTGTACCCCAGCCTCGTTGGAGAGCAGCAGGTGCTGTGCGCCTTGTAGAATGCCGCGAACTGGGTTCTTTGGAAGCAGCCCCCTGTGGCGGCCTTCCGGGTCTCGCAGCCTGAAGCCTGGATTCCAGCAGTGAATGCTAGACAGAAACCAAGCCATTAATGAGATGTTATTACTGTTTTGGGCCTCCATGCCCCAGCTCTGGATGAAGGCAAAAACTGTACTGTGTTTCGCATTAAGCACACACATCTGGCCCTGACTTCTGGAGATGGATCCTTCCATCTTGTGGGGCCAGGACCATGGCCGAAGCCCCTTGGAGAGAGAGGCTGCCTCAGCCAGTGGCACAGGAGACTCCAAGGAGCTACTGACATTCCTAAGAGTGGAGGAGGAGGAGGAGCCTTGCTGGGCCAGGGAAACAAAGTTTACATTGTCCTGTAGCTTTAAAACCACAGCTGGGCAGGGTGAGAAGCTAGATGCCCCTGCAGTTTGGCCCTGGAGCCAGGGCAGAGGAATGTAGGGCCTGCATGGAGAAGGGTTCTGCCCTGCCTGAGGAGGAGGACACAGCACAAGGGCACATTGCCCATGGCTGGGAACATGACCCAGCCTGAAAGATACAGGGGATCATGTTAAAAATAGCAGTATTATTTTTCGTCTCAATGGTATTGTAACTAAGTTATTTACTCCTCCTGCTCCTCACCCCTGTAGGGAAACCTTGGAGAGGAGAGTGGCAGGTGGGCTGCCTGCTGTGTTAAGAGGACTTAGTTTGTGATGTAAGGCACTGTCAGGAATGGGGGGCGGGCCAGGGTGGGAAGAGAAGAAATAGCAGAGCCTATTTTGGTGAGGTTTTTTGTTTTTAAGTCAAAGAAGACTCAGTATGCTTTCCCTGAGGAATGAAAAAGGGATTGAGGAGTTGCCTGACTCCTGGGTGGGTGGGGTACAGGCAGTTAGGTGCTGAATGAAGCTGCCATCCTTGCTGCAGCTTCTAACTGGTAAAAAGATCCAGGGATGGAGATGGGAAGGTTAGAAAGGCAGCCCTCACCTCTGAGGACAGAGGCCGGGGTCCAGGCCCGTGGGCGCAAAGGTGCCTCATAGCATAGCCAGCATTCAGCACACACAAACCTACTGCCCACATTTGGGCTCAGGGTTGGCCATTTGCTAGTTCTGCTGCCCTCTTAAGATCTGACTGCCAAATAAATCATCCTCATGTCCTTTTTCCTTTGACTTGTATGCTCTTTCGGGGGCTCAGGAAAGCCTGTTGCATGGGACATGCTCACTAGAAACAGTCGCCAGATGATTATTCTGCAGTAGAAGCAGGTAGGAAATTTCTGGAAATTTCTCAGGTTAAGCAGCAAGAGCTGTAACCCCTCCTCTGGGCTAACAGGAGTTGTGGGTCCACTCTCTCCTGCCCACCCTCTGAGGGTGTGTCTGAGCAGAGTACATCCTGCCTGGGTTCTTTGTGGCCAGCCAGTTTTGGTGGTGAGCTGGAAACAACCAGAGCCCCTTTCCAGTTCCACAGAAACCTCTCCTTTCAAAAATGTTGCATTCAGTTCGTTAACACTGCCAGGTGCCATTCTGATTGCCTCTAGGACTTGGCAGCTGAAATCTCTGGGCCCTTTCAACACAGTTGAAAGGCCCTTCTCTTCCTGAAGCTCTGTTTCCATAGTTGGCTGTGCTGGGATGGAACAAAAATGACGCCACACAAAAAATTTAAGATAGATCCGGTTCCGTGGATGACATGAACTGATGATAGCCAGTATCAAACAGCGATAGTGCTCAGGTTCTTGTGTGACTTTCTTTTACAGCTTCACAGTCCCAGTTCATAGAGAGGAGGGTGGCTTTTTCCCATACACAAGAAGGTGGTGGGTGGGAATTCACCTGGGCCCTCATGATCCATGTTTCCTCTCTAGGTTTTTATGGCCTGGAGAGAAAGGTTTCCTATCAGAGAAGGAAGAGGACTGTGTAGGCCCTTCTGTTAGGGCCCATCCACGTTGGTTAGGACGTCCTTGGCGTGTTTGTTAGTGTTGACCCTTTTAGTTTTCATCAATACGTATCTCTATTTGCTGAACAAGTGTCTTTCTGGAACACAACCTGGGGAACAGACAGCTCTGCCTTTCTTAAGGCAGCTTTGTAGACCTGAGGCTCACCTCTCTTGGGCTCTGTAAGACATTGCCTTTGCCTCACTGCAAATGTTTTGATTGTTCTTCCTAGTGGAAAACGTGCCAACTCTCAAGCAAATTTAAAGATCATTTTCACTTCAAGATTCCTCCAGACCTGACAAATGTTGATTGACCCAGAAGGCAGAGTGTTTGTTGGTGGGGAAGACCCTTACTTGGGGCCGAATGCTTTGGCATCAGGAGTTGTTTGCCCCATCCCATGCATGCAGGCCGTGTCCCTACAGTGCGACAGCTCAGGGTTATGACCTGTGGAGTCTCAACCCTAACAGCACATTAGCACCACTTGGGGAGCTTCTGAAAAATACTGGTACCCGGGGCCTTAGCATAGGTATTGTTCAAAACCTCTCAAGGTGATTTAAATGAGTAACAAGGGTTGAAAAACCCTGATTTTGGCAGCACAAACCAAAAGAGCAGGCAGGGCCGGGAGAGGGAAGTCAGTGGTACCAGAAGGTAGATGGGCTCCCTTGCAGGCTCCTTGTTCTCCTGCCATCACCAGTAGAACCTTCTGGCTGACAGACCAGGGACAAGTAGACTGGGTTCAAAGTGACAGACCTTTCACTTTCAACAGCTTTGGCTCAGCAGACATGTACACATACAAAGTAGAGCCTACAAGGTCAGGGGCATTCTGCCCCCGCCACAGGACTAAAGACTGCCCTGCGGGAAGATGGCAGGAGCAGTTTCTGACCTCAGTTGAGTATCTGTGGCCATGAGCAGAAAAGGCAGGGGTCTGCCTCCTGACCAAGCACATCTTGAACATCACCTGAGAGCTTGAACATCACTAAGGACCTAGACACTCACTTGTCTTTCAACTTGAGCCCATCACTCACCATGTGAGTTCTGTTGAGGGTGGGTAGAAAGCAAATAGGTTCAGGTTATCCCACCAGACTAACTCGGTGAATGAAAGGATCATGCCTTCTTCACATTTTAATTAAATGGATCAAGCACAGTCTCAGACTGCAACTCCTGTCTTCTCTGGGTACTTTAGTAATTCCCAGGGGACTTGTGCTTAGGGGTTAATCTAGGCATTCTGTTCCCTGCCTGGAGGAACCCCACAGCAACCCCCCTGGCTGGCCGCTCCTGCGAATTCCACCCATAGTATCCCAAGTGAGTCACTGCCTGAGTCTACCCACTACAGCATTCAGCTGATTGGCTTTGCCAGTTGCATGCCAGTTTGGTCTAGTTTCCAAGGACCTGGTTTTTGGGATTCAACACACACAGCTGCTTCCCCATGACATAAGCTGGACTCCTATTCTGGTGTCCAGAATCACTGCCTGGCTCCACTGTAGGTGATTTCATTTCAAAGGACCCTTTTTCCTTCTGTCCCAGGCCTTCAGGGCCACCCCAACAAAATTCAAATGCTTTGGGTCTTAGAAGCTGGGGCTTTAGTCTTTTTCCTCCAGAAAGCCCCTGGGTCCTTATGCATATTCCCTAACCCCCGACACCGCCCCAGCAAATGACAGGCTATGCTTTTCAGCACTCTCACAGGAAACAGAAAAGAACTTGCCAGTGTCCTCTCACCAGATGATACCAGGTTTGACTGTTTGCCTTTGTCTATTTAGCATAATTTCTAAAATATCATAGTTTTCTCATGTAGAAGCCAGTGTGGTGATCTCAGCAATGCAGAAGACAGTGAGTTGGAACTTCTCTGGTGAGCTGAGGGAAACTGCCCCACTCATCCACTGGAGTTTAAGATCCACAGAAGTGGGCAAGAACAAGTGAAATGTTTTTGGCTTTTTTCCTGACTCCCCCACAAAATAAGTCAGCAGATGTGAAATATATTTATGTTTTTATTTAGGAATAATCAAAAGGTTTGAAGTACCATTGAGGCCCATTTCAAATTGTACAAGCAATTTGTCCGTGTTCCCCTCCCTTATCCAAATCCACAGATACAAAATCTAGGAAATGTGCAATTTGCATCTTAGAAATAGCAGCATCCCCACAGGGGACCTCGTGAGGCCTGGAGATTCAGCCCCAAGAGGGCAACCCCACTCCTGCCTCAGCACGACCACAGTCCAAACCGAAGTTAAGTTCCATTTTTTTGTTAAAACGTTTACCCAGGGTAAAGAATTCCCATTCTACCCAAGGCTTAAGTGATAGAGTATGCTGTTTTCTCGGTTTGGTCTCTCACACCTGGCCATGGCAGGAGATGGGACCCTCTTGCAGAGTTTGGCTAAAGTTTCATTGTGCCTCAAAACAAACAAAAACAGGGCAGTTGCCTCTTACTTGTTTAGCACCAAGATGATCACCTTTTCAGCCATCTCTCCTGACAGCAGACTGCTCAACAGTCACTCCCCAGTCTTATTGCCCAGAAGTCCGGCCACAGGGAACAAGGCTTTGTGCTGAAGACCAAAATGCAAATGGGTGCTAGAAAACCAGGAATCAAGACCTTGTCAGGAGGCATCTACAGGCCTTTGGCAACCTCCCTGACTTCCACAAAGGCTGCCCTCAGTAAAACTCAATGAACAATGGCCAGCAGGGGAGAAAGGAAGGTGGGCGTGTTTTCTCTTTAATAACAATTATGGCACAATCTGACCCTCCTAACACTTCTGAACAAAGCAACTGCTCAGAAGCACAGCGGGAACCCTCTACACAGGGGTGACTGCTTCTCCCCTGGCCCCGACCCAGTCTAACCGAGAACAACCGGATTGCTGTGCTGGGTCCCTGCTGAGGAGTAGGGACTGGCGCTCCTCACTCCTGCTGACAATCTCATGTGGGGCTCTGGCCCTGTTCCAAGCAAACTGCAAGAACGAGACCAAACAGTATGGGCAGGAACCAGGGATGAGTGACAAGATCTCCCTAAACAAATTACAGGATTCATAGGTACCATGTAGATTTTTCTTTTAAATGTATTTCTACTCAGGTTTGATTCTTGGGAAAGACCAAGCACTTGTAGCTCTCTATTCAGTGACTAAACAACCTGACATTTCACTTTTAACTCCAGTCACATTAAGTTTTTTTTTTTTTTTTGAGACGGAGTTTCGCTCTGTCGCCCAGGCTGGAGTGCAGTGGCACGATCTCAGCTCACTGCAACCTCCACCTCCCGGGTTCAAGTGATTCTCCTTCCTCAGCCTCCTGAGTAGCTGGGATTACAGGCGCGCACCACCACGCCCGGCTAATTTTTGTATTTTTAGTAGAAACGGGGTTTCACCATGCCGATCAGGCTGGTCTCGAACTCCTGACCTCAGGTGATCCGCCTCCCTTGGCCTCCCAAAGTGCTGGGATTACAGGTGTGAGCCACTGCGCCCAGCCAAGTCACGTTAATTTTGAATCATCCACTTACGGAAAGGAACAGAAGTTAAAAAGCATTAACCAAGAAAAACTATTCATTAACACATACAGGTGCTCATGTGTGTGTGTGCACGCGCACATGAACACACGTTTCAAGCCAGTCTCCTGAAGGAAGAGGCACTAATGGCAGGTAAATGCTCAGGCTCCTCTCAGTACCCTGGGGCTCACCGCCTATCCAAGTGGACAGCAGGGAAGGTGCCTAGAGTCCCCACCAGAGCGGCTGCCTTCCTCCCTTCGCTCAGCTGCCAGAGCAGCCACGAAAGCCAAATTCTCAGGGCTGTGGAAGCTTTGGACCAGCAACAACAAGCTAGTACCTATATGTTCTTTATCATCCTCAAAGTCCTGCGAACCCAAAGATAGAACTTTCAGAAATTGAGGAAGGGGGTGCTTTCCCCTGTCCTTGTCCATATGGTAACCAGGGTCTGCCTAGTCTCATCCCCAGCCTCTGGGTTCCCTCCCCTGCTCTAGACTTCAGGGCAGTTAGAATGGATGACTCTGCTGGATCTAGAGCTAAATAGAAACTTCTTTGCCATAGAAACTTCTCTGTTGAAGGACTGCGTCCCCATTCAAAGAGGTCAGATTTGTGGGCAGGCAAGAGCTCAGGAATGAAGAACCAAAAAGGAGGCTCTCAACCCCTCTCCAAGGCCAGACGCTCTCTGTACTCCCATTAACTTCACAACCAAGTGCAGACGCTCGGTGAGTTCAGAGACCACTTGGTTAGCCCTGCCCCACCCCTCCTGGTGTGACCTGGCACTGGGAACACACAGATTGCAGCAGAAACCTGTTGGTTCCATTTGCACTCAGAGCAAACCAAGCAGCACCTTGATTGCCACTTTTCCTCCAGCCACTCTGTCAAAATCAAAACTGGTTGCCTCACCAGCCCTGGTGTGGCATGGCCCAACCATGTCCCTGCCGCCCCACTTAAATGGCCAGAGAAAACTACATGGTGGGTAGATGAGGTTGAAGCCTTGCTTGGGGAAGGGACTTGAGCACAGGAGAAAGGCTTGAGCTCCACAACTGCCCATTTGCTCAGACAATGGAGCTTTTCTGAGATCAAGTGCTCCCCAAACTACATGGGAGTAGCCCCCCGTGGTCTGGGCAGGCTGGCTGAGAGAGGTCTGTGCTCTCAGGTAAAAGGAGAGAAGGAAGCTGGGTCAAGAGACCCTGAAGAGGAGGGTCCGTGTCTGGAGTGAGGGGAACTGAGCCCTGCTGGCTACCTGACCTGGGTGGGCTGCTGGCTTTGCCCTGGAAGACTTGACTATGTGGGCCTTCATGTGTCTAGAGGATTTTTCTTCTCCAGCATATAACTACCTTGAGAATGGATGTGATATGTGAAAATTTAAATTTAATACAAAAGCACATCTGCAAATGGTGAGTCAAACTGGTGAAATCTCCCAGGTAAACTCTGAGCAAGAAAAAAGAGAAGATGACTTTAGGAAAATCCTAAACGAGGTTTGGTTTTAAAATTTTCTTCTTGGCTGGCTCTCCTCTCCTGCAAGTTGCCTTTATCCACTTGGGGTGTGATATCTGAACTGAAAAAGCTGCACCAATCTGAGGATATTGGTCCAAAAAGAGACAAGAGACCACGAGGCTCAAGCAGAGAGCATCCACACAGCATCCAACCAGAAAGGCCAGTGTCCTTCCTCCATGAAAGGCAGCCAGGGACAGATGTCCCAGAGCCAGGAGAGAGAGGGAGAGAACACAGGACCTGCCCCTAGGCCACTGACTGAGCAGGATAAAACCCACAAGGGCACATCTCAGGCTACGGAATAGAGAGATTTCCTGGTGGGACGGCCTCCCAAGGCTAGCTGGAGATGAGACCACTAGTACATGTGTGAGCCCGCAAGGCACTACCCAATGTTCTGTCCAACTTCCTCCTTGTGCTACTAGAGAGCACAGTGTGGAGTCCTTGTGTCAAGGTGCTTTGGTCCACCTGAACAGCCACCTGTCACTCAGCCAAGAGAAAGGAGCTTTAAGTTGTACAATCACTACCAAACCCCAAGGCCCTGGCAAGCCATCCAACTAGGGCGTTCTTTTTCAGGAACCCAAGATTCTCAAAAATGACACTCCTCCCCTCCCAAAATAAAAAAGCTCCTTTATAGTCAAAAACGAAAACAAGTAATCAAAATATACAAAGCATATGTATCAAATTTAAATTTCCTTTATCAGAATGATCATCTGGTTTCACCTTTGAGAACTCGATCTACAACCCCATGTAAAAAACAAATGGGTACAAGACATCAGCAACAAAAAAACACTAAAAGATGATTTTACTATCTCTGACGAGTCCAACTGCATACAGAGAAAAGGGATAAGATTAGCCACTTTTTATAGGCTTTTTCTTCAGGAGAGACTAACCTCACCCAACTCTCAACTCTGCAGCCCACAAATGCCTTCTACTGAAGGCAACAACACAATTTAACCCTTAGGCAGTGTGCAAAACCACAGTGAGCTGTCCTGTGACAGGGCTACATACCTGGCTGCTGCCATCCCACATCCCCCACTGCCACTGGGCTAGTGTGGGTGTGTCTCTGTGCACGACTGGCTGGATTCAGGGTTTTGCCCCCAAACCCTTGAGTACCTCCTACAATGTCCCTTTAAGCACCTGCGTGATGACTGCCTCCCTCATCATCGCTTTTGATCATCTTTCAAGGATAAGGTCCAGAGCATACTCACTCACTCTCATCCAACAGCAGAGGAAGAAGGATCTGTCCAGACTGCTGGGCTCCTTACATGGGCATTCTTGCCTTTTGTAGTGTAGCCCTGGCTGTTGGGCAGGGCTAACATCTATAAGAAAAACATACCAGGGCAGGCAGCACTGTACTTTTCCACCTGAAAGATGAGCTAGTGCCCATGGCTGGGTCACTGTAGGTCCTGCATGAACTTGTCCACCAACTGTGTTTTGCTGTTTGGGTTGTAAATTAACCGTGAATACAAGTAACCAAGAAAATCCTCTCCACAGACCAACTCTTCAGCCAGTGCATGCAGGGCTCTGGAGGTGATGCCAGCAGGATCTGGAGGTGAGGCACTGGGTGGTTTCTCAGACACCCGGAGATGGCTTCAGCCTGGGCCGCCCCAGCTGCCTAGTGCACTGGTGTCCCTCCAACACAGGCTACTCCCCCAACACCCATGTGCCACCAAGTTTCTCAACTGCACACGCCAGATGCGCGTTTTACGAGAATCAAATGAGTATTTATACTGTATATGTGTGTGTGTATATATATATATATAAATTAATCTGCACGTATATAAACACTAAAAGGAGAAATTCCAAGTGTCTGTTCTCTGAAGGAAAGCAATCACTCGCCATTCTTGGCAATTCCTCAAAGGTTTTTGAGACCAAACATCTTTACTCCCCAAATTAAGAATACAAAAATAGGCTGCAAAACTTGCCAAGTACTCACAAGTCCCTGTTTGAGACAAATAAGATGTGGTCCCTATTGGGACAGGGAGGGCAGAAGATGACACTTTAGAAGAACATGATTTTGGTTTCAAAAGCAAGACCTCTCCTGGAAGGCAGAAGGGGCCACCGCCATGCTTGTCCTTGGAGCCACATGAGCACGGTGCCCTGCCAGGTCCAGTTCCCTGGGTAGGGGAGAAGGACGGTCCCTAAAACACCACCAGTGCTTCTTGCCCAAAGCCCTTGCCCTCTCTCTGGGGTCTTCTAGCACTGTCACTCTGCCCAGCCCAGGAGGTGTCTGTGCCCACGAAGCCTGGTACTTGTGGCTTGGCACTCTGGGAAGCAGGTGGTTTCTAAGAAATGAGCGGAGCTACAGGTGGACAGGTCTTTAGTTCGCCCCTCTTTACCAGCTACTCTCAGAGCAACCGGTCTTGGGGAAATTGAGGATTTACCATTTAGAACAGCTCTGTAAGCAAGTTTTCTAATTTTCAAAGGCACCATTTCCTGTAATTTTCTCAATTCAAAAAAGGACATGAGGGTTAGGCTAAAGTAGAGTTCTTGTTTCCAAGTTTGGGGACATAAATATAAAACTTTAAAAGCATCCTCACAAGGACCAGTGATGCCCAGCACCCTTGGGCATGCATCCAGCACACCGGCCAGACCCTGGGGTGGGAGCCACGGGCACTCTGGGTGTTCTGCCAGGGATCTCTGCATGCAAGTCTTTGTGCTAAAGACCACCCTACCTCTGATAATTCCAAGAAGTCAACAAATCCCTCCAGCCTTCACCCTTACTAATGGGCCAGTGTGTTATTCCTTCCCAAACCATAGGAGGCTCTGAAATGAGTGTGGAGAAAGGGCTCTGAAAACCGCAGTGGTCAAAGCTTCAGGCTGTGGCTATAGATTTCCACTTACGTCCCTACCCCATGTCTTTTTTCCATCTTTCTCTCACTCCAAACATGTCTAGATTAAAAAAAAAATGCAGGCACATAGGTCAGCACATTAGGCTTAACAACAAATGTTTCTTTAGTTGATCTGATAACTGAAAAGTTATGGTCCATGATTCAAACTCCCATGAAAAAGCAGAATTACGGTAACAACTAAAGAGAATGGTAAAGCATCCAACGCTAATCACATTGCCAGTCCATTTTTTGAACTGAGGGTTACAGCAGGTTCTGCACTGAGTAGCCCACAAGGCAAAGCAAGCCTGACATGAAACGTAGCCGGTCATCACTTAATGCAGCAGAGATCTCTTCAAAGGTACTGCTTCCTTGAGGAACACAAAGGGGGCACAAAGGGGTTCCAGACGTAGCTTTGTGCCTATAACTTCCCTGCCTGACTGTGGAAGGTGAGGGGCACCTGTGACCCAGCAATCCCCAGAGAACAGACACAGGTCATTTTTAGAGATGACGTAACTGACAATGCACTGCTTGGCTAACCAAAGTTTCTACGTAATGACAGTGTTGATAATCTGATGTTTTATTTAACATATAGAGGTGGATGTATATGTTAAAAGCTTGATTCTGTGTCTATGAATATGACTATGAACTCTGAACTATTTTATCCATTGGAAGGTAAAGGAAAGGTCCTACATTGTGGGAGGAAGAACTGATGAGAACCCCATCTTGCTTGCTGCTTGCTTGGTGGTGGGCAGGCCGAGGGTAGCGGCAGGCTCTGGGCTGTCTGCGAGGATTCTGGAAGCTCTCCCAGGTGCCCAGCAGCCGGGCATGGGAACGGCATGTGGCAGCAGAGAGTCGGGTTTGGCTCTTCCACGTGGCAGGCGGTTTCCCAGACTGGCCAGTCCTTCACATTAATCAGATCAAATTCAGTCTGTTTCTGAGAAGAAAACACATGCCTGTCACTCTACGGCAGCTGCCACCACCTGCCCCCCAGGCAGCCTGGTCCTTGCTATACCAGGGTGGCATCACTGGCTTTGAGGACCTCTTAATTCCATGAGCAATGAATGGCCTTCTGCCACCCACTCCCCCACCCTCCAGCCTGAGGGAATGTGGGTTAAGGACAGGATGCTGGCTCAACCTTGTAAGGCCATCAGACTCTCTGAGAGACCCTGCTAAACCCTAGGCCTAGCAGCAGGAGCAGTGGTTTGGCCTCTCCAGGCCCACTAAATCCCCCTAGCTCCCCAGGCTTCCGCCACCACCGTCTCTGGAGTCCTGTCCTAAAATGCTTCATCCTGCCCTCTCCTTCCAGGCTCTCCAGAACATACTGTTCCAATATAATAGCAGCTGGGTCTAGTTCTGATATGTATTCTACTGATGTCTTCACTTCATTTGTAACTTGCAACCCTAACATCAAAGTCAAAGTAAGGCTGATATCAGAGAGGTTCATCATCTGTGATTCATAAAGAAATGGTCCTTAATTGCAGCTGGCTGAGAAAGCCATGAGAAACCAGGTACAGATAAACAGATTGGCCCTTCCTGTACCCACAGTTACCTGTCTCAGACAGAAGAGAACAATGCCAATGGCAATGGCCACCCCCTGCCATTCCTGCTCTGTCCCACAAAGGACAGCAACATGTCACTTTGTGTTGGATTTAGTAGCTGAGGGGAGCCAATGCTTGTCATTCAAATCCACTCATCACATTTCCATGTTGACTTTAAGAAAAAAACCATGGTAAAATATAAATAACATAAAATTCACCATTACGACAATTTTAAGTGTACAATTCAGTAGCATTAAGTACATTTACAATGTTATAAAACCATCACTCTATTTCCAGCAATTTTTCATCATCCTAAACAGAAATTATATATCCATTAAACAACAACTCCCCATGTCCTCCACCCCTTAGGCCCTGGTAACCTCTATTTTACCTTCTATCGCTATGCCTTTGCCTATTTTAGATACCTCATGTAAGTTGAATGGTACAATATTTGTCTTTTTGTGTCTTGACATCTCACTTAGCAAAAATGTTTTCAAGGTCCATCCATGTTGTAGGATATATCAGAATTTTATTCCTTTTTTGGCTGAATAATATCTTACTGTATGTACACACACATTTTCTTTATTTATCTGGTGGTAAGTACTTGTTTCCGCCTTTTGGCTACTGTGAATAATGCCACTAAGAACACTGATGTACATGCATATGTGAGTCCCTGTTTTCAGTCCTTGGGGCGTATACCTAGGAGTGAAATTGCTGGATCACATGGTAATATTCTATATTCACCTTCTTGAAGAACCACAAAGTCGTTTCCCAAGGAGCTGTACCATTTTATATTCCCACCAGCAATGCACAAGGGATCCAGTTTCTCCACATCCTCCCAACACGTTGTTTTCTCTGGGTGTGTGTTTGTAACAGCCATCTTAAGTGTGAAGTGGTATCACGCTGTGGTTTTGATTTGCATTTCCCTAATGCCAAAGGTTCGTCTTTTCATGTACTTATTGGCCATTTGTATATTTTCCTATGAGAAATGTCTAAATCATTTGCCCGTTTTTGAATTGGTTTTGTTGTTCAGTTTTAGGAGTTCTATACATATTCTGAATATAAATCTCTTATCAGATGTATGATTTTCAGCTCTTTTCTCCCATTCTGTGGGTTCTTTCATTCTTTTAACAGTGTTCTTTGAAACACAAAAGTTTTAGATTTTGACGTAATCCAAATTATTATTTTCTTTTGTTGCCTATGCTTTGAGTGTCATACATAAGAAATCATTGCCTGGCCAGATGGGGTGGCTTGCACCTGTAATCTCAGCACTTTGGGAGGTTGGGGAGGAATGCTTGAAGTCAGGAGTTCAAGACCAGCCTGGGCAACATAGCAAGATCCTGTCTACACACACACCCACACACAAAATAGTAATAATAAAATTAGCCAGGTGTGCACACTTGTAATCCTAGCTACTCAGGAGGCTAAGGTGGGATGACTGCTTGAGCCCAGGAGTTTGAAACTGCAGTAGGTTTGATTGTACCACTGCACTCCAGCAACAGAGCAAGAACCTGTCTCAAAAAAAAAAAAAAAAAAAAAAAAGTAATAATTGCCTAATCAAAAATCTGGAAGGATTCTATTTTCTTCTAAGTATTTTATAGCTTTAGCTTTTTTTAGTTCTTTGATCTATTTTAAGTAAATTTCTGTATATAGTACAAGGTAAGAGTATAATTTCATACTTTTGCATGTATATATCCAGTTTCCCAGCACCTTTTGGTGAAAAGACTGTCTTTTCCCATTGAATGGTCTTTGCACCCCTGTCAAAAATCAATTGACCATTACGTGGGGATTTCTGGGCTTTTTATTTTATTCCATTGGTTTTGTATGTCTCTCCTTATGCCAGTACCACACTGTTTTGATTACTGTAGCTTTGTAGTACAATTTGAAATCAAGTGAGTGTGACTCCTTCAACTTTGTTTTTTCTCAGTTTGTCTATTTGGGGTCCCCTGAGATTCTATATAAACTTTAGGATGGATTATTCTTTTATAATTGATAGTTTACATATTTATGGGGTACATGTGAATATTTTTTACATGCACAGAATGTGTAATGATCAAGTCAGCATATTTAGGGTATCCATCACCTTAGTATTTATTATTTCTGTGTGTTGGTAATATTTCAAGTCCTCTATTCTAGCTACTTTGAAATATACAATATGTTGTTGCTAACCATAGTCACACTAGTCTGCTATTTAACATTAGACTTTGTTTCTTCTATCTACTATAAGTCTATACCCATTTACCAACCTCTTTTCATTTCCCCCTTCTACTCTCACACCCTTCCCAACCTGTGCTATCTATCATTCTATTCTCTATCTCCATGAAATCAAGATTTTTAGCTGCCACATATGAGTAAGAACGTGTATTTGTCTTTCTGTGCCTGGGATATTCCAATGAACATAATGACCTCCAGTTCTATTATTTTTTGTCTTTTTAATAATAGCCATTCTAACTGGGATAAAATGACATCTCATTGTGGTTTTGATTTGTATTTCCCTTTTGATTTGTGATGTTGAGTGTTCTTTAATATACCTATTGGCCATGTGTATGTCTTCTTTTGTGAATTGTCTATTCATGTCTTTTGTCCCCCCACCCACCCCCACCTTTTTTTTTTTTTTTTGGACACAGGATCTCGCTCTGTAACCCAGGCTCTGGAATGCAGTGGCACAACCACGGCTCACTGCAGTCTCAACCTCCTGGGCTCAACTGATCCCCCCACTTCAGCCTCCTGAGTAGCTGGGACTACAGGTATGTGCCACTACACCCGACTAATTTTTGTAGAGATGGGGTTTCACCATGTTGCCCAGGCTGGTCTCAAACTCCTGGGCTCAAGTGATCCACCTACCTCGGCCTCCCAAAGTGTTGGGATTATAGGTGTTAGCCTCTGTGCCCCACCTTTTGCCCACTTTTTAATATGATTTTTTGTTGAATTCCTTATATATTCTAGATATTAGTCCTTTGTTGGATGAATAGTTTTGCAAATATTTTCTCCCACTCAACATATTGTCTCTGTGCTGATTATTTCCTTTGCTATGCAGAAGATTTTTAATATAGTTCCCTTTGTCTATTTTTGTTTTAGTTGTGTTTTTGAGGTCTTAGCCATAAAATCGTTGCTCAGACCAATGTCCTGAAGTGTTCTGCACTGTTTTCTTCTAGTAGTTTCATAATTCAAGGTCTTATATTTAAATCTTTAATCTGTCTTAACTTTTGTATATGGTGAGAGATACAGGTCCAGTTTTATTCTTTTGCTTATGGATATCTAATTTTCCCAGCATCATTTATTGAAGAGGGTGTCCTTTCCTCATTGCATGTTCTTGGCACCTTTGTTGAAAATCAGCTGGCTGTAAATATGTGGCTTTATTTCTGGGTTCTATTTTCTTTTCCTTTGGTCTGTGGGTCTATTTTTATACCAATACCATGTTGTTTTGGTTACTATAGCCTTGTGATATATTTTGAAGTCAGGTAATGTGATGCCTACAGCTTTGTTCTTTTTGCTTAGGATTGCTTTGACTATTTTAGCTCTTTCGTGGTTCTGTACAAATTTTAGGGTTTTTTTCTACTCCTGTGAAAAAATCACATTGGTATTTTGATAGCAATTGCATTGAATCTGTAGATTGCTTTGGACAGTGTGGCCATTTTAATATTAATTTTTCCAATCCATAAGCTTGGGATGTCTTTCCATTTGTGTCCTCTTCAGTTTCTTTCATCAGTGTTTTACAGTTTTCCTTGCAGAGATCTTTCACTTCCTTGATTAAATTTATTCGTAAGTATCTTTTTTTATTTTTGGTAGCTATTGTAAATCAGATTACCTTCTTGATTTCTTTTTCAGCTATTTTATTATTGGTGTATAGAAACTCTGATTTTTGTACGTTAACTTTATATCCTGCCACTGTGCTGAATTTGCTTACCAGCTTTAAGAGTTTTGGTGGAGCATTTTTGGTTTTTCTAAGTATCAGATCATGTCATCTGCAAAAAGGGACAATTTTTCTCTTTTCCAATTTGGATGCCTTTTCTTTCTCTTGCCTGATTTCTCTGGCTAGAACTTCCAGTACTATGCTGAATAGGAGCGGTGAAAGTGGGCATCCTTGTCATGTTCCAGTTTTCAGAAGAAGGATTTTCAGCTTTTCCCCATTCAGTATGATGCTAGCTGTGGGTTTATTTATGGCCTTTACTATCTTCTTTCTATGCAGTTTTCTGAGTGTTTTTTTTTTATCATGAAGCAATGTTGAATTTTATCAAATGCTTTTTCTGTTTATTGAGATGACCACACGATTTTTGCTCTTCATTCTGTTGATGTGATGTATTGCATTAACTGAATGGTGTATGTTAAACCATCCTTGCATTATAATTTTTTGAGACAGAGTTTCGCTCTTGTAGCCCAGGCGGAAGCACAGGGGTGCAATCTTGTAGCCCAGGTGGAAGCACAGGGGTGCAATCTCGGCTCACTGCAACCTCTGCTTCCTGGGTTCAAGCAATTCTCCTGCCTCAGCCTCCTGAGTAGCTAGGATTACAGGCATGTGCCACCATGCCTGGCTAATTTTGTATTTTTAGAGATAGGGTTTCACCATGTTGGCCAGGCTGGTCTCAAGCTCCTGACCTCAGGTGATCTGCCCACCTTGACCTCCCAAAGTGCTGGAATTACAGGCATGAGCCACCATGCCCAGCCAAGGATTATTGATATGTGAGGTTTTGTTATTGTTATACTGTTGTTTTCTAGTTGTTTTATATATTTTTTTCCTTTTTCTTTTGTTTGGCATTGTACTCTGGTAGTTTTCTGTAGTGGTAGCATTTGAGTCTTTTCCTCATCTGTGTGTTTGCTTTGCCAGTGAGTTTTATACTTTTGTGTGTTTTACATAGTGTTAAATGTCATGTTTTCACTTCCATGTTTAGGACTCTTGTGAGCATTTCTTGTAGGGCCAGTCTAGTGGTGATCAATTCTCTCAGCTTTTGCCTGTCTTGGAAATACTTTATTTCTCCTTCATTTATGAAGGATAATTTTGCTAGACATAGTATCCTTGGCTTACTTTTTTTCCCCTTCAGCCCTGTCAACATATTATCTCATTTTCTCCTGATCTGTAAGGTTTCTGCTGAAATCCACTGTTAGTCTGATGGGGCTTCCTTTATAGTTGCTTACACACATTTCTCTTGCTGTCCTTAGAATTATCTGACTTTAGAGAGTCTGACTATAATGTGCCATAGAGAATACCTTTTTGCACTGTATCCATTTAGAGGCTATCAGGGCCTCCTATATCTAGATGTCTAAATCTCTTGTGAGATTTGGGAAGTTTTCACCTATTAATATTATTTCATTAAATAGGTTTTCTCACTCTTTCATTTTCTCTTAACCCTCTGGGATCCCAATAATTTAGATATGTAGTTGCTTTATTGTGTCCCATATGTCACAAAGGCTTTGCTCATTTTTTATTCTTTTTTATTTCTGAGTTATGTCAAAAGACCTGTGTTCTAGCTCTAAGACTTTTTTTTCTGCTTGATCTAATATATTGTTGAAGCTTTCAATTGTATTCTGTACTTTGTTTCATGAAGTCTTCTATTCCAGCATTTGCTTTTTTATGACATATATCTCTTTGATAAAATTATCATTCATTTCCCAAATTGTTTTTCTTTTTCACATTCTCTTACATCTCATTGAGCTTCCTTACACTCAATAATTTGAATTCTTTTTCTGGGATTTTGTGAGTTTATTTTTTATTGGAATCTATTGCAGGAAATTTATTGTGTTCCTTCTGAGGTGTCATATTTCCTTGCTTTTTCATGTTTGTGTCCTTATGTTGATATCTGCACATCTGGTGTAACAGTTGTTTCTTCTAATTTTTTGCATTTGCATTTGTAAGGGAGGACTTTTTCCTAGACGTATCTATGGTGTTGTTTGGGTAGGACACTTTGGCTTTGATTCTTGGTATGTGCAGTAGTGTAGTCTCTGTATGATTTCTTTGGCTATAAATAGCATCAGTGGTATCTGTGATTTCCTCAGTGGCTGAGTAGTTACTAGTGGAAGCTATGGTAAAATTTTGCTAAGGACTGGAATGCCAGGTGGGCCATTCTCCAGGCACCAGTGGTAGCAGCAGTGGACAGAGCATGCCTGTCTTTGGACCTCAGAGGAGCATACAATGGCACCAGTGTTAGTGGGTTCAAGCAGGCTGATTCTTGGGCTTTCGGGTGGCTTACTCAGATGTCAGTAGTGGCAGCAGTTCCCAGGCATGTGATCAGGTTCTCAGGCCCCTGGGCAGCTGGCGTGGCATGGGAGATGGCAGTGACAGTGTTGAAATGACCCTCTGGGTCCCAAGTGATATGTGCTTGTGTTGGCAGTGGCTGCAACAGGCTGGGCGGCCCATTCTGCAGGCCCACAAGTGGTACATACAGGTAGTAGTGGCCAAGTGGGTAAGCCCCAACCTCAGGTACCCAAGAGGAGTATTCAAGTGCCAATGGTGGTGGACTAGGCTGGACAATCCCCCAGCCCCTAGACTGTGTGCTCTGGCCACGGAGGTGGTGGTGTAAAGCCAGGCTGGGCAGTCTCATCTTCAGGCTCCCTATGATGTGTGCAGGTGCCAACCAAGGTGGGCAGGTGCAGGGCAATCCCTAGGCCACCTTCAGAATGCTTGGATAGGGAGTGGCAGTGCTGTACTACTACCTTCCATTGGAGAGCACAGGGTTGCTGGCCAGTGGGGAATGCATGTGCCACTCACACCTCACTCAGCTCCAGTGGCACTTGTGCCTCAGCCCCTGCTATGGTAGCTGGCACCATAGTTGTACCTCAGCCACAACAACAGGAGCACATGCCTTGTAGTGCTTCAGCCCCAGCTGCAGTAACCCAGTCACTTATGCCTCAGCTCTGGGGAAAACAGTCTGCAGTTCTCTTACACCTCAGCCCTGGCACTCAGGGACTCCAGGACAGTGTACAGTCTTTTGGGGGGTGGGCTTTAAATGGCATCTTGCTGTAGCTGTTTTGTTCTCAGGAAGTGTGGGGGACCCAGTGCGAGCTCCGTTCTGGAGCAGTTCCATTGAACAATCTCCTGGCACCTCCTATGTTAAGTTTCAGGGACTGCAAGGGCTGAGGAGCTCTCCCGTGGCTAGAACTGCAGAATCCTTTCATGGTGGAAATGTGGACCACTGAGGGTCTCTCACTTACCTTTTCCCCATGCTGGGGGGTCTCTCTCAGTTCCCAGCCAATCCCAGCTGAACAGGCTGCCTTGCTTCTTTTTCCTTCCTTACTTTGTTTCCTGTCTCTTTTCCGTGAATTCCAGTGTTCTGTCTTGGATAATCTATTCAAAGTGTGATTATCTACTCTCTATTTTTGTTCTTAATGGAAGAGGCGAGTACAAAATGCCTCTAGTCAGCCATTTTGGTTGGGTCTTCCTGGATTTTCTTATTTCTGTAAAAATGCGACTATGCTTTTGATAGATTTTACATTGACTCTGTAGTTTGCTTTGGGTCACGTCTACATCTTAATATCAATCCATGAACATGGGATATCTTTCTATTTATTTAGGTTATCTTTAATGTTTTTCAGCAACATTTTGTTGTTTTCAAGATACACTTCTTTGGCCTCCTTGGTTAAATGTATTCCTAAGCACTTTTTCTTTTTGATGCCCTTGTAAATGATACCATTTTTAAAATTTTCTTTTCAGATTGTTCATTGCAAGTGTATAAAAATACGACCAATTTTTTTAGACAGATAGGGTCTCACTATGTTGCCCAGGCTGGCCTCCTTGAATTCCTGCCTCAGCCTCCCAAGTAGTGGGACTACAGTTATGTCACTGTGCCCAGCTAAATACAAATGATTTTTTTTGTTTTTATATCCTGCAGCTTTGCCAAGTTCATTTATTAGCTCTTAACTATTTTTGTGTGTGTGTGGATTCAAGTTTTTTTTTTGTTGTTGTTGTTGTTTTTGTTTTTTTTTTTTGAGAAGGAGTCTCGCTCTGTCACCAGGCTGGAGTGCAGTGGCATGATCTCGGCTCACTGCAAGCTCTGCCTGCCAGGCTCAAGTGATTCTCCTGCCTCAGCCCTAACCCTGAGACTAAAGGCACATGCCACCATGCCCAGCTAATTTTGTATTTTTAGTAGAGACGGGGTTTCATCATGTTGGCCAGGGTGGTCTCGATCTCTTGACCTTGTGATCCACCTGCCTTGGCCTCTCAAAGTGCTGGGATTACAGGCGTGAGCTACCACAACTGGCCTCAAGTTTCTACATATATGATCATGTCATCTGTGAACAAAGATAATTTTACTTCTTCCTTTCGAACTTGGATCCTTTTATTTATTTTTTTTGCCTAACTGCTCTGGCTAGAACTTCCAATGCTGTTTTGAATAGATGTGGCAAAACTGGGCATCTTTATTTTATTCCTGATCTCAGGGGAAAAGTTTTCGGTCTTTCCCCATTGTTGAGTATGATGTTAATTGTGGGCTTTTCATATATGGTCTTCATCATATTGTCATATTCCTAGTTACTGAGTGTTTATTGTCATGAAAGCAAGTTGACTTGTTAGATGCTCTTTCTGCTTGAATTAGGATGATGTGTTTTATTCTCTTTATTCTTGTAATGTGGTGAATTACATTGATATTCATGTGCCAGGCAATCCTTGCATTGCAGGGATAGATCCCTCTTGCTCATGAGGTATAATCCTTTTAGTATGCTGCTGAATTTGGCTTGCTATTTTGTTGGGGATTTTTGTATCTATATTCATAAGAGATATTAGTCTGTAGATTTCTTTTCTTGTAGTGCCCTTGTCTTGCTCTGGTGTCAGGGTAATGGTGACCTCATGAGTTAAGAAGTGTTTACTCCTCTTCAATTTTTTTGGAGGAGTTTGAGGAGAACTGGTGTGTTAATTCTTCTTTCAATATTTGGAAGAATTCACCAGGGGTCCTAGACTTGTCACTGTTGGAATGTTTCTGATAACAATCTTCTTACCAGTTATTGATATATTTTGGTTTTTTATTTATTTGTCAGTTGATTTTGGGAGAGTGCGGGTTTCTAGGAATTTCATCTAGGTTACCCAATTTATTGGCACATAACTGTTAATAGTAGTCTCTTATAATATCATATTCATGTGAAAATATCTTATATTCATGTGAAAATGTAACATCCCCTCTTTCCTTTCTGATGTTAGTAATTTAAGTCTTCTCTTTCATTCTTATTTAAAGGTTTGTCAATTTTGTTTTTTCAAGAACCAACTTTTGGTTTCATTGATTCTCTATATCTGCTCTAACCTTTATTTCCTTCCTTCTGGTAACTTTGGGTTTCATTTGCTCTTTTCTAGTTCTTTAAAGTGTACATTTAGTTTACTGATTTGAGATCTTAAAAAAAGTTTTTTTAAGACATGGGGTCTTACGCTGTCACCCAGGCTGGAATGCAGTGGTGCAAGTATAGCTCACTATAACCTCAAACTCCTGGTAAACAATCCTCCCACCCCAGACACCTGAGTAGCTGGCACTACAGGAACATGCCACCACACCTGGCTTATTTTTTACTTTTTTGTAGAGACAGGATCCCACTTTGTTACCCAGGCAGGTCTCAAACTCCTGGCCTCAAGTGATCCTCCTGCCTTGGCCTCCCAAAGCACTGGGATTATAGATGCAAGCCACCATGCTCGACTGAGATTTTTTATTTTTTGAGAAGGAGTTTCGCTCTTGTTGCCCAGGCTGGAGTGCAATGGTGCGGTCTCAGTTCACTGCAACCTCTGCCTCCTGGGTTCAAATTATTCTCCTGCCTCAGCCTCCCAAGTAGCTGGGATTACAGGTGCCTGCCACCATGTCCACCTAATTTTTGTATTTTTAGTAGAGACAGGGTTTCACTATGTTGGCCAGGCTGGTCTCGAACTCCTGACCTCAGGTGATCCACCCACCTTAGCCTCCCAAAGTGTGGGGATTACAGGCATAAGCCACTGCGCCCAGCGTAAGTTCTCTTTTAATGTATGCATTTACAGCTACAGATTTACCTCTTAGGATTGCTTTCACTATGTGTCATAAGTTCTGGTATGCTGTGTTTTCATTTGTCTCAAGGTATTTTTTACTTTCCCTTATGATTTCTTTGACCCATTAGTTTTTAAATAGTGTGTTAATTTCCACCTATTTGTGTATTTCCACTTTTTTATTTTCAATGTCTAGTTTCATTCCACTGTAACTGGAATGTACTCTGTATAATCTCAGTTTTTAAAAATGTATTAACACTTGTTTCATGGCTTAACATACGGTTTATCCTGGAGAGTATTCCATGTGAATTTGAGAAGACTGTGTATTCTGCTGTTGTTGGGTGGTATTCTGCTTATGTCTATTTGGTCTAATTTGCTTAGAGTGTTGTTGAAATCCTCTATTTCCTGATTGATCTTCTGTCTGGTTTCTATATCCATTATCGGACATGGAATATTAAAGTCTCCAACTATTTTTGTCTTTCTCCCTTTAATTCTGTCATTTCTGTTTCATATGTTTTGGAGCTCTGTTAGGGGTATATATATATATAATATATATAAATAAATATATAAAAATAAATATATATTTATAATAAATATATTTTTATTTCATATATAAATATATATCTTATAAATATATATATTTATATAACATAAATATATATTTATATATATTATATATTATATATAATATATATTTATATAAATATATATATTATATATAATATATTTATATATAATATATATTTATATATTATAAATATATATTATATATTATAAATATATATTATATATTATATATTATATAAATATTATATATAATATATATTATATATAATATATATAAAAATATATATATTTATATATATAAATATTTTATCAATATAATATCCTTGTCTCTTGTAACCTTTCTTGATTTAACATTTATTTTGTGTGCCTTTTTCAAAAGAGGACACTGGAGGTGAAGAAGGAAGCTCTTGACTCTCCTAAAGCTGATCCCAAAGTGAAGGCTTTGAAGGCCAAGAAGGCAGTGCTGAAAGGCATCCACACAGCCACCAAGAAAAAAAAAAAAAAGATTCACACATCACCCACCTTCCTGTGGCCCAAGACATTATGACTCTGAAGACAGCCTCAATATCCTCAGAAGAGCACTACCAGGAGAAATAAGCTTGACCACTATGCCATCATCAAGTTCCCAATAACCAGTGACCACTGAGTCTGATGTGAATTAGATAGAAGACAACAATACACCTGTGTTCACTGTGGATGTTAAAAGCCAAAAAGTACCAGGTCAGGCTGTGAAGCAGCTCTATGACACTGATGTGGTCAAAGTCAACACATTGATCAGGGCTGATGGAGAGAAGAAGGCGTATGTTCAACTGGCTCCTGATTACAATGCTTCTGAGGTTGCCAACAAAACTGGGATCATCTTGGCTGAGTCTTGCTGGCTAATTCTAAATTATATATATATAACATGTTATACATATATTTTATATATAATTGTATATATTTAAAATACATATATATTTTATATATAATTGTATATATTTAAAATACATATATATTTTATATATAATTGTATATATTTAAAATACATATATATTTTATATATAATTGTATATATTTAAAATATATATTTTATATATAATTGTATATATTTTAAATATATTTTATATATAATTGTATATATTTAAAATATATATATTTTTTTTCTCCAGAAAAAACAGATTATTTTGTCTGGTGATAATATAGCCACCTCAGCTGTCATATGGTTACTATTTTCTAGGTGTATCTTTTTCTATCCTTTTACTTTCAACCTCCTTGTGTCCTTATATCTAACATGAGTCTCTTAAGACAGCATATAAACACTATTTGTTTAACTCCAATCTGCCAATCTTTGTTTTTAATAGAAGAGCTTAATCCCTTTACATTTAATGTGATTACAGATCAAGGATTTACTTCTGCCATTTGGCTATTTGTTTTTAATATGTCTTATATGTTTTTGATTCCTCAATTCCATTACTACCTCCTTTTGTATTTATTTGATTGTTCACAATGTACTGTTTTGATTCTGTTTTTACAATGCACTAATTTGTTAGTTTTACTATTTAGACAGATTACATCTTACATTCTATGCCCATTAATATAGATTTATAATTTTTTAATGAATTTGTCTTTTAAATTATAAAGCACAAAGAGAAAAAGTTATAAACCAAAAGTACAATAGTACTGGCTCTTATATTTACCTCTAAAGTTATCTTAACTAGTGCTCTTTTTTTTTTTTTTTTTTTTTGTGATGGAGTCTTGCTCTGCCCCACCCAGGCTGGAGTACAGTGGTGCGATCTCGGCTCACTGCAAGCTCTGCCTCCCAGGTTCAAGCGATTCTCCTGCCTCAGCCTCCCAAGTAGCTGGGATTAGCACCACCAGGCCCAGCTAAGTTTTGTATTTTTTGTAGAGATGGGTTTTCACCATGTTGGCCAGGCTGGTCTCAAACTCCTGACCTCGTGATCCACCCGCCTCGGCCTCCCAAAGTGCTGGGATTACAGGTGTGAGCCACGGCACCTGGCCTATTTTTTCTTATGGCTTCAAGTTTCTGTTCAGTATCCTTTCATTTCAGCATGAAGGACTCCCTTTAGCATTTCTGGTAGGGCATGTCTACTAATAATGATCTCCTTCAATTTTATTTGGAAATGTCTGGATTTCTCTTTCATTTTTGAAGAATAGTTTTGCCATATACAGAAATCTTGGTTTAGAGGTTTTTTTTTTTTCTTTTTTTCACGACTTTAGATATGTCATCTCACTGCCTTTGGGCTTCCAAGATTTTTGATGAGGAATCGGCTGTTAATCTTGTCAAAAATTCTGTGTGACGAGTTGCTTCTCTCTTGCTGCTTTCAAAATCCTGTCTTCAGGTTTTGACAATCCTAATATAACATGTCTTGGTGTGGATCTGAGTTCATCCTGCTTGGATTTTATTGAGCTTTTTGGATGTGTAGATTCATGTCTTTCATCAGATTTGGGAAATTTTCTATCATTATTTCTTTAAATATTCTTTCTGTCCCTTTTCTTTTTCTGCGATTCCTATATGAGTATATGAGTATGAATATACTAATGAATATAATAACTATATGAATATATGAGTACATTAGTATGCTTGATGATGTCTCACAGCTCTCTCAGGTTTTTTTTCCTAAATATTTTTTTTCTTTCTTCTCCTTTGGATAATTTCAATTATTTTCTCTTCAAATTCACTGTTCTCTTCTTTTGCATGCCCAAATCTTTGTTGAATCCCTCTAGTGGGTTTTCCATTTCAGGGATTATACTTTTTAGCTCTAGAATTTGTTTGGTTCCTTTTTATAATTTCTATCTCTTTATTGATATTCTCATTTTGTTCATGCATGGTTTTCCTGATTTCCTTTAGTTCTTCGTCCATGTTTTCCTTTAGCTCGCTGAACATACTTAAGATAGTTGATTTAATGTCTTTGGGTAATAATTCCAATGTCTGGACTTCCTCAAGGATGGTGCCTGTCAATTTTTTTTCCTGTGAATGGACCATGGTTTTCTATTTCTTTTTATGTTTTGTAATTTTTTGTTGAGAACTGGACATTATGAGTATTACATTGTGGTAACTGAGAATCTAATTCTGTCATGCCTCAGAGATTGCTGATTTTTGCTTATTGAGGGCTGGAGCCAACTATTTGTGACTTTTCCAACTATTTTTGTGAAGTGTGTATTCTTTGCAGTATGGGGTCAGTGAAGTTTCTGTTGTGATATCTCTGTGGTTAACCAGTGACCTAAGATTTCCTTAAATATCTGGCTTGCCAAAAGGAGGAATAAAGAAAAAAAAAAATAGGTACTGTCTCTTTAAATCCCCTTGTGGCTAGAAAGCTCCCTCTGCCCAAGGGCATTGAGACAATGATCAGCCTCTGCACTGGCCCCCTCAGTGATTAAATGCAGTAATCAGAAATCAAAAAACTCTTTTTTTTTTTTTTTTGCAATGGAGCCTCACTCTGTTGCCCAGGCTGGAACGCAGTGGTGTCATCTTGGCTCACTGCAACTTCTGCCTCCCAGGTTCAAGTGATTCTCCTGCCTCAGCCTCCCAAATAGCTGGGATTACAGGCACTCACCAACATGCCTGGCTAATTTTTGTATTTTTAATAGAGACAGGGTTTTACCATGTTGGCCAGGCTGGCCTCAAACTCCTGACCTCAAGTGATCCACACCTCAGCCTCCCAAAGTGCTGGGATTACAGGTGTGAGCCACCACACCTGGCCACAAAAACTTGACTTTTGGAGGACAAAGTTGTTATTGCCTACCCTGGCACCAACAGTCTGCACCAGGAACATTTTCCACAGTTGCCTGCTGCAGAGCTTGCGGATGCTGAAACAAAAAAAAACCATCAAAATTTGTAAGCCTCTCCATCAAGCTCTTCCCTGGATGTTGCAAGTGTTCAACTAGACTTCTGAGTCCCAAAACAGTTGCTTGAGACAATTACTGCCAGCTCAACTGCTTTGGTGGAGGAAAAGATTCCTGGTGCTGCTACTGCCATCTTCCATAACATCATTCTCCATGTCAGCTTTCGTAATCAACTTGTTCAAACATCCTCATCTCTCTTGAGCATGACACCCTGGCCTACTGGTATATTACAAGAAGCACAGAGCTGGGTATAATATAAGGACCAACTTACAAACTTGGACAAAGACTTGTAGGAGAGACTACCTGCTCTGCATTATAAAAAAGTTAAACTAGCCATAAAAACCTGTTGTTCTGACTCCAGGGTGTGCCATCAGCTACTTTATAAAGCAGGCTGTGAGCTGTGGGCCCCAAAGGAGGGGAGTGTTTTGTTGTTGCCGTATTGAAAACATGGCTGGAGTTGGAGGAGGCTGTAAGGGAGCCAGTGGCCCTTGTACTCCTACCCTAAGTGCTGACCAGGGCTTTGGGCTCCACCAGGTGTTTGCTCTCACTGTGGGCTTTGTGGAACTGGATTTTGCCTTAGTATGTTAATATGAGAAGAACAGGCTTTCTGCAAATGCTAAACAGATGGATGACATGGTACTCCCCGCCCCCAACCCACCAAATTATGGGCCAAAAAGGAAGTCTCTTTTTCCTTAATTCAGTAAAGAAACAATAGCATAACTATGTTTCAAACTGTTGTGTTCAAATGAATTTAAAATATTCAGAGAAAGAAAAAGAATTTTGTCCTTTTTAAGACATCCTAAGTAGAAAGCAACTGGGGTGGAGGAGCTGGGATTTGCCAGGCCAAAATAAACAAACAACAATGGTTGGCTATTGTATGGAAACAATGCAACACCATCCAGGAAATTCTGTGGGATTTCTGAGGGATAGGCCACTATGGTTGGCCCTGGGGATGAGGTACCAAACACAAGGCCCCACACTGAGGCAGCTCATGCCAAAGTCACCACGGAACCATCACATTGCCCAACACCACAAATAGTGTCTCCTGTACCCCCTCCCACATTGCCAACTCAGCTAGCAATGCTGCCATTTTGGAACCCCCAATCCCTTCAGCTTCTACAATACTCCGCCCTCCTGGCTCTCACCTGAGCTTCTGGCTGCCCTCTGATGGGGTCTCTAATGAGAACACAAATGTCAAAGGGTAAGGAGGGAAGGGAGAGGCTGGGAACTCAGTGACCAGGAACCTAGAAAATCAACACGTAATAACATGACTTGTCTGTGGCTTCAAAACTATGTCTTAAATAAAAATAATCTTCTATGATACATTTTGCTTTCGAGTACAATCCAGAGAAACTGAGGAACAAAATTCAAGCTTTTGATTCCATGTATGTCAAAGAAGGAAGGTGATTTTCCATTATACTAAACATTTCTTCTACATCAGGCATAACCAGAGAAACACAAGACTTTCATCATCAGAAAAAAGCACATTATGTATCTAAGGACAATTAAAGGCTCTCTTTCCTTTTCATCAATTTGAGCTGAATTTCAACTCATGTCCTGTTGCTGTCTCCTACCCAGTGGCTGTGGATCTGCCCGACTCAGAGGATGTTTTGACCTGTTCTCCTATTGCTAAGAAATGGCTAGAAAAGCTTGGACCCCTTTAGGGTCACCATGTTCCTTCCCCTGCGCAGGTTTTTAAAAACACATGAAACAAAAAACAGCTCTCAACCGTTTATCATATTATATTCCTATGGCTTCTGCTGCTAGTTGTCCTCTGAAGCAGCCAGGCGGTTAATGCTGCTGCCAGGCAGCCTTAGAGACAGCAGATGCCCCTGTGCAGTAAATTCAGTGCCCAACCATAAGTGCCTCCTCCCCTTACCCACACAGGATAGCCATGGCCCCTGTGGACTCCTTACCGAGCTGACGTCCAGCCTGGGGACTCGATGTGTCAAAGGGCTCTGAGCTGGCCTCAGGGACACGGGGCTCCCACGACTCACTGTTCTCAGACACCTCTGAATAGGTGTCACCCATCCCTTTGTGAACTGCTGTGAGCTCACCAGTACCAGGGCCCTGGTCCTCACTGCCTGTGTCTGCCACGGCTCTGGTCTCCTCCCCCATTTTCTCAGCAAACCACTGCTTGACCTGCTGGGAGCTCATCTGGGTCTTGTCACAGAGGTTCTGCAGGTCCTCTTCATACAGCATCTTGTGTGTCATGTAATAGTCCTGCAGGAGCTCCCGGTTGCCAGGGGCAATGACCAGTAGCCCTGGTGGGAAGTTGCCTCGCTTATAGTCTTCGTACCATTTGAGTTGGCCGTTCTTCAGTGCGTACCTGCTATCTCCAAACCAGCGCACCACCTCTGGCCGTGGCAGACCCGTCTGGGCCATGATGGAGTCATAGTCCTGGTTGCTTGGCCACTGTGTCTGGACAAAGAGCTGCCGCAGCAAGTGCCGCTGCTGGGCAGTCTTTTTGCAGCTCACTTTGCCTGGGAGCTGCTCTGCCAGTTTGTTTGACTCATCATCCTCAGGGTCACAGGCACCCAGCCCTGGAATCTCGTTCCTGCCATTGGCTTCAGTGACCCTCAGGTTCTTCAGGTTGATTTTAATGGGGCTGACTTTGCGCTCTGCCAAGATATGGCTGCTGGGCATTTCCAGAGAGCCATTTTCACCAGAGACCCTTAGCTCACTGGCCAAATCCTCTTCTCCACCCTCATCCTCAGCAGCCTCCTCTTCCTCCTGAGAGGCATTCTCCTCAGCCTTCTTGGTCTCCTCAGCATTCACTTTTTTCCGTCTCTCTGAAAACCAGCTATCAATTTCTCGTCGGGTCATTTTGGTTTCACTTCTCAGGCGGTCCAGTTCCTCATCAAGAGGAAGAGGGTTTTGTGCAAAACTGCTCTCCAGGGCTCTGAGCTGCTCAGGGGCTCTCTCCTTGTATTTGGTTGGTGTGAAGTCAGGAGTCTGGTGCCAAGATTGTCGTTTGGCAGAAGGGTGGGTTGCTAGTGTGGCTGTTGTCGGAATGCAGGTTACCTCAGGGACCTTGGACGATGGGGAGAAGGACACCTCTGGCACAGAGTCAATGATGATGGAACTGTGATCTCCAGGTATCATCGCTCTGGAGCCCTTCAAGTTCCGGCAGTGGTATCTACGATCACTGAACCATTTCCGCACCTCTCTGGTACTGAGGCCCGTCACTTTTGTGAGATGTTCAACTTCGCTCTGCCCTGGGAACTGGTTCCGACAGAAGCTCCCTTTCAGAGCTGACAGCTGTTCATGAGATTTCTTATTTTTGTAGATGCTAGCATCAAGGAAGGCTTGGGAGGTTATGCTGGGGCAGGCCGTGAGGAGCGACTGGGCCGCATTGACCACCTTCACAGCTGACGTTGTATTTGAACACACAGTGTTAATGGGTGCCACACCTGGCTGCTTGGGGACGGATGTCACCGTGAGGGGGAGAGGGGAACTTGTTGCTTGCAACCCATTGGCCATCAATGGCTGAGTGACCAGAAGTCCCCCTCCTGTACCCTCTGGCTGCCCCACAACGTGACCTGGAAGAGCGGCCTGGATGAGATGCTGGACATTGCCAGCACTGGCGACGAGTGGGGTATTTAGAACCGTAATTGTGGGCTGAGGCACAGACTGGATGACTGTATTGAACATCTTTTTCCGGGCATCCTCAATCTCCTCAGGGGACCAGCTGATCCCCTGCTTCAGCCTTTGGGCTGTGAACCAGATCTTGAGCTGTTCTTCTGGATACTTGGTCACCACAGTCAAATAGCAGAGCTCGGCTTTGGTGGGGTAGGGGAACTTGTGGAAGGAGTTCTTCAGGAAGCTGTTAGAGTCCATGGCTGCATTGTACGTTGGAATGCTGCTCAGGGGGATCATCACTTTGGGAAGGGCCTTGGCCGTGGGCAGTGGCTGGTGGACATGGTGTTGGGCATGCACTGGGGGCTGCTGCTGGAGGGAGAGGAACTGTGCTATGCCAGCTGGCAAAACTGGCACTGTTCCTATCAGGGGCCCGTTGGCGGCATGGGGGTTTTTTGCAGAGCTGGCAGATGCCTGGCTGACTGGAACTGCCCCATTGATGAAGGAATGGTCCCCCTCTCTCACCTCCATTTCTCCAGTCGACAGCTTTGGTAAGGCCTCACCCACAGGCTGGCTAGGGACATTCTCCTTGAGTGTATGAATTTTTTTGGCTTCAGCTTTGCCTTTCATTATCTTCATGATTGGAGTTTTGGTAATGATGATTTCTGCCTGTCCATCAGCCCCTTCAGCACTGGGCTCACCCGCTAGGTCAGGAGTGCTGGTGCTCTCAGGGATGCTCTGCTCCACAACCACATGATTGTCTGGCTTGGCCACGTTCCACACAAAGCTGGCTTCCCCGGAGTGACATGTGGCATTGTGCAAGGAAAGCCCCTCAGGGGTTTTTGCCAGAAAACTGCACCCACTGCATACAAAGGTTGGGTCTTTATTAAAGTCTGTGTGCTCTGAGTTCATATGTCCCACAAATTGGGTCATGTCATGGGATCTGAAATCGCAGTATTTACAGGAATATAAATAGCCATCTAAAGTGCTCCGATGCCCATTGGCCAGTGTAGAGCCATCAGTACTGCTGGGGTTCTGTGCTGCCTCACTGCTGGCAGCAGATGCTTCTGGGGGCAGATCCTGCTGGGGTCCTTCAGGCAAGGTCTCAGCGGGCTGGGCCTCCATGCTGGCATCTTGCAACACCACAGTCTTCACTGGGATCATGCATGGTGTGGTGGATTTCCTCTTGCTGGCCATGGTGACAATCACTGGGTGATCAGCAGTTGAGAGCTTGTCCCATAAGGGGCCTAACAATACAAGTTCCAGCTTCTCGATGAGGGCCAAAGAAACAGTTTCTAAATGCAGCTTTTTCAGTTGTTTGCAGAAAGCAGGTTTTCCCTATTCAATCTAAGGAAAGGGAGAAAAAAATGATTAAGTTCTCTTAAGTGCTTTCTGTATATTTCTCGGATACCCAGACACATTCCACTGCTTGCCTTCTACCATCTAGGTCTTTTCACAGTAAGTTTAATCAGCAACTTGGATATGAAGTCTAAGTTAGGAACCCCCTAATGACAAAAACTGGACCCTGAAGAATGACCTGGGGATGGTCCAATACCAACTGATAGACTTAAGCAACGTATTTTTGTTTCTTCCCCACCACCCCCTACATATCCCTGCATTAAGTAATTCAGATTAAAAAACAAAACGCCCTCTTTTTGGACCTCCAAATTAATTCTGACCATGTCAGAGTGAGAACAAAAGATCCTAGTGTAATTCTTGTTTACATTTTGGACCAACACGCGGTTTTCTTTTCATAGCCTTCCCGCATATGAGAACAAGATGACGCCTCTGTCTGTCCCAAGCCAGGCCCAGGGACCAAGTTAGCTGCAGTGTGTGAACGGAAGGGGTGGGGTGGGCGGGGGTGGCTAGGAAGACCGGCTGCTGTAAGAGCCAGGCCTCTGTAGCCTTTCCTTGCCTGCCGCACTTATTCCAGGCCACAGAAAAGCGATCACCTTACAGTTACTGGCTGTTATGTATCCCGGACCACTGTTACTGAGATGAAACCAAAGGTCAGAGGGTCAGGGAATCCACAGAACCAGTTTGTGGCCCAGCAAGCTATACATTTTCTGTGTACGACCACTCAAAGGGTGGTCTCACCTTGAGATCTGAGAACAGTTGGACTGCCTCCCCAAGTGGGTCCCTGACCCCTGAGTAGCCTAACTGGGAGGCACCTCCCAGTAGGGGCCGACTGACACCTCATACAGCTGGGTGCCCCTCTGAGATGAAGCTTCCAGAGGGAGGATCAGACAGCAACATCTGCCGTTCTGCAGTATTTGCTGTTCTGCAGCCTCCATTGGTGATACCCAGGCAAACAGGGTCTGGAGTGGACCTCCAGAAAACTCCAACAGACCTGCATCTGAGGGTCCTGACTGTTAGAAGGAAAACTAACAAACAGAAAGGACATCCACACCAAAACCCCATCTGGACGCCACCATCATCAAAGACCAAAGGTAGATAAAACCACAAAGATGGGGAGAAACCAGAGCAGAAAAGCTGAAAATTCTAAAAATCAGAGTGCCTCTTCTCCTCCAAAGGAACGCAGCTCCTCACCTGCAATGGAATAAAGCTGGATGGAGAATGGCTTTGATGAGTTGAGAGAAGAGGGCTTCAGACGATCAGTAATAACAAACTTCTCTGAGCTAAAGGAGGATGCTCGAAGCCATCACAAAGAAGCTAAAAACCTTGAAAAAAGATTAGATGAATAGCTAACTAGAATGAACAGTGTAGAGAAGACCTTAAATGACCTGATAGAGCTGAAAACCATGGCATGAGAACTACATGACGCATGCACAAGCTTCAGTAGCCGATTTGATCAAGTGGAAGAAAGAGTATCAGTGATTGAAGATCAAATTAATGAAATGAAGCGAGAAGTTTAGAGAGAAAAGAGAAAAAAGAAACGAACAAAGCCTCCAAGAAATATGGGACTATGTGAAAAGAACAAATCTACGTCTGATTGGTGTACCTGAAAATGACAGGGAGAATGGAACCAAGTTGGAAAACACTCTTCAGGATATTATCCAGGAGAACTTCCCCAACCTAGCAAGGCAGGCCAACATTAAAATTCAGAAATACAGAGAACAACATAAAGATACTCCTCGAGAAGAGCAACTCCAAAACACATTAATTGTCAGATTCACCAAAGTTGAAATGAAGGAAAAAATGTTAAGGGCAGCCAGAGAGAAAGGTCGGGTTACCCACAAAGGGAAGCCCATCAGAATAACAGCGGATCTCTCGGCAGAAACTCTACAAGCCAGAAGAGAAGTGGGGGCCGATATTCAACATTCTTAAAGAAAAGAACTTTCAATCCAGAATTTCATATCCAGCCAAACTAAGCTTCATAAGTGAAGGAGAAATAAAATCCTTTACAGACAAACAAATGCTGAGAGATTTTGTCACCACCAGGCCTGCCTTACAAGAGCTCCTGAAGGAAGCACTAAACATGGAAAGGAACAACTGGTACCAGCCACTGCAAAAAACATGCCAAATTGTAAAGACCATCAATGCTAGAAAGAAACTGCATCAACTAACGAGCAAAATAACCAGCTAACATCATAATGACAGGATCAAATTCACACATAACAATATTAACCTTAAATGTAAATGGGCTAAATGCACCAAGCAGACCTAACTGACATCTACAGAACTCTCCACCCCAAATGAACAGAATATACATTTGTCTCAGCACCACAGCACACTTACTCCAAAATTGACCACATAGTTGGAAGTAAAGCACTCCTCAGCAAATGTAAAAGAACAGAAATTATAATAAACTGTCTCTCAGACCACAGTGCAATCAAACTAGAACTCAGGATTAAGAAACTCACTCAAAACCGCTCAACTACATGGAAACTGAACATCCTGCTCCTGAATGACTACTGGGTACATAACGAAATGAAGGCACAAAGAAAGATGTTCTTTGAAACCAATGAGAACAAAGACACAACATACCAGAATCTCTGGGACACATTTAAAGCAGTGTGTAGAGGGAAATTTATAGCACTAAATGCCCACAAGAGAAAGCAGGAAATATCTAAAATTGACACCCTAACATCACAATTAAAAGAACTAGAGAAGCAAGAACAAACACATTCAAAAGCTAGCAGAAGGCAAGAAATAACTAAGATCAGAGCAGAACTGAAGGAGATAGAGACACAAAAAACCCTTCAAAAAATCAATGAATCCAGGAGCTGGTTTTTTGAAAACATCAAAATTGATAGACAGCTAGCAAGACTAATAAAGAAGAAAAGAGAGAAGAATCAAATAGACACAATAACAAACAATAAAGGGGATATCACCACCGATCCCATAGAAATACAAACTACCATTAGAGAATACTATAAATACCTCTACGCAAATAAACTAGAAAATCTAGAAGAAATGGATAAATTCCTGGACACATACACCCTCCCAAGACTAAACCAGGAAGAAGTTGAATCCCTGAATACACCAATAACAGGTTCTGAAATTAAGGCAATAATCAATAGCCTACCAACCAAAAGAAGTCCAGGACCAGACAGATCCACAGCTGAATCTACCACAGGTACAAAGAGGAGCTGGTACTATTCCTTCTGAAACTATTCCAATCCACAGAAAAAGAGGGAATCCTCCCTAATTCATTTTATGAGGCCAACATCGTCCTGATACCAAAGCCTGGCAGAGACACAACAAAAAAAGAGAATTTTAGACCAATATCCCTGATGAACATCGATGCAAAAATCCTCAATAAAATACTGGCAAATCGAATCCAGCAGCACATCAAAAAGCTTATCTACCACGACCAAGTTGGCTTCATACCTGGGATGCAAGGCTGGTTCAACATATGCAAATCAATAAATGTAATCCATCATATAAACAGAACCAAAGACAAAAACCACATGATTATCTCAATAGATGCAGAAAAGGCCTTTGACAAAATTCAACAGCCCTTCATGCTAAAAACTCTCAATAAATTAGGTATTGATGGGACGTATCTCAAAATAATAAGAGCTATTTATGACAAACCCACAGCCAATATCATACTGAATGGGCAAAAACTGGAAGCATTCCCTTTGAAAACTGGCACAAGACAGGGATGCCCTCTCTCACCACTCCTATTAACATAGTGTTGGAAGTTCTGGCCAGGGCAATCAGGCAGGAGAAAGAAATAAAGGTTATTCGATTAGGAAAAGAGCAAGTCAAATTGTCCCTGTTTGCAGATGACATGATTGTATATTTAGAAAACCCCATCGTCTCAGCCTAAAATCTCCTTAAGCTGATAAGCAACTTCAGCAAAGTCTCAGGATACAAAATCAATGTGCAAAAATCACAAGCATTCCAATACACCAATAACAGACAAACAGAGAGCCAAATCATGAGTGAACTCCCATTCACGATTGCTTCAAAGAGAATAAAATACCTAGGAATCCAACTTACAAGGGATGTGAAGGACCTCTTCAAGGAGAACTACAAACCAGTGCTCAACGAAATAAGAGGACACAAACAAATGGAAGAACATTCCATGCTCATGGATAGGAAGAATCAATATTGTGAAAATGGCCATACTGCCCAAGGTAATTTATAGATTCAATGCCATCCCCATCAAGCTACCAATGACTTTCTTCACAGAATTGGAAAAAACTACTTTAAAGGTCATATGGAACAAAAAAAGAGCCCACATTGCCAAGACTATCCTAAGTCAAAAGAACAAACTTGGAGGCATCATGCTACTTGACTTCAAACTATACTATACTACAAGGCTACAGTAACCAAAACAGCATGGTACTGGTACCAAAACAGAGATGTAGACCAATGGAACAGAACAGAGCCCTCGGAAATAATACCACACATCTACAACCATGTGATCTTTGACAAACTTGACAAAAACAAGAAATGGGGAAAGGATTCCCTATTTAATAAATGGTGCTGGGAAAACTGGCTAGCCATATGCAGAAAGCTGAAACTGGATCCCTTCCTTACACCTTATACAAAAATTAATTCGAGATGGATTAAAGACTTAAATGTTAGACCTAAAACCATAAAAACCCTAGGAGAAAACCTAGGCAATACCATTCAGGACATAGGCATGGGCAAGGACTTCATGTCTAAAACACCAAAAGCAATGGCAACAAAAGACAAAATTGACAAATGGGATCTAATTAAACTAAAGAGCTTCTGCAAAGCGAAAGAAACCACCATCAGAGTGAACAGGCAACCTACAGAATGGGAGAAAATTTTTGCAATCTACCCATCTGACAAAGGGCTAATATCCAGAATCTACAAAGCACTTAAACAAATTTACAAGAAAAACATCAAAGAACCCCATCAACAAGTGCACAAAGGATATGAACAGACACTTCTCAAAAGAAGACATTTATGCAGCCAAAAGACACATGAAAAAATGCTCATCATCACTGGCCATCAGAGAAATGCAAATCAAAATCACAATGAGATACCATCTCACACCAGTTAGAATGGCGACCATTAAAATGTCAGGAAACAACAGGTGCTGGAGAGGATGTGGAGAAATAGGAACACTTTTACACTGTTGGTGGGACTGTAAACTAGTTCAACCATTGTGGAAGACAGTGTGGCCATTCGTCAAGGATCTAGAACTAGAAATACCATTTGACCCAGCCATCCCATTACTGGGCATATACCCAAAGGATTATAAATCATGCTGCTATAAAGACACATGCACACGTATGTTTATTGCGGCACTATTCACAATAGCAAAGACTTGGAACCAACCCAAATGTCCATCAATGATAGACTGGATTAAGAAAATGTGGCACATATACACCATGGAATACTATGCAGCCATAAAAAATGATGAGTTCATGTCCTTTGTAGGGACATGGATGAAGCTAGAAACCATCATTCTGAGCAAACTATCACAAGGACAGAAAACCAAACACCACATGTTCTCACTCATAGGTGGGAACTGAACAATGAGAATACTTGGACACAGGGTGGGGAACATCACACACCACGGCCTGTCGTGGGGTGGGGAGAGGGACAGCATTAGGAGATATACCTAATGTAAATGACAAGTTAACGAGTGCAGCACACCAACATGGCACATGTATACCTATGTAACAAACCTGCATGTTGTGCACATGTACCCTAAAACTTAAAGTATAATTTAAAAAAGAATTATAAGTAATCTTCACATATGCTTTTAAGTATTTTTTTAAAAGAAAGGAAAGAAGAAAGAAGAGGAAACCAGAAACAAATAATCATTACACTATCCAGACATTACATAACATCCCTTACCTGTGAATTTAGATGTATTGAACTTTTAATAAAATAGATTGACTTCACACTTTTAAAATGCTAAGAAAGAAAACAGCTAAGGCAGAAAACTAACCTGAAAACAAAACCAATGGTTTTATATATAAAAGACCGAAATTAAACAGTTGATAACTCAAAAAGAAATAATAATAATAATTGTTTCACAGGATGCCATGAGAAAAGGGATTCTGTGAGCCCTATTACTAATATAGAATGATAATCATCATTATTACTTTTCGTTTTAGCAAATCATAATGCTCTAATGACTAAAACAATAGTAATTCTAATACTAAAATCAAGTTATCAGTATTTGGATTTGATACAAAGATGTAAAGAAAATTAAAATATCTCTATTCAAATTCTCAGTAAATAAACACGGCTATTTTATGATGAAAATAATTTTTAAAACTTTGAAGGTGAGGGTAAACATAAACCCACTCTAACAACTTCTCACCCCTTCCCCCACCAATTTGAACTGGCATGCACACTTTTTTACTTAATTTTTAATTATAAAGATAAAATGTAATTTAAATAAATTTAATGTCTATAATTTGGTATACCTTCTCATTTAGTCCAGATATTTTATTCATATTTTTATCACAATGAGCACACATTTGTGCTTTTTTCACCAAACATTACGTTATAAACCTTTTTGTTACACAAGCTTCATAAGTTTAACATTTAATAGCTACCTAATAATGTACCACAATGAATTTGACTTATCCACCCCTGCTGTTGAAAAGCATGCCAATCTCATGGGTGACAGTGAAACAAACATCTCTGGGCATACAGGATGTTTTTCTTCTATCAAATTATTTCCTGAGGTTAAGTGCACAGGAATGGGCTTACCATCTCAAAGAGCATCAACATTTCTAAGCTCCTTTGTATATATCATTGGCAAACATTTTAAATCAAGTGCTTTATGATCCCAAATCAGGGAAACTAAAAATAATACAGTTATGGACCCAGTGAGCAAATCAGATTTTCAGACAAGTTATGGAAGACATCAAGTAGAATATCTGAAAGCACAAACGACAAAAGAAAAAACAGATAAATTGGATGTCATCAAAATTAAAAACTTGCATTCTTCAAAGGTCACCATCAAGAAAGTGAAAAGATAGACAATCCACAGAAAGAAAAGGTTTGCAAATCATCTATCTGGTAAAGTATATCCAGATTATATAAATAACTTACAACTCAACCATAGAAAGATAATTTTTAAACGGGTAAAGGATTTGAATAGACACTTCTCCAAAGAAGATATACAAATGGCCAGTAAAGCACATAAAAAACTGCTCAACATCATTAGTTATTAGGAAAACACAAATCAAAACCACAATGAGATACCACTTCACACCCACCAAGATGGCTGTAATTACAGCGACAGATAACAAGTATAGATGAGGATGCAGAGAAACTGGAGCCCTCACGTATTGCTGATGAAAATGTAAAATGGTATAGCCACTTTGGAAAACTGTTTGGCAAACAAAATGTTAAATATAGAGTTGCCATAAGATCCAGCAATTTGGCCGGGCGCAGTGGCTCACACCTGTAATCCTAGCACTTTGGGAGGCCAAGGCGGGCGGATCACCAGAGGTCAGGAGTTCAAGATCAGCCTGACCAACATGGAGAAACCCCATCTCTACTAAAAATGCTAAATTAGCCAGGCATGTTGGTGCATGACTGTAATCCCAGCTACTCAGGAGGCTGAGGCAGGAGAATTGCTTGAACCTGGGAGGCGGAGGTTGCAGTGAGCCAAGATCATGCCATTGTACTCCAGCCTGGGCAACAAGAGCTAAACTGTGTCTCAAAAAAAAAAAACCAAAAACAAAACAAAACAAAAAAAACAAAACACCAGCAATTTAATTCCTAAGTATATACACAGTATAAATAAAAACATGTCCACCCCAAAATATGTACACAAATGTTCACAGCAGCATTATTCAAATAATGGCCAAAAGGTGGAAACAACCCAAACATCTATCAGCTGGTGAATGGGTAAGTAAAATATGATATATCCATACGATGAATTCTTCAGCCATGAAAAGGAATGAAGTTCTGATGCATGCTGCAACATGGATGATCCTGATGCTAAGTGAAAGAAGTCAGACACAAATGTCACATACTGTATGATTCCCATTTATATGAAATATCCAGAAAAGGCAAATCCATAGAGGCAGATAGTAGATTAGTGGTTGCCAGGGACTGAGAGTAGGGGAGAAGGGGGAGTGGCTGCTAATGAGTCACCAGGCAATGAAAATTGTTCTGAAATTAGATAGTGGGGATGGCTGCACAACTCTGAATATGATAAAAACCTCAGGAAGGACATCGAAACCAAGAAAGGTAGAGGACAGTAAATTATAGCACTCAGTTCTATAGAAGAGGGTCAGCATTTACATTTCTAAGGTTTCAATATAGGTGACACAGTTCTGTGCTACTTCCTGACTCACCTTGGTAATATTTACTGTGGCCCTAGAGAAGCTGAATGGCAGTGCCTGTGAACATCAGGTTTGCCAGAGGAGAGGGAAGAGAGATGCAGACCTACTACCTGGAAGTAGCAACAACACAAAGGAAAAAGAGCATGAGCACACCAGAAGGCCAGGCAGCAGAACTCAGGAGAAGCTAACTGCAGAGCCCTAGCAACACAACACAAGCACTCCAGGCACAGGGCCAGAACTGCTATTTGTAATGGGGACTGGGATTCACTGAGGAAAAGGTATATAGTGTTCCTGGTATTTTACTTACTAAGGCTGAGAAGTGGACAACATGAAGATGGATTTGATTTTTGGCAATAGTCCCAATGTCATTCAAAATTAAGTCTTGGCCAGGCACAGCAGCTCACGTCTGTAATCCCAGCACTTTGGGAAGCCAAGGTAGGAAGATCATTTGAGGCCAGGAGTTCGGGATTAGCCTGGGCAACATAGAAATTGTAAAAAATTAGTCAGGAACAATGGTGTGTGCCTGTAGTCTCAGCTACTCAGGAGGCTGAGGTGGGAGGATCACCTGAGCCCAAGAGTTCAGAGTTACAGTAAGCAAGGATCATGCCACTGCACTCCAGCCAGGATGACAGAGCATGACCTTGTCTCTTAAAAAAAGAAAAATTAAGTCTCAAATTAGCCCTAAATTATCATTCGAATAAATGACTAAGAAGGGTACCACTGCTAACCATGTTCTGGGTAGATGGACCATTGACTATAAGCAATTACAAAAAAGCAGTAGTGGCAGCAGTGGCAGCCACAGCCAGTGTTTACTGAGTGTTTCATATTGTTGGAAGTGCTTTTATACACATCCCCTCATTTCACTCATAATAAACCCAAGAAAAGGCACTATAATTATTCTCATTTTACAGACAAGAAGGACAAGGCTCAGAAAAGTGCAGTGACTGCCTGGAGCGCACACAACTGGGAGACGACAGAAGCTGAATAAGAACCCAAGCAGTCTCGCTCCAGAGCCTGCAACTTCAACCACTCCACACAGTGAGCTCTCTGAGAAACCTCCAGATTGTTGCAATAAGGGCTACAGACCTCTTGAAGTAATATTTTCCTCCAGCATTTATTAAGAAAAAGTTCAAACAAATGGCAAAGTTGAAAGAGATTGACAGTGAACACCCATATCCCCACCACCTGGATGCTTACTAAGGTGGCTGTTTTTAGCAACATTACCCATTTAGGTAAGCTTGGGTTTATTTGTTATGTATTTTTAAAGGGGTTAAAAATGGTGCTTAAACAGCAAAGTTCTAATTATCTAGAAAATCATTCATCCAAAAGACACTCATGGAGCATGTCTGATAAATGAGGCACTACCATGTGGAAACATGCTATTGTCTAAGTCAAGCCCTAGTGAAGTGAGCTGATAGAAATGTAAGGTGCGGCCAAAAGAGATTCAGAAGGAAAGGCCAGGTGATGTTTGCATTTTGTCATTTTTGTACAATCCTTTACATGCCCCATCTTGAAACCTTCTGCCTTGTAAATGGATCTTTAAATGGGGCCAGAGCAGTGGCTCACACCTATAATCCCAGCACTTGGAAGGCCGAAACGAGTGGATCACTTGAGGTCAGGAGTTTGAGACCAGCCTGGCCAACAACATGGTGAAACCCCGTCTCTACTAAAAACACAATAAATTAGCCAGGTGTGGTGATGTGTGGCTATAATCCCAGCTATCGGGAAGCTGAGGCAGGAGAATCACTTGAACCCAGGAGGCAGAGATTGCAGTGAGCCAAGATCGCACCACTGCACTCCAGCCTGGGACACAGAGTAAGGCTCCGTCTCAAAAAATAAATAAATACAAATAAAAATAAAAATAAATAAATGGAAAAATAAAAACAAAAGTGCATAACTTTTTTTAAAAATCTGTCTTTGGGAATTGGTAATTGCTCAATTCACTAAATTAGCAAAGCTATAGTTAATAGCCACTATATTTCAGCACTGCAGTATACATATGTGAGTTTTTTAGATAAAAATCTTAAAGTGTTTATCTTTAAATTATAGACTGAATTAGGAACTTTAAAAAATTCTGAGGAATGAATTGGAAGAACAGTAAGAATTCAATGAAGGAATTCAAATACTTAGAAAGTAACTCTTGACAGACTCTTCCAAGCGTTATGATAGTCAGCCTGCAGCCCTCTTGAACATATCACCCAGTATTTATCATTAAAAACGGAAATAGGCCAGGCGCGGTGGCTCACGCCTGTAATCCCAGCACTTTGGGAGGCCAAGGAGGGTGGATCACAAGGTCAGGAGATCGAGACCATCCTGGCTAACACGGTGAAACCACGTCTCTACTAAAAAAAAAAAAAAAAAAAAAATACAAAAAAATTAGCTGGGCATTATGGCGGGCGCCTGTAGTCCCAGCCACTCAGGAGGCTGAGGCAGGAGAATGGAGTGAACCCAGGAGGCGGAGCTTGCAGTGAGCAGAGATGGCGCCACTGCACTCCAGCCTGGGCGACAGAGCGAGACTGTCCAAAAAAAAAAAAAAAGGAAATAATGGTAGAAGTTGACAGAATTACAGAAACATAACTATAGTGGGAGATTTTAAGATAATATTCTAAAGATCAAGTGGACAAAGAAAAAAGATGTAAAGAATGTGACTACTATGAGGTTGATCTGACAGACATGAATATAGTCTTGAGTATTCTATAGTAATTGACTTCACATTCTACACCATGAAACACATTTAAAAGTTACTCGTGATGTATAACAGACCATAAATAAACCTCAACCCATTCCAAAATAAAAATTCATAGGTAGCATTCCACTATTTAGTGCTAGCAACAAAGACTTACTTTGAAATTTATCCTTTTTACTTTGTTTCAAATTATGCTCTAAGTGGAAATTTCTCTCTCGGAAAGAAAGAAAAGTGAAAATCCTTCCTATTCACCCCCAGAGATAAACCATTGTTAACAGTGCAGTATATATGATTTCAGGCATGTTTCCTAGGCATAGCTTACTATAATTAATTCTTTTAAAAAACCAAAAATGGAATTGTATTTTTACATCCTATTTTGACCCTGAGTTTTCGTCTCACAATTATTTAATTTCAATATCTTTCCATGTCACCATCTCTAGTTTACCTCAGTCTTTTAAACAACTTCAGCATTCTAGGTTATGGATGCATCATAGTTTATTTAACCATTCTCCTGATAAGAGACATTTGCATTTCTCCAGGTTTTTAACTATTACAATGACTCGGTGACCATCCCTGCACATATTTTTATACATTTGAGAATTTCTGAAATACTGAATTTCTTACAAGTAAAATTGCAGTAGCATTTAAAATATTGTTAGCAAAATACAAAATTGTCTTTCAAGTAAACTGTACTGATTTTCGCTGTTACCACCAAAGAACTGAGGATGCACTCACTATCACTGCATATTCTTGCTATTTTCAGTCTTTGTTAATTTGATATATAAAACACTAATTACTAGTATTTGGAATCTACATTTCTTTATGAGCAAGGCTGAATATCTTTTCACATGTCATTGACGATTTTGTATAAAATTATCTTTTGTCCATTTTCCTATGGGATGTCAAGTGTTCTCCATATATTAAGAAAATGGGCTATTCTTTACCTGTCATAGATGAAACTGGGGTTTCATCTCCATTTTTTGGAGCCCATCTACCACAGGAGGCAGTAAATGACATTAAAGAATTACTGTTAATGTTGCTATGTATGATAATGGTATTTCAGTTATGTTACAAACAAAAGTCTTAATCAGTTGGTGATGCACACTCGAATATTTATGGGTAAAATAATTTGTTATATAGGATTTACTGGGAGGAAAAACCCAACCCCCTAGAAAAAAATGAGGGATGGGTAGAAATACATGAAATAAATTTGACCATGAACTTATAATTGTTCAAGTTGGGTTGGGATATATATGGCTCATATATATGCTCTTATGTACATTTGACATTTTCATAATTAAAAAAAAATTAAAAGCTCGAGACATATTTTAAAAAGAAATCTTGTATCATAAATGAAGCTTAAATTTATATTTTTAAAAAACATTCTGTTTTAAATGTTTCTCTCTTCCCTTCCTTTGGAAAATGCTGACCTTGGAAACAAAAATCAGATGCAGCCACCCACCCTACTGCTGCCCAAGCCAATCCTAAGTAAATCAGTTGGCTTGCTGGGAAGTTTCCATGACCGAAAAGAAAACAGAATTCACTTCAATTTCATCATCAAAGTCCACGAAAGCTTGCAAAGCACTTCCATATCCTTCTCAATCCATCCTCATAGTCTCCTGAATTGGTTATTATTGGCCTTCCCTCATTGTAGTATTGAGGAGCTATCGAGCAAGAAAGGGGAGGTGATATGACCAGTCACACACGACATATTTTTGGCAGAGCCAGATATTCTGATTCTAAATTCAGTGTTCTCTTTTAGACTATATTCATTCTGAATACCAACTAAACAATACATCCACTACCTGTAACTATTTTGACATTTTTTTCTTACAGAGGGTTCGAAGATTTTACAACCTGAACTATTCTAGTGTTTTGTTTTGTTCTTTAAAAAGGCTTGACAATGTAGTCCTAGCTACTTGGGAGGCTGAGATGGGAGGATCTCATGAGCCCAGGAGTTTGAGGCTGAAGTGAGAGCTATGGTTCCGTCATTGCATTCCAGTAATGTGGGCAACAGAGCAAGACCCTGTCTCCTAAAAATGAAAAAAGAGGCTGGACCAGTGGCTCATACCTGCAATCCCAGCACTTTGGGAGGCCAAGGAGACAGGATTGCCTGAGCCCAGGAGTTTGAGAACAGCCTGGGCAACATAAGGAGACTCCGTCTCTACAAAAAATTTAAAAAATAGCTGGCATGGTGACACGCATGCTTGTAGTCACAGCTAATTGGGAAGCTGAGGCGGATGACTGCTTAAGCCTGGGAGGTCGTAGCTGCAGTGAGTTGGGATTATGCTACTGCACTTTAGCCTGGGCAACAGAGCAAGACCCTGTCTCTAAATAAATAAATAAATAAATAAATAAATGGTAAAAAGGCTTGACAGTTATTATGATCCTTAGTATTTATAACACTTTTATACCGTCAGAAGAGGGTCTGTATTGCTTACTCTTATGTATTAATAGAGAACTCTTTTAACATGAGGCTTGGTGATTAGACCACGGTAAGTCAGTAGGACTCTATAACAAAAAGAACATGTGGAAAACTGTCCTTCCTCAGGAATGTGTGTGGGCAGGACCTTGGCAGTCCAGTAAGTGGATGTGCTGGTTGCAATTGTCAGATTTCTGCTGAAAACAAAAAAGTTACAAAGAACTCAAGTCTAAATCCTCAAATGTCAAAGCAATGTCAAGCCCAGAGCTGGCCTCAATTTGCCCTCTGGTTACTTAAGGGTCACAATAATTTCTGCATTTAGTAATCACCATCAGCCAAGGGCTCAAGGCTAGAGCTCTCTACTTGTTTTTCCCCCTCAAACAGTGCTGTTTTTTTTTTTTTTTTTTTTTTTTGAGACGGAGTCTCGCTCTGTCGCCTAGGCTGGAGTGCAGTGGCGCGATCTCGGCTCACTGCAAGCTCCACCTCCCGGGTTCACGCCACTCTCCTGCCTCAGCCTCCCAAGTAGCTGGGACTACATGTGTCTGCCACCACGCCCAGCTAATTTTTTGTATTTTTATTAGAGACGGGTTTTCACCGTGTTAGCGAGCATGGTCTCGATCTCCTGACCTCGTGATCCACACGCCTCCGCCTCCCAAAGTGCTGGGATTACAAGCGTCAGCCACCGCACCTGGCCTTCCCCCTCAACTCTTATTTTTGTCTAATCACCAACAGAAATAGCCCACTCTAGTCAGATATTATCACCTCTAAAGTAAACATTAATTTGTTCTTTCTCAAGCTCAGAAGGTGATTGTGATATAAATACAAAGGCCTCAGAATTAAAGAGACTTTAGAGATCATATATTCTAACCACTCACCTTTGCATGAATTTTACCTTAAGTACCACTACCAGGTGGTTAGGATGGCCTATACCTGAAGATCTCCAAAGATAGGGAGCTTGGCACTTATTGACACTAGAAAGATGTTTGAAATGGTTCCTTGTAGTAAGCACCAAAAACAACAAAACCTTCCTATAAGTTTTATTTGCTAAATTTGTTTTTTCTCTCAAATAGAGTTGAGGACTTACTATGTGCTAGGCACTGGGTATACAAGGATTTTTGAAAAGATGCTAGCTAGCCCTATAACTCAAGAAGCTAACAGTCTGTTGTGGTTATTAAGCTATCCACCAGGGCTCTGGGCCTTGCCCTCCACTGGATGCATTGAATTTCCCTGCCTACCTGAAGTTAGGTGAAACCAATGAAACGTGAACAAATGTGTCACCTCCAGGGGAAAAGTTTTATGAGAAAGTATAGGCTTTGCCTCACTATTTATTCTCTGGCCTGCAACTGGTTATGTTCCAGATGGCGGCTACTCTATCAGCCTGAGTCCTAAAAGAAGAACAATAGCTGACCTGCCATGTACATGCAGTATGAACAAGAAATAACCTTTGTCACTTTAAGCTACTGAGGTTTTTGGAGTAGCTTGTTACTGCAGCCCATCCTCACTGATACAGAGTCTGAAGACAGACAAACAAAATCATCAGCAAAATGATCAACAAAGTCATCAACAAAATGATCAACACCAATCAGACAATAAGCTGAGTGTTGTAGTGGAAGCATGCACAAAGTTCTGTGGAGCATAGGAAAAGACTTTCTACCCACCTCTGTCTTCCGGGGAACTTGGGGTAAGGCCTCATAGAGGAGGTTGCTTTTGGATTAGAGCTCGAAGGATGAATAAATACTGCCAAGTAGATAAGTTGAGAAAAGAGTGTTCTAGACAAAGGGAACACTTTATACAAAAACCGTAGAGGGAGGAGAAAACATGGCATGATTGGAGAGCTAGAAAGGATTCAGTTTTGCTATTGTACAAATCTGAATGTGGTAGATTTCCTATGAAGCTACTACAGCCGAAGCTTTGGGGACCCTCACTTCACTTGCACAGGCACCTTCCAAAGCCTCTATCTAACTTTATATCTTTATAATTTTATTCTTAGATTTTTTTCTTAGGAGGGTCCCCTTTACTAATGTTCAAGTTCCACAAAAGCTGGATCTGCTTGTGATGGATCAGGTTGCAGGAATAGGAGGTGATTCTAGGTATACAAACAAGATATTTGACTTTCTATATGATACAGTTTTTTTTGGTTTTTTTTGTTTTGTTTTGTTTTTGTTTTGTTTTGTTTTGAGGCAGAGTCTTACTCTATCACCCAGGCTGGAGTGCAGTGGTACAATCACGGCTCTCTGCAGCCTCGACCTCCCAGACTCAAGTGATCCTCCCGCTTCAGCCTCCCAAGTAGCCAGTATTACAGATGCGTGCCACCATGCCCAGCTATTTTTTTTTTGTAGAGATGAGGTTTCGCCATGTTGCCCAGGCTGATCTTGAACTCCTGGACTCAAGTGACCCACCCGCCTTAGCCTCCCAAAGTGCTGGGATTACAGGCATAGCCACTGTGCCCAGCCGACACATTTTTCAATTGGAAAAACGTGATTTTTTGGAAAAAAAGAATCATGTTCCCTAAAAGTCTTCTTTTCCCCTAAACCAATAATCCTCAGTTCCTGTACTTTGTGTGACTGGGACAGAGACTCCACACCACTCTCCACTGTTCTTCTCTGAATGTGCTCTTATTTGTCTATAGCCTTCTCAACAGTGGCATCTAAATCTAAATCTAATTCTCCAGATGTAGTCTGAGCGTATTTATCACCTTCCTTAAACTTACTCATGTCATATTTAATCTTTCACAAAAGTTTTTACCCAAACGATGCCACATTATTTATAATGTGAGATTCCCCTGAAAAATATGGATCAATGCTCTTGGATTTAATCCACAGCACCAGGACTTGTACCAAAATACAATACCTGCTTGTTTCAATTTAGGTTTGGCAGAATTTGAGGAACAAGTTTGCAGAGAAAAGATAGTCAATTCATTTAACAAATGTTTACTAAATGCCTTTTCTATGCCAGACATGCCAGAATATGGGGAAGACAAAAAAAAATAGATAGAAATCTCTGCCTTCCTGGAATTTACATTCTAGTTTGGGGGAGAGAGATAATAAATAAAATAAGAAAATGAAATTATGTGTCAGAGCAAAAAGTGGAAGAAAAGCATAGCAGTGAAAGGCTGAAGAAATGTGGAGCATGGCAGGGGTGAGACTGCAATTTAGATATACAGTGGTCAGAAGAGAACTCACTGAGAATGTGACACTGGAGCCAATACTCAGAGGTGTGGAAGTGAGCCATCTGGGTAAGTGAGGAAGCACACTCCAGGCACAGGCATCAGCTGGTGCAAAGACCTTGAGGTGAGAATGTGCCTGACATGTTCAAAGAACAGCAAGGAGGCCAGCAGAGCTGGGCGGCGGTAGTAGAGAGACAGTAGTATGAGACAAGGTCAAAGAGGCTGTGGTAGGGGGCAGGGAGGGGATCCATGCAGGTCCACTGCCATGATCTGAGTCTCTCTGAAATGGGCAGTGCCAAGAGAGGGCTTTGAGCAGAAGGTTGGCGTCATCCGACACGTGTCCTTCAGCATGGCTCTGCTGGCTATGTTGAGAACAGACTGTAGGAAAACACAGTGGAGAAGTAGGGAAACTTGTCAGACATCAATCTAGGCAGGAGATGACAGCAGCATGGACCAGGATGGTAGAGATGGAGGTAAGAAGAAGTGGCTGGATTCTGGATATGTTTTGAAAGTAAAGCCGAAAAGACTTCCTAAAGGAATGGATAGGAGGATGTGAACATTGTAGCCACGGGAATCAAGGATGACTCCAAGATTTTTGATCTAAGCAACTAGAAGGATAGTGTTGCCATCAACCAAGATAGGTTTAAACCTGGGAAGCTTTGTGAAAAAAGCAAAGCAAATCTGTGCTGCTAAAACTAGAAGGTCCTTTTCCAGGGGAAAAACTGGATTGAACTGGTTTGGTCACAAGTGTTGTAGGAAATTAATGGGTCAGACTGCTAATGAGCAAAGAGGCTGTGTAGTGCCAATGTTCCCAATGAAAAGACTCTGGTCTTTGCCAAAAGCTGCTCAAATCTACAGAGAAACTACAGAAATGGGGGTTGGGGGGAGGCTGGGACCAAATCTAGGGTATTATAAGAGCCAAGTAGTTAGAAATTGCACTCTCTGAGGTGTGAGACAGCGCCTTTCAAAGTTAAACATGTTACTTTAAATGTACTTGCATCCTAAATGTTGTTCCAAGTACTAAGTAAATTACTTTATTAAATTTAAAACTAAACAGTAAAAAAGAAATTGTTCTGGATGTGGTTTTACTTCTGAGATTACATTTGTTTTGTTTTAATTGAAATTTTCCAGTGTGGGCCAGATAGTTTACAGGCTGAATAGCTTGCAGGCTGGTGAGCTCACTTGAATTTCTCAAGAACATTTGTTAAAAAAAAAAAAAAAAGAAAGAAAGAAAGAAAAATTCTCTCTGGCTGACCACTGTGGATAAGATGTTCCTTTTACCTCTTCCAGGCTTAGTCTGTATTGATGATTTTCTTCAATGGCCTCACTACAAAGTCCAGCAAGATCTTACACACAAGAAAAAATGCTCAATTTCACTCACAGTAAGAGAAATACAAATTAAAATTACTCTGATTATTTTTCTTTCACTTACTTTGGAAAGGCTTGAAACATTGGATAATAATATCCTGAGTTGGCAAGGGTTTGCAGAAATAGGCACTCTCATACACTGCTTGCTGGAGTGAAAATTGGTAAGACTTCTATTAAGAAGTATTTAACAAGAACAAAATTATAAAAGCTCATTCCCTGACTCACCAGATTCTGCCTCTAGGAAGGCAGCCTGCTGATATACTTTGCACAATGGTAAGTCATACATGTATAAGGTAATCTACTATCAGCATGGTAATGGCAAAGGACTGGAAATAACCTAATCACTCATCAACAGGAGATAATCAAATCAATTATGGCACACTTATACAATGGAGTAACACACTTGTGAAAAAGAACAAGGGAGGTGCTTTTTATGCTGCTATGGATTAACCTTCAAGCTATCTTGATATATGTTAAGTTTTTTAAAAAGCAAAGCACAGAATAAAAATTATACGCTAGAAATACCTCGAGAAAAATATGTGAGAAACTAATAATAGTGTTTGCCCCTGGCGAGGGGAAGAGGGAGATGTGTTTGAGGGAAGCTTTTCCCTGTAGCCCCTTTTAAATTCTGAACAATGTTAATGTGCTATGTATTCAAAACAAAAAGTTAAAAATTGAATAAATACATAAGTGGAAAAAATGTTAGCATATTTCCCAAAATACATGGGTTGTTACAAATAACAAGTGAGAAAGTGAGAAGCTAATGGCGTCAGAGTAGAGGTCCTTACAGAGTATGTAACTGGGTCAAATACCAAGTAGTGCTCCTTTACATTTCAAACTTCTAATAGCTACAGATGAGCTTTTGGTGTAACTTCTGTAGGGGTGCATGTGAGCACTTCACTTAAAACTATATATTATATATTGCATTTGCCTCTGGCCATAAAGCCATAGTTCAAAAATAACTTAGAGATATCCAATATACAAAACAAAAAATAAATAAATAAAAGAACAAGCAAAACAAAAAAAATACCCAAAATGGAGGAGTGGGACAATATATGCAGTCCAACTTCTTTCCTAATTAAAAAATCCTGCAGCAATCTGTTATCCAGTCTCCAACTGAGTATCTCCCAAATGTGGGAGCTAATTATCATTTATGACAATTTATTACAAAGCCCCTTTCTTAGTTGGACCTGGTTCCCAGCTTTTAGATTTGTCTTTTGGACATAAATCAACTCTTTTTACTACATGACGCATCAACTCTCTTTTCTATATATCAGCTTTTCACACAGTTGAAGATCATTTCCTCTTTTAGTATTTACTTCTGCAGCTAAGTGTCCTGAATTCATTGCACATTCTCTCTATACATTCTAATTTGTCTGCATTTCTCACAAAATGTGGCAATTAGAACTGAACAAAGCATTCAAGATGTAGCCCAACCAGAAGAGAATTAAATGGAAGCTGTGTTTTCATCATCCTATTACCATGACTAATACAACCAAAAACTGAGCTAGATACAAGTTCTATTCTCCCCCTCACAGAGGAGGACTTTGAGGTGAAGTGACCCAGTGGGACAAGGAAACACTGCTAGAATTAAGGAGGATTAGGATTCTTTCATCACAAGGCCATTTGGATACACGTTTTCAGACACTCATTTATAATTCCAACAGAGGACTTCTGAGCTATCTTCCCCTTTGCCTCTTTGAAATCTACCTTCTTAAGAAAGGAATGTTAGACTTTCTCTGAACATCCTATCTAAATGTCTTTGGGGGCTCCCCCAAATCCAAGCTGAATTATTCTCTATCACAGCATCCTAATTGTTTCTTTCATAACATTTATCAAAATTTGTCTGGATCTTCATCTGATTCTTTTCCTGCTTATTGTCTTTCACTTTGGCTAGGCTGTAAGCTCTGTAAGTAAGGTCAGGGCCTATATCCACTGTTTCCGTAGCATATAGCACAATGTCTGGCACATAATAATCGTTTTCAGTGAGTGAATGGGTGAATAAACGGTAGCTGATAATGGAGTTAAGACTCTAACATCAGACAGAGCCCTAACACTGTGGACTGTGTATTCCTGGGCAAATGACTTAAGTCCTCACAATCCATTTCCTCATTGGTAAAATGAGGAGCTATTAATACCTACCTCATAGACCTGACATGACATTCGGTGAATTGATAGGAAGTACACAAAATGATTTAGCATGCTGTCTGATATACAGGAAACACTCAATAAATCATAGTTACTGCAGCTACTGCTACTGTTCTAATTACCACCACATCCCACTCAGAGGCTGGCCACTGAAGGATGACAATTAACTGTAACAGCTAGAGGTACATCAGCTGTTTTACCCAGCCTACCTTTCTTTCTTTTTAAAAAATTGTGATAAAAAACACATAACATAAAATTCATTGTCTTAACCATTTGTTTTTTTCTTTTGAGATGGAGTCTCACTCTTGTCGCTCAGGTTGGAGTACAGTGGCGTGATCTTGACTCACTGCAATCTCCGCCTCCCAGGTTCAAGCGATTCTCCTACCTCAGCCTCCTGAGTAGCTGGGATTATAGGCACCTACCACCACGCAGGGCTAATTTTTGTACTTTTAGTAGAGACAGGGTTTCGCCATGTTGGCCAGGCTGGTCTCGAACTCCTGACCTCAGGTGATCAGCCTGCCTTGGCCTCCCAAAGTGCTGGGATTACAGGCGTGAACCACCGCACCCAGACTGTCTTAACCATTTTTAAGTGTACAGTAAGGTAGTGTTAAGCACATTCACATTGTTGACCAACAGATGCCCAGAACTTTTTAATCTTGCAAAAGATGCAAATACTATACCCATCAAATAACTATTCCCCTTACTCTCTTCCCCCAGCCCCTGGCAACTACCATACTACTTTCTAAGAGTTTGACTACTTTAGTTACCTCATATAAATGAAGTTATATTTCAAGATGTAGCCCAACTAGAAGAGAATGAAAAGCAAGCTGTTTTCATCATCCTACTACCACTACTAATACTACCAGAAACCTAGCTAGCTAAAAAAAGTACTTATCTTGGGCTGGGCGCGGTGGCTCACACCTGTAATCCCAGCACTTTGGGAGGCCGAGGCGGGTGGATCATGAGGTCAGGAGATCGAAACCATTTTGGCTAACATGGTGAAACCCCATCTCTACTAAAAATACAAAAAATTAGCCGGGCGTGCTGGCGAATGGCATGAACGCGGGAGGTGGAGGTTGCAGTAAACTGAGATCGCGCCACTGAACTCCAGCCTGGGTGACAGGGCAATACTCTATTTCAAAAACAAAAGAATTTCCTTTCATTTTAAGGCTAAGTAATATTCCATGATATGTATATATCATATTTTATTTATCCATTCATCCACTGATGGACATTTAGGTTGCTTCCCCCTCTTGGTTATTGTGAATAATGCTGCAGTGAATATGGGTGTGCAAATATCTCTTTGGGATCTTATTTTTTATTCTTTTGGGTATACACTTTTTCTTGTTTAAGCTCTCCACAATCCTATGATGCTGGCAGAGCAGCAGAAATCACAGGAGTCATCAATTCGTCTTTACCTTTTTTGATCCTGTCATCAAATTATCTTCCTCTCAAGCTCACTCCCTAGTCCTTTCTGATAACCTCCTGGTTCCTCTATTTTCAAGTGAATTCAACAGGTCAAATTTAAAATTTATTTTACTTGTCCAAAAGGGAAGGAAGCTATTATACCTTTCCTATCCCTTTCTGTTGGAAGAACTCTAGGTTCCTCATCCAGAGAAGGGTACTGCCCCAGGTCTGAGCAGAATGAAGCTGCAGGTACTCAGGGTCTAAGCCCCCTGGAACAATAGAGGGCTATGGCTCTACCTTAGTCGGCCCAGGACAGTTTCTAAAATGTTTCCTTTATGAGTACTGTTTTGAATGCTGTTAATATTTCATCAGGAAGTATCAGTTTCCCTTGACAGGTAAGATTAAGTCCTATTCACTGGGTTGATCAGCCTTATCATTACAGCCAGGATATTTCTCTGCAAATCCCCTTCCAATCTTATGCTGCCCAACTAATGGGACCAACTGGATTTGCTCAATAAAGTTCTGTATTTTCCCAGAGCTCTTCATTTTCACATTATTGTCCTGGGGTGGGGGGCAGCAGAACAGAGATGTTGACAGCCAAATGGAAGATGCATTGGGAGGCTTCTGAAGATACTTGTTCTGTCTTTGAGAAACCTTAGAGCATCAAGGTGAAGCAAAAGGAAAGGAGAGGAATAGTGCTCAGTACCTGAGCCTTCTCTAATCTAAAACGCAATAAAGTCAATCATAAATCCTGAAAATGAGAGTGGCTGTGATGGTGCAAAATATAAAACTCCAACAACTATTTATCAGGAATGAAGTACATATATCTCCCTATTCGCATCTCAGCCTTCCTCCTGCAATATGTGAGTGAGTGTGCATGAACCCACACTCACCAGTGATACACTCAGGAGAGTACTGGGGAAGAGTTAACTTCCGCTGCAAGATAGTTAGCATATTTATTTCCTTTCCATGAGACTTCAGGAGCCTAAATCAGAAGTTTCTAAGAGCTTCTCTTGATGTCATATATTCTGAGAATGGATACATCTAAGAACTGATGTAATGTGTCTGCCATTATGAATTTGGTAAAAGTTCTATTTATCTGTTTTTAAACAAAAGGACTGCTTTAATGTTACATATTGGTTTGTTATTACATATTGGCTGGTTATTTGTTATTGGTTGTTTCTATGACACACTTGGACAAGAAAATTTCTAGTCCAAGTATATCATAGTGGTATTACTTGAGACACCACTTAAATCTCATAAAAATAGAAAAGATCCCCTAACTGGCCTCTCCCATCTTCCCCCTCCCCCATGCCAGACTGCCTCTGTCCCACTTATTCAACTTCCTTGCTCATCAATCTTTGGTGCATTGCAGGCCCCATTCCTTCCTCTCCTTCTGCCCAAACCACTTGCACCAAGGTCATCAGTCAAGTGGCTCTTTCCTACTCCTTCAAGTCTCAAACCACTCAGGACCCAAAGGAAGTTAAGACCCACACCTCTATAACCTCTCCAAAGGGAGCAAACTCATGCCCAGGACTTTGCAATCTCCTCTACCCAAGAGATTTCCAAATCACCCTTGCCAGCCCTGACCTATCTACCAAGTTCCAAATCCATTACTTCCAACTGCCATTGATCCCTGCAGGTTTTAAAAAACTACATGCATAAATTTCTGGCTCCGTTGACCCTGGCACTCACCCTTCCAAAAAACGAAACAAGCAAATAAAAAATATAGCCTAGGTCTACTTCCTAAATCTTCATTTCACCTCTCACCATTTGTCTTAGTCCGTTCGGGGTGCTATAACAAAAACATCATAGACTGGATGGCTTATAAACAACAGAAATGTATTTCTCACAGTTCTTGAGGCCAGGAAGTCCAAGATGAAGGTGCTGGCATATTCAGTGTCTGGTGAGGGCCTACTTCCTCATAGACAGACAACTTCCCACTGTCCTCACATGGCAGAAGGGACCAGGGAGTGTCTGGGGTCTCTTTTATAAGGCCACTAGTTCCATTCATGAGAGCTCTATCCCAGTGACCTAATTACCCTCCAAATGCCTCACCTCCTAAGACAATCACATTAGGGATTAAAATTTCAACACGTGAATTTTAGGAGATACATTCAGTCCACTGCACCATACATCCAGATTTCCAAGCATACTTATTTTTTTCCTAGTTTCCTTTATTCACATCTCTCTTTTCTCTTTTCCCACATGAAATGTTAATGGTCTCGGAAGCACTTAACATCTTTTCTTGGTAGAGGGACTTTTAGAAATTGTGGTAAAATACACATAACATAAAATTTACCATCTTAATCATTTTTAGGTGGAGAGTTCAGTAGCATTAAGTATTAACACAGTCACATTGTTGTACAACCATCATCACCATCTGCCTCCAGAACTCTTTGCCTTATAAAACTGAAACCTTACACCCATTAAACAATAACTCCCATTTCCTGCCCACCCCTGACTCCTGACAACTACCATTCTGCTTTCTGTCTCTGTAGATTTGGCTACTCTAGGTATTTTACATAAGTGGACTCATATAGTATTTGCCTTTTTATAACTGATCAATTTAACTTAGCATAATATCCTCAAGTTTCATCCATATTATATGTCAGGATTTACTTCCTTTTAAAGGCTGAATAATATCCCCCTGTATGTATATACAACATTTTATCCATCTATCAATGAACACTTGGGTTGCTTCTACCTTTTGCCTATTATGAATAATGTTGCTATGAACATGGACATACAATCTCTTTGAGTCCCTACTATCAACTCTTCTGGGTAACTACCCAGAAGTGGAATTGCTTAATCACATGGTGATTCTATTTTTAATTTCTTGAGGAATTGCCATACTGTTTTCCATAACAGCTGCACCATTTTACATTCCCACCAACAGTGCACTGAGTTCCCAAGAGTTCTCCACATTCATGGCAATATCTGTTATTTTCTTTTTTTTTCTTCAGAGTTGCCATCCTAATGGGTGTGAGGCTGTATCTCACTGTGGTTTTGATTTGTATTGCCTAATTATATTAACGTTGAGTATTTTTAATGTGCTTATTCATTTGTGTATCTTCTTTGAATAAATGTCTATTCAAGTCCTTTGACCATTTTAATCAGGTTGTCTGGGGTTTTTTGCTGTTTTTGTTGGGTTGTAGAAATTCTCTATATGTTCTAGATATTACCCCTTTATTAGATATATGGTTTGCAAGTGTCATGAAGCTTTTCTCCTCTGTCTTCTTCTAAGCATTTTATAGTTTTAGATCTTTTGTTTAGGTCTTCGATTCATTTTGAGTTAACTTTTATATATATGGTGTAAGGTAAGGATCCAACTCTATTATTTTCCATTAGATAGCCAGTTTTCTCAGCACCATTTGTTGAAAAGACTGTCCTATTCCCATTGAAAGGTCTTGGCATCCTTGTAAAAAATCATTTGACCTTATGTGTGAGGATTTGTTTCTGGTCTCTCCATTCTACTCCATTGGTCTATATGCCTTCATTAACAATTTTTAATATTAAATAGATGTTGAAATAATATTTTGCATATATTGGGTTAAATATATTCTTAGATTTTTTTTTTTTACTGTTTCAATGTGGCCCATAGGACACTTATCACGTATTGGCTCTCATTGTATTTCTGTTGGACAGCACTGCCTAGATGCTTCAGACTGGAGCCACCGGGCAGTGTGGAGAGCAACAGCTAACGTCATGGGATTAGATGATCATCTGAAAGCTCCTCTCCTCTTGTGTTTATCATTATAGTACTTAGGGAGCAGGATATCACTGTGGCTGAGAATTGAGGCTTCTGAGTCAGGCAAGTCCAGGTTTCAAGACCTGCCCTGTCCAACACAGCAGCCACTAGCCATAGGTACTCATGTATGTACTGAGTATCTGAAATGTGGCTAATGTGAATTGAGATGTACTGTAAATGTAAAATACAGACCAGATTTCAAAGACTCAGTACCAAAAAAAGTAAAATATCTAGTTAATAACTTTTATATCAATTACATGTTAAAATATTAGTATTTCTGATAAATTGGGTTAAATAAAATGTATTATTAAAATTAATTTGACTTGTGTTTCTTAGTAGGCTATTTTTTAGATCAAGTTCACAGCAAAACTGACCAGAAGGTATAGATATTTCCCATATACCCACTGCCCCACACATGCATAGCCTACTCCATTATCAACATTCCCCACCAGAATGGTACATTTGTTACAACTGATCAATCTACACTGACACATCATTATCACCCAAAGTCCACAGTTTACATTAGAGTTCACTCTTGGTGTACATTCTATGGGTTTGGACAAATTTATAATGATATGTATCTACAATATTATAATATCATACAAAATAGTTCTACTGCTCTAAAAATCTTCTGTGCTCTGCCTGTTCATCCCTCCCTCCTCCCTAACTCCTGGCAACCACTGATCATTTACTGTCTCTATAGTTTTGCCTTTTTCAGAATGTCATATAGTTGGAATCATACAGGTATGTAGCCTTTTTGGATTGGCTTCTTTCACTTAGTAATATGCATTTAATCTCCCCCCATTGCTTTTTATTTTTTGACTTGTTAATTTTGATTTTTTAAAAATGTGGCTCCTAGAACATTTTAAATGACATATGCAGCTCACCTTATGTTTCTGCTGAACATTTCTCAGCTTGGCATGGGCAGTTTTTCTCAGCATGGCATCTTCCTGTCTTTCCAGTCACTCAAGTCCAAGCCTGGTTGTACTTGGTTTGCTGCAACCTAAACACACCAGCCTCCTTGCCTTCACACATACTAGAGTTCCTTCATTAGAGTTTTCTTTAACCCCCTCCCTCACCTGAAGACTAATTCATGCTCAGACCCAATTCAAATACGACATCTTTAGTGAAGCCTTTCTAAACTTCCACTGTACCTAAATCATTTTTTATAGCACATTCTACCTTATAATTTTTTTGTATGTGGCTGACTTTCTCTCCAGATTGTGAAATCTTTGAATTAGGCCCCATGTTTTGTTCATCTTTGGGTCCTCAATCCTTAGTACAGAGCCTGACACATGGTAGGCAATCAGAGATGTTAAGTTAATAAATGAATAAAATGCAGGAAAATTAACATATCCTCTAATAAGAGATAACATATTCACTTAGAATCAAATAGCTTAGAAAAGAACCTCAAATGCCATAAACAAGGGTGTAAAATTCTATCAGCCAACAGCTAAAATTATTCACAAGCTAAAATTTGTATTCAGTCAAAGCAACACATTAATCAATAATATTTATAAAGTATATCACAGTGAAAAGATGGTAAAGCACCTCCTAATGGTTAATGATAGTGATTGGCCTGGAGATGTGGAAACTAGCTATGGAAACTAGATGGTTAAAACAACCACATTCCGTACCATTAGACGCTGACAGCCCAGACCCCACCAAAATAGAGGCAGTGAAACAGCCTTTGAAGTTGTTTTCAAAGGAAGCCACCAAGATGATTAAAGGGTTGGAAAATGAGATTTATGGGTAATGGCCACAGAAACGAAGACAATTTTGCCTAGGCAAGAGAAAAGGCCGAAGGGTGACTTAATAACCATCTTCAATCATTGTTATTACACAGAGAATGATGACCAGATGGTCTCCATTTTCACCAGAGAAAGAATATTGAAAATGGACTTACGCTGCAGCATAAAAAAAAAAAAAAGGTCTAGTTTTAAACAAAGAACTCAATGGTTAAGAACTAGTATACAGCAAAGCAGACCTGGGGAGTGTGTGGTGTAGCCATGTCTGAACTCATCTGTTATGCTGGGAAAGCAGCAAGTGGGTAGGGTGTGTTCAGGTCTTCAACAGTCCTTTGTTGAGGGCAAATTCTCAACTGGCTAGTCCTCAAATGAATCACGTAGCATACAACCACAGGAGTGGAAAAGAAAGAGATATGAAAATTGAAACACAGCACCCTCTGGTGTACATAGCTGTCTTCTAATCTAGGAAAATTCTTCTTTTTTTTTTGAGACGGAGTCTCGCTGTCGCCCAGGCTGGAGTGCAGTGGCGCAATCTCGGCTCATTGCAAGCTCCGCCTCCCGGGTTCACGCCATTCTCCTGCCTCAGCCTCCCGCGGGGGACTACAGGCGCCCACCACCTCGCCCGGCTAATTTTTTGTATTTTTAGTAGAGACGGGGTTTCACCGTGTTAGCCAGGATAGTCTCGATCTCCTGACCTCGTGATCCCCCCGCCTCGGCCTCCCAAAGTGCTGGGATTACAGGCATGAGCCACCACGCCCGGCTGGAAAATTCTTGATATGTATCAGTATTTTTCAAAATGTAAGCTCCAAACCATGACAGAGTCAGGAGAAACTTACACAAGGCTGGTCTTAGGGTTCGTTTAATCGCTACATCCATCTTTATCAAGCACCTGCGATGCATTTCTCCCTGTTACCAGGAGGTACCAGGAAGCCTGTTACACAAGCAACCTCAACTTCTGCCTATAGCAAACTTGGATTCTTCCCAATCACCTTTTGAATGCTGAATTCAGACTCTGATACAACTAGCTGGCACATGACCATGCAATGCTGAGACATGATAACATCTGCCAGATAATGTGAATTTTGCCCTGTGTTCAGGAGTACATTACATATAAAAGTTAAGCAACACCTAAATGGGGGTGTTCCCTTAGACATTCTCCCTGCTATGTTGTGGTGTATACACCCTTCTTTACTGATCTCTGTCTGCCAAATCCCAGCCGGCCACTTTTTACATCCTCCTAGGCTTTATGCTGCAAAACCTTCCTAATATCCTTTTAAGTACAAAAGACATTCAATGAGCTCAAAAAGTTTGAGACCCAATCAAGAATCTTTTGCAGCCCTCTCAGTATCTTTAGCCATCTTGTTGCCAGATGGGAACTTCATTCACATGACACACATACTTCCTTCATGTGACTCACCATTGCTAAGCAACTGGTATGTCCTAGGTGAATAAAACATATGCCCTGTGTCTGAGATTCACAGTGCAGTAGGGGAACATGGATAGATACGGGTGTAAATAGATCAGCTGAAGCATGAGTTGAAGCTCAAGGCTCTACATGCCAAGAACAGAGGAAAAAGGCAATGGAGAGACCGGACAAGAACTATCAGGACATCAGAACAGAACTTACATCCTGTGAGAGCAGGACTTATGCTAAAAACAAGTCTTAAAGGATGAAAAGAAGTTGTCCAGGCAGACAAGACAGGAATATGTATCATCCTAGGCATAAAGTCCCAAGACATGTCACCTTTTGAAGAATGGAGCCATGTGGCACACTGTCCTCCAGTCCCAAAGGTCTCCTTGAAGAGACATGAAAATCCCACCTGAAGAACTCACCCTTGCAGATTGTACATAGCACAGACCTAAATGGCAACAAACAAGCAAACAAAAAACGCAGTACAGACTAGGCACTGATCTGATGGAAGCGAGACAGGCTGGAGTAGCAAAGGGTCTGACTAAGAAGCTTAGGAGGAATTCCTCTGATACCCTTCTTGGTGCCCCCTCCCCAGCAACATCTAACAGCCTCACTCGGGCCCAACTTCCCTGTTGCACTGGTGGCACTGCATTGCAATTGTGGGTACAAGATTCCTCCCCCACAAAACTGTGGGCTGAGGCAAGAGTTCTACCTTTTTATTACTACGCCTCTGACACTCAGCACATATGAAGCACAAGCAAAATTTGATGACTAAGCTAAGTAATTAGTTCATATGTGTGATTAGGGTTTGAAAGGGCAGAACCTTGGACCTATGATCCCAAATACCTTTGTCTATCTAGTTCACCTGGTTTTGTTCCTCCTCAGAAGCCATCTATCCTCCTTACCTTGGTTCATGTTTTCCTATCTCTCCATTTTATACACATAAACCAACTCCTACCCTCAAATCAGGGAAAAGGGACAGATATTCCTGTCCTCAAGTTAAGAGTGACCTATGTCAAAGTGAAAAACAACTAAGCCAAAAAGGTAACAGGGAACTGGCTTCTTGAGCACTCAGAAGAATTTGAGATTACTGCCTCGCGAGGGAAAAAGGGAAACCCAACCCGATTACAGTGTAAAAATAGGTCACTGCTTGAATACAGCCCTTTGGTTACTGGCTGCAAGCCCCTTTTTGCTTTTGACTCCAGTGTCACAAGAAAGTGGCAGCATAGTCTTAGAATAAGGGCTCCACAGCCAGCTGGCTGCTCGGCCAGGCCTTCCTGCTGGCATTCTAGAAGCAGCATGCAGGGCCAGGCACCTACTGGGGAGCTCAGTAAGCCTTTGTCACTGCTGACATGAAATACAAGAGTTGGTAAGTTTCTTTGGTTTTGTTTTGAACAAACTGGCAGATAGTTCAAGGTTGTCCTTGTAAGTCTCTCTCACTTGCATTCAGCTATACATTGTTTAGTAGGAAATGAGTATAGTTCAGCTAGTTCACTTATCCCCATGCCAAACCAGCAGGCAGCCTCTTTTCCATGAGAGACAGTTATAATTTTGAATTATTGTAATGCTGTACTTGCAGCAAACTCGGTGTGTGTGTGTGTATGTGCACACATGGCTGGGAGTGGGGGGTAGTGCCAAAATGTTGGTTCTATGGCAAACAACAACAACAAAACAAACAAACAAAAAAACCGGCTGTGTATAGCTAAAAAACATGGCCAAGAAAAAGGTAGAATAGAAAACATGTTTTATTATCCTGATACTAAAGCCTGGCAGAGACACAATAAAAAAAGAGAATTTTAGACCAATATCCCTGATGAACATCGATGCAAAAATCCTCAATAAAATACTGGCAAACCGAATCCAGCAGCACATCAAAAAGCTTATCTACCATGACCAAGTTGGCTTCATACCTAGGATGCAAGGCTGGTTCAACATATGCAAATCAATAAATGTAATCCATCATATAAACAGAACCAAAGACAAAAACCACATGATTATCTCAATAGATGCAGAAAAGGCCTTTGACAAAATTCAACAGCCCTTAATGCTAAAAACTCTCAATAAATTAGGTATTGATGGGACGTATCTCAAAATAGTAAGAGCTATCTATGACAAACCCACAGCCAATATCATACTGAATGGCAAAAACTGGAAGCATTCCCTTTGAAAACTGGCACAAGACAGGAATGCCCTCTCTCACCACTCCTATTCAACATAGTGTTGGAAGTTCTGGCCAGGGCAATCAGGCAGGAGAAGGAAATAAAGGGTATTCAATTAGGAAAAGAGGAAGTCAAATTGTCCCTGTTTGCAGATGACATGATTGTATATCTAGAAAACCCCATCATCTCAGCCCAAAATCTCCTTAAGCTGATAAGCAACTTCAGCAAAGTCTCAGCATACAAAATCAATGTGCAAAAATCACAAGCATTCCGATACACCAATAACAGACAAACAGAGAGCCAAATCATGAGTGAACTCCCATTCACAATTGCTTCAAAGAGAATAAAATACCTAGGAATCCAACTAACAAGGGATGTGAAGGACCTCTTCAAGGAGAACTACAGACCACTGCTCAATGAAATAAAAGAGGATACAAACAAATGGAAGAACATTCCATGCTCATGGGTAGGAAGAATCAATATCGTGATAATGGCCATACTGTCCAAGGTAATTTACAGATTCAATGCCAACCCCATCAAGCTACCAATGACTTTCTTCACAGAATTGGAAAAAACTACTTTAAAGGTCATATGGAACCAAAAAAGAGCCCGCATTGCCAAGTCAATCTAAGCCAAAAGAACAAAGCTGGAGGCATCATGCTACCTGACTTCAAACTATACTACAAGGCTACAGTAACCAAAACAGCATGGTACTGGTACCAAAACAGAGATGTAGACCAATGGAACAGAACAGAGCCCTCAGAAATAATGCCACATATCTACAACCATCTGATCTTTGACAAACCTGACAAAAACAAGAAATGGGGGAAGGATTCCCTATTTAATAAACGGTGCTGGGAAAACGGGCTAGCCATATGTAGAAAGCTGAAACTGGATCCCTTCCTTACACCTTATACAAAAATTAATTCAAGATGGATTAAAGACTTAAATGTTAGACGTAAAACCATAAAAACCCTAGAAGAAAACCTAGGCAATACCATTCAGGACATAGGCATGGGCAAGGACTTCATGTCTAAAACACCAAAAGCAATGGCAACAAAAGCCAAAATTGACAAATGGGATCTAATTGAAGAGCTTCTACAAAGCAAAAGAAACTACCATCAGAGTGAACAGGCAACCTACAGAATGGGAGAAAATTTTTGCAATCTACCCATCTGACAAAGGGCTAATATCCAGAATCCACAAAGAACTCAAACAAATTTACAAGAAAAAAACAACCCCATCAACAAGTGGGCAAAGGATATGAACAGACACTTCTCAAAAGAAGACATTTATGCAGCCAAAAGACACATGAAAAAATGCTCATCATCACTGGCTATCAGAGCAATGCAAATCAAAACCACAATGAGATACCATCTCACACCAGTTAGAATGGCAATCATTAAAAAGTCAGGAAACAACAGGTGCTAGAGAGGATCTGGAAAAATAGGAACACTTTTACACTGTTGGGGGGACTGTAAACTAGTTCAACCATTGTGGAAGTCAGTGTGGCGATTCCTCAGGGATCTAGAACTAGAAATGCCATTTGACCCAGCCATCCCATTACTGGGTATATACCCAAAGGATTATAAAACATGCTGCTATAAAGACACATGCACATGTATGTTTATTGCGGCACTATTCACAATAACAAAGACTTGGAACCAACCCAAATGTCCAACAAAGATAGACTGGATTAAGAAAATGTGGCACATATACACCATGGAATACTATGCAGCCATAAAAAATGATGAGTTCATGTCCTTTGTAAGGACATAGATGAAGCTGGAAACCATCATTCTCAGCAAACTATCGCAAGGACAAAAAACCAAACACCGCATGTTCTCACTCATAGGTGGGAATTGAACAATGAGAACACACAGACACAGGAAGGGGAACATCACTCACCAGGGCCTGTTGTGGGGTAGGAGGAGTGGGGAGGGATAGCATTAGGAGATATACTTAATGTTAAATGAAGAGCTAATGGGTGCAGCACACCAACATGGCACATGTATATGTAACAAACCTGCACGTTGTGCACATGTACCCTAAAACTTAAAGTATAATTAAAAAAATAAAATAAAATAAAGAAAATATGTTTTATTAACAAACAGCATATTTTATAATGGCGGTGATCAATATTTATTAAACACAAGGTTCTAGAGGGCTCTTCTGGTAGGATAATTCTAAGAAAGAGGTTCCAGATGTCAACTTACATATTCCCTTATAAAACACAGCCCTGGCTTACACAGTATCTGGTGTACATGTCTCTTCTCTCCAATGAACTATAAGATCTTTGAGGTAAGGGTTCAGTGCTGCACCACTCAGCTACACTAATGGCAATGTGCACACAGTGAGCACTCATTAAATACATCAGTTACAGTTCACTTGCAGTTGCTTGCTTACTACCAAAAACCGGGGTCAATCATTATAAGCATTCCCATCCAACACCCAATTTGTTGCATGGGGAATGAACTTCAGTTTGGGTCCCTTGCTATTAAAGCACTCAATACCCATTATTTGTTTGCATTTATGTCGAACTCATAGATGCAGGATCTGAAAAGTTAAATGAAGCTTAACATAGGCATCCAAATAAAATTAATTAGAATTTATATCTCAACTATTTCTAACAGAGTTTGAGTAACAAGACTCAACAGAAGGAAAACAGGGTAATAACAGAGACTAAGAGGGAAAAAAAGGAAGGCAGCAGGGAGTGAAGGCTGGAGAAGAGAAGAAGGAAGGAAAAGAAGGAGGGACAGAGGGTGGAAACATCTATCTAAGCAAGAGCTTCTTCCTCAAGTCAAAAATTTCTGCAAAAAACAACATCTTTTTGGACAAATTTACATGATGCTTCTAACATCTGCTCATTGTGAAAAATGCAGGATAAAAACCTACAAATTCAGTATTTTTAGTATTTTTATCTAAATTTATATTTCATCAAAACAAGATAAATTTGAAAAATATTAATACATATATAGGCAAGACATTTCCTTACTTTGCGGAAATATGCTCACATAAATAATCCATTCTTTGCCAAAATAGAGCCCTTCCAACACCTGTTCCCCAATCTCCAAGGCAGGGTCTTGGTCCATGGGTTAGAATCACTAAAACACACAAAATACAAGGAAATGTATCTATTAAGCACCATTTGGATTCTAAGATGCAAGTAAGAAACCTAATTTGAAAGGGCTTACATAATAAAGGTGGTTTGCTGGCACATGCAAATGGAAAGTTCAGCGGCTTCAGGTTGAGTTTGAGTCAGTTGCTCTATGATGAAAACAAGGGCCTATTTTCTCTCTCTTTTTTTTTTTTTTTTTTTTTTTTTTGGGAGACGGAGTCTTGCTCTGTCGCCCAGGCTGGAGTGCAGTGGCATGATCTCGGCTCACTGCAAGCTCCGCCTCCTGGGTTCACGCCATTCTCCTGCCTCAGCCTCCCGAGTAGCTGGGGCTATAGGCGCCCACCACCATGCCCCGCTAATTTTTTTTTTTTGTATTTTTTAGTAGAAACGGGGTTTCACCATGTTAGCCAGGATGCTCTCGGTCTCCTGACCTCGTGATCCGCCCGCCTCGGCCTCCCAAAGTGCTGGGATTACAGGCGTGAGCCACCGTGCCTGGCCAATAAGGGCCTATTTTCTTTCTTTCTACTTCGTCAACCACATCCTAGGGGTAGCTTCCCTCGTGACAGCAAGGTAACTCCAGCAGCCCCAAGCTTCATGTCCCAAACATCCAGAAGGACACAGAGAGAGGGCCGTCTTGGGGAGGTCTATCAGAAGACTGAAGAGCCTTCTTCCCAAAGTCCTCAGCAAGCATGCTGGTGGCCTGCACAGGTCACATGCCCAGCCATGAACAAACCTCTTGGCATGACTGCCACTGGGTTAATCACTGTGCAACAGGTGTGGGGTTTACCTGACTGGGCTTAAACAATCAAGATCCATCCCTGGAGCTGGGGGTGGGACCAATCCTTCTCCTACCAGAAGACAGAAACAAACATTCCCTGTTTCCTATGGAAGGGACTGGGGAGGGAGGGAGAAGAGACATTGTGAGAAGGGGAACAATTAGAATGCCCTCCACCCTTCACCTGGCACTGAATTTGACCCTGTGATTCCCAGTATCAAGGGAAAATATGGAAATGTATTTTAAGTGACACTATTTTTATCGTTTAACAAAGACAAATGTTTATTCTTATACAGAGATAAATTCTTTTGAAGGGAAACCCAAGGAGAAGAATGTCTTGGAACTGTGTTTAAGAGAAAATAGGTAAAGCAGGAGGCTTAGTTTGGAAAGATGCAGTCACACTCAATAGGCCATTCCTTTTTTTTTTTTGAGACAGTCTCTTGCTCTGTTGCCCAGGCTGGAGGGCAGTGGCGCCATCTTGGCTCACTGCAACCTCTGCCTCCCAGGTTTAAGCGATTCTCCTGCCTCAGCCTTCCAAGTAGCTGGGACTGCATGTGCATGCCACCATGCCAGGCTAATTTTTGTATTTTTTTAGTAGAGATGGGGGGTTTTGCCATGTTGGCCAGGCTGGTCAACAGGCCATTCCTACATGGATCCTCCAGAAGGCAGAGCATGGGACAGTAAATCATATCATAATCCAGTGAAGTTACTTTGGCAGAGGGCTGAGATGATATAGCTCAGATGCTTTCCCTTCAAATCATCGAACTTACTGCAAAGAGTAGTAACTCACATATCTTAGAACCCCTTTTTTAATGTTTATTTTTGTAGGTACATGGTAGGTATATATATTTATGGGTTACATGAGATATTTTGGTACAGGCATGTGACGCATAATAATCACATCAGGGTAAATGAGGAATTCATCGCCTCAAGTATTTATCCTTTGAATTATACTGTTATTTGTAAATGTACGATTATTTTCTACAATAGTCACCCTGTTGTGCTGGCAAATACTAGGTCTTATTCAATTTTTTTGTACCCACGAACCATCCCTATTTCCCCCCCGTCACTCACCCTACTACCCTTCCCAGCCTCTGGTAACCATCCTTCTACTCTGTATCTCGATAAGTTCAATTCTTTTAATTTTTAGCTCCAACAAATAACTGAGAACATGCAAAGTTTGTCTTTCTGCTCCTGGCTTATTTCACTTAACATAATGACCTCCAGTTCTATCCATGTTGTTGCAAATGACAAGATCTCATTCTTTTGTATCGTTGAATAGTACTTCATTGTGTATATGTACTACAGTTTTCTTTATCCATTCATCTGTTGATGGGCACATAGGTTGCCTTCCAAATCTTGGCTATTGTGAATAGTGCTACAATAAACATAAGTATGCAGATATCTCTTCGATATACTAATTTCCTTTTTGGGGGTATATACCCAGCAGTGGGATGGCTGGATTGTATGATAGCTCTATTTTTAGTTTTTAGAGGAACCTCCAAACTGTTCTCCACAGTGGGAAATTACATTCCCAGCAACAGTGTACAAGGTGTCCCTTTTCTCCATATCCTCACCAGCATTTGTTACTTATTGCCTGCCTTTTGGATAAAGGTCATTTTAACTGGGGTGAGGTGATATGTCCTTGTAGTTTTGATTTGCATTTCTCTGATAAATGATGCTGAGCACTTTTTCCTATGCCCGTTTGCCATTTGTATGTCTTCTGAGAAATGTCTATTCAAATCCCTTGCCCATTTTTAATGGGATTATTAGATTTTTTTCCTATCGAGTTGTTTGAGCTCTTTATATATTCTGATTATTAATCCTTTGTCAGAAAGGTAGTTTGCAAATATTTTCTCCCATATTGTGGGTTGTCCCTTCACTTTGTTAATTGTTCCCCTTGCTGTGCAGAAGCTTTTTAACTTGATGTGATTCCATTTGTTCATTTTTGCTTTGGTTGCCTGTGCTTGTCCAGGTATTACTCAAGAAATCTTTGCCCACTTCTGTTTCATGGGTCTATGTGTCTGTTTTTATGCCAATATCATGCTGTTTTGGTTACTATAACTCTGTGTATAATTTGAAGTTAGGTAATGTGATTCTTCCAGTTTTGTTCTTTTTGCTCTGGATAGCTTTGGTTATTCTGGGTTGTTTGTGGTTCCAATAAAAATTTTTGAATTGTTTTCTCTATTTCTGTGAAGAATGTCATTCATATTTTGATAGAGATTGCATTGACTCTGTAGATTGCTTTGGGTAGTATGAACATTTTAACAATATTTATTCTTCCAATCCATGAATTAGACCCCTTATGTATCATATTTATAAAAGTAAGCTCAAGCACTTTAAAATCATGACCTCTAGAGTGTTTTAAATTACTGTCATTATCAGATTATCCTCTGAGTGTGCATGTGTGTGTGTGTACATGTGTGCACCTGTCATTATTTCAAATTTTAAAATATTTGAGTGCTACTAGATGCTCAGCTCTAAGAGACAGGGTACAAGGAGGAAGAGTTCAAAACTATAGTTGTCTCTGCCCTCAAGAAGTGTAACAACTACTACTACCATCAACTGGATAAAATTATAGGATGTCAGGCACTGTGCTTTACATTTATTTTCTCATTTAATTTGATCCTCACAATAACCCTATGAGCTAAATATCAACTTGATTTTCCAAATTGGGAAACCAAGGCTTGAATGGCTAAGTCATTTGACTCAGTCACACAAGCAACAGGCAACAGCAAGGATTCAAAGCCAGGTACTCCCAATTCCAAAGCCTAGATTCTTAACCACAGCACATCTGGCTGACAAGAAAACACAAACATCCATTAAGGGTGAGGAGTAGAAAGAGTATATTTACAGTGAAGAGCTAAGTCCTGAGATATGGAGTAAAGTGGCTTAGGAGAAATCAAAGAATGCAAATAGGGTGAGGAGGAGCCACATACACAGCTGTTAGCTTTGTGAACCCTGTGAACACTGATGCCTAACTGATCAAACACAATCTGTCTGCTGGCCTCTGACCCATGATCTACTAGTGTACTATGTCTTTAGCCACTGACAGAATGGAAAACCAATGACGTTTTGACAGGCCTTAAGACCTTTCAAAGTTATCTCCAAGGATGGAATCAGCTCTTTCCCTGATGTGGACAGACTTCTATTCTGTTCTAGACATAAGGCCATATATGGAGGAAGTTTGAAATCCTCTGGCCAAATACTAGATAGTACTTCCATTGTTTAATAATTAAGTGATTTTTATAACCCTATCCCTAAGAGCATATGGCAATTGTCTTTGCCCACAGGATCAACTGTCACTAACCTTTTAGCTTGGTGGAAAAAGCTAAATGTCTTATAATGTCTAAAAAAATGTAATACCACTTCCTCTGTGCTTGTCTCCATGTACCAGGAAGTCGTGGGTCTAAGTGGATGTGGTGTCCCTCTCATGCCTCAGCAGTCCCTTTACAAAGCAGCAGACTTCTGGGTACCCAGGTCGGGGCAGACCTCCCAACCTTCAGGGTATGCTTCTAGGTTCCCAGTGCTCCAAGAGAGGGAGAAATACTTCCTCTATAAAATAATGGGGAGTCAGAGGCATATGGGATTTCCCTTTGCTTCCATGAAATTAGGAGAAAGCACCAACACTTTCTAGTAATTCCACAGTGAATAGGATGTGCTACCAGCCCAGCATCAGTAGGGCTTCTCTTCATTCTCAAGAAGTGTAATTACCTGACGTGGCTGCCTGGAATTAAGATTGCCGCTATCAAGGTAATAAGAAACAGTTCCATTCTTCCCCATGAGCCAATTATTATCAGGGTCACATCTGGAACCTTGGCTTCATTTTCCCGATTCAATCCATATTTGAATGACCACTATGGACCAGGTTCTATGCTAACATCTCACTGACTCAAACAGTCTTAGGAAATGGATATTATTTCTGTCTTACCTATGTGGAAGCTAAATAAAGCTCAGGAAAGTTATATCTTTTGTCACAGAGCTGGACAATTATAGTTGGATACCAGACTGAATCTCCTGACACTATGTTCTGGGCTGACTCCACTATGTGCCACTGACTCCCGTAGTGCTGAGGTTTGGGGCCTTATAATATTATTATTATAATAACAATACATGGGATTTCAATGGTCATCCTCATAATCAAGCTCTTACTCTACTCTCAAAGGAGAAAGAACATATCATGTTGAAGGGGGCTATTAGAAGGCAAATGTGGTAAGTGCTGCAATGAATGGACACAAGCAGTTTAGAAACCCTATGACGAGGATCAACTCTGACTGGAGTGAGGATGAAGGAAAACTTAAGAGATGTGAAGCCATCCACTGGGGAGGAGATGCTTTTGAGGTTAACAGAAGCTCTTAAACACAGAGTTGGAAGCAGGCAAACACTAAGGGATTCGTGGACCACCTCTTACATCAGGGTTTCTCAATCTTTTTATTGACATTTAGGGCTAGATAATCCTATGTGCTGGGGGGCTGTCCTGTAAATTGCAGGATATTTAGTAACATCCCTGACTAGATGCCCACTAGATCCCAGTAGAGCACACTGTCCCCAGGTCATGACAACCAAAAAGTCTCCAGACACTGCCAAATATCCCCTAGGGGACACAGTTATCCCTAGTTGAGAACCAGTGCCTTTGGTGAAGATGTGCCAGAAACTGGGGATTGGCTAAATGCGGAGGCTGGGGAGGTGCAGAGCAAGAACAGGAAGCCATGAACCAGATAGGAAAGAGGGACAGATGTGTGACTCAAGTCCTCTCAGCAACTCCCTCAGGTATGGACTCTGACTACCTTAAAGCAAACGGAGGGTCAGGCACAGTAGCTCACGCCTGTAATCCTACCACTTTGGGAGGCTGAGCCAGCAGGATCACTTGAGCCCAGGAGTTCAAGTCTAGCCTAGGCAATAGAGTAAGGCCCTGTATCTGTTTTTTAAAAAACACATATTTAAAAAAAGACAAATGGAGGCAAATAAGATCCCATGATGAGGGCCCTTTGATGAATGTCCAGTAGGACCCTGATTGGGAGTAGGACATTTATAAGTGGAGAGGATGGATTCTAGACCCACGCAGCTTGGAACAGAAAAACCCTTACTCTCTTTCTCCTTTCAGTAAATCAAAGAAAGAGAAGACAACCAGGGGGAATGCTAATAGAATAGTCATAATGAACCTGGAATTCCCACGCCCATTTGGGAGGATTGGAGAGGAACTGGATAAGGAGAAATACTGATGTGTGTTGTGTCTGTGACTGCAGTGCCATCCTTACCTTCTCGGCCATCTCCTATTCCCTCACCTCTCACCCTTGGAAGGGTTTTGGCCCAGGAAAAGCAAAAGGAGTTGGGATACTTACTTCAGGGAGGGAGGAAGGAAAGAAAAGAAGGGAGTAGAGATGAGAGAATTCTGAGGTTCAAAAGATATCTATTGACAGTGTTCACAAAAAGGACCATGTTTCCCAGTAAAAAGAAAACAAGGTAAAGCTGAGGCTGGGGATGGGGGTTGAGGAAAGGGAAGGGGCCTACAAGTAAATGTTTACAAAATGCCCACTGAGTGTCAATTCTGGGCAAGGCACATTGCATGAGTCACCACCTTCAATTTTCACAGCATCATGTAATACCTATATATGAAGTGGTTATAACAAGCTCCTTTCTATAGAGAAGGAAAGTGAGGTTCAGAGGCATCTTCACAGACTGAGGGGACTCCCAGCGTGGCCAGGGGCTTGTTTGGCAGACTCCTCCATGCTGTGCCTCCTCACACTTCAGCACCCACAGCCTCTTGCCTCATGCAAGCTGTAGCTGCCTGCTTGTCTGTTTGCTCTGCAACATTAGAGCAGAGGGGCTCTAATCTGTGTCAGGTGCTGTGCTTTGAGTTCTGTGACTCTAGTATTTCCTTATGTGCCAGGCACAGGCCCCAGTGATACAAAGAAGGGAGCAAGAGTTAACGCTGAGGTGAACAAAGGACCCATGGAAGCCCAGCTGTGTGAATTTACAGCACAACTAATGAGCACACCCAGTTACATAACTGCCTCTCCTGCTCTGCTCCTATGCTCAGCAGCCACTAGAGGAAAGCAGGGCTGTCTTTCTTTTCCTGTGCTATATATAATTCCAACTGTTTGGGCAGGGAAATGTGCTACAGCTCCACAGCTCAGTTACATTAGATCTTAATTTTTTCTTAAAAACCTAGCAATTTCTAACAGTGATGCCACAAAGATAATAATACAGTAATCTTAAGATTGAGATACTTTACCCACATTTCCTGCACTTTTCTACCTTGAAAACACTCATTATTTCTGGTTCCACTTTGAGAAGCAGCAAGCAAGGAAAGGGTGAAAATGTGAGATGCTGAAGAGACAGCTTGCAACATTCCATAATTACAGCCTTCAATGCTGGAACCTCAAGTCTCCAATATCAAATGGAACAGTACTTCCCCTTGGTATCTAACTAGGAGCTGATCCATTAACCAGGAATATATTTTTGATATAGAGTAGGCCAGTTTTGTTTCTGGTTCTTTTGCATCTCCTTTCCTAGGCCCTAAACACAGACTCCATGACCTCATGACAGTAGAATGAATGCTGCATAAAGAGAATCATTCATTCGTCCTGGGACTTCACTGAAGATGATTTTTGCTTAGTAAGCCTCTTCTTCAGATATAATACTAAAAGGTATGTTTTCTGAGACCTATTAAAGCACACATTTACTAAAATTTACATTAAGTTCATGTCAGTCCTAAAAGGTTCTCTAATTTCTGAAAGCCATAGTCTGTTATTCTAATGTGAATTGTTACACACACATACAGACACACCTTGAACATTTTAAAATTACATTTATTTAAGCATACTCACTCACTCATACTTTTTGCCAATTTGGTTGGGCTTTCCCCTAAACCAATTCTTCTAAAATGGTGAGACTTTAACAAATAAAATGATATAGCTGATATTTTCATAGGGTAATAGGTTAAGAAGAAAAAAATCCAGGCTTTTGAAATACTAATTGTATTAGCATTAATACTAATACCTAGGCCAGGCGCAGTGGCTCACACCTGTAATCCCAGCACTTTGGGAGGCTGAGGCAGGTGGAACACTTGAGGTCAGGAGTTTAAGACCAGCCTGGCCAACATGAGGAAACCCCATCTCTACTAAAAATACAAAAATTAGCCAGGCGTCGTGGCACATGCCTGTAATCCCAGCTACTCGGAAGGCCAAAGCAGGAGAATCACTCGAACCCAGGAGGTGGAGGTTGCAGTGAGCCGAGACTGTGCCACTGCACTACAGCCTGAGGGACAGAGCAAGACTCCATCTGAAAAAAAAAAACCAAACAAACAAACAAACAAACAAAAAAAACTAATATCTAAATATTAGCAGTACTATGATTTATAGACATGAACTCTTATAAAGAGTATGTATATGGCTGGGCATGGTGGCTCATGCCTGTAATCCTGGCACTATGGGAGGCTAAGGCTGGCAGATCGCTTGAGCCTAGGAGTTTGAGACCAGCCTGGACAACATGGCAAAACCTTGTCTCTACAAAAATACAAAAATTAGATGGGCATTGTGGCGTGCGCCTCATGCCTGCAGTTCCAGCTACTTGGCGGGGCTGAGACAGGAGGATTGCCTGAACCCAGGAGGTCGAGGCTGCAGTGAGCCAAGATCATGCCACCGCACTCCAGCCTGGGTGACAGAGGGAGAACCTGTTTCAAAAAAGAAAGACTTGCTTAATACTGGGCAGCTCAGTTATAGCAAGTACTAGTCAAGGGTGGCATGTCACTGTGTTCAGAGTTGGATGAACCTGGGTTCTAATCTGGACTCAGCTACTTCCTAGTGTAGGTCATTTGGGTCTTGGGCAAAGTATTGAACCTCCCAAACCTCAGTTCTCTTTTGCACAATGGAAATCATCTGAATATAGACAAGATAGGGCCCACTATAAAAATTAAACAAGATAGTCTGTGTGGAAGTATCTTTAACAGGCATTAAGTGCCTGTTAAGTGTCTTTAACAGGAGAATTAAGTAGCATGTTCAGGCTTTTTGCCTCCTTCCTCTTCCCCTCCACTCCCCAGTGACCAACTTGCACCCTGAGTAAGGTTTTGCAGCACCATCCTTCTCCTGTGGCTTGTAAACCTCTGCAGTAACTTCAGCAATCTACACTGCCTGCACCCTGCCCTCCCTGTATGCTCCCCTGAATCACAACCATATTTGCCTTTCTAGAGCACATATCATTGTCTTCAGTGATTCCCTGCAGGACAAAGTCTGCCCACTTCAGCCTGGTATCATGATCCTGTCTTAGTCTGGTCCAACCCACCCTTTCTGAACAGTTCCTTACAAACCCACATCTTCCTACCTCAACTCTGCCTAGGCCATTCCCCTGCTTCAAGCTCTTACAGAGCCTCCCATGGCCTACAGTATAAATTCCTAACTGTTTCAGGTGGCATTTGAGACCGATGGTATCAGGTCCCTGCGCCTCTCCAGTTTCACTGTCTGCTACTCGTTTCCCTCCTTATACTTTACACCCAAGCGTAAATCTACTTATAGTACCTGAAACCCCATGCTGGGTCATCACTCTTCAGCTTTACATATACTCCTCTCTTTGACGAGAATACTCTTCTCATCCATTTGGCAAATTCTTCAACAGACTTCAAACCTCTCTCAAATGCCTCTACTTCTGTGGTACAGTCTGTCCAGAACTGTGTCTTGTACATTTTTCTACTACTTTGCACCTGTGCCTGTCATACAACGATTTCTCCAGTTTCTCCGGTTTTTTTTTTGTAATTCACTGACCATTATTAATGTCTTCTCTGCTAAAAGTATAACAACACTCAGCTTTGCACAGAGCAGTTACTTGGGAAATGTTTGCATTGCTGAACACAGGCAGCTTCCAATCTCATGGGAACATCAAATGAAATGCAGAGGATACATGCTATACAACACAGTCAAGAGGACTGAAAGCAGGCAGCAGGAGAATTCCACAATATTCCTGTTTAAAATGTTAAAATGTTGGTGGCTGCCAGAGCTCAGGAAAAGAAAATTTTTTTATGTGGTTACAGCTCACTCTAACGAGTCAATTACATTGACCTAAAGCCCATGGTGCTCAAAACTGTATTTCTCTCTCCAAAACCTCATTCTTTTATAAAGCTCCCTCCTCTGTGGAATGAATGTGGGCAATCGCTTTTGCAGTGTTTGACGATGCCAGTTTATGGCTATGTTTTTCTGTTCACTGAACTGGCTCATTTCTTCAGGAGAACAAACTGTTCTCCACTGAAGCAGGAATTGGCTGGGTTCTAACAAAAAGATTTTTCCCCCCTGACAGTGTTTTTGCAAAAGACCCAAGTCAATTTATAGCCAAGTAACAAAAGGTCAGAAAGGTTAGTCAAGCAATGGGCGTAATTCCTGTGTGTCACAGCCAATAAAGGAAATGGGTGGGGATAAATAGTATGCAATTTTAACCTGAAATTATTTGTGCAAAACTATTCTTGTAAACTATACAAAATTACCCATGACTTCCACTATATAGGATTTCTCACTCTGATTTTTTTAAAGGTACATTTACTTTGGAAGAACTGAGATGACCTCAAATTCCTCATTCACAAATGGAAAATGTTAAAAACTTTCTTCACACTAATATAAGAAAAACTTGGTCATTGTTTTGCAGCCCTGAAACAGAATTGTTCACATAAAAAAAAAAATCTCATAGTTAAGTCACAATTAAATACAATTTGCATGACTGAATTTAAAATAAATTGCAAAATTCCCTTGCCAAAAGGGAAACAACATTGACCAAAAGGATAGGTCAAGAAAAGACCCTACAAAAGTGACAGTTCCTCTGTTTTAATCATGCTAAAAGTATAACAAACTACTGCATTATTCAGTGAGCATAAGAACAAGAAAAGCCTGCCTTTAAAGCAGACACGAAGAACTGACATCACCAGCCAAGCAAGCGGAAGGCAGATGAGTAATAGCCTGCACTGGGCGGCCAACCAGGCCCAGGCCCATCAGTCTGTGGAGTAAGAAAGCCTTTCAGATATCAAGGTCGTTGGGAGGCCTCCTTCCCCCAGTTCTCCAATACAAAGTCTAATCTACTCACCATTTAAAACAATCTTAGCATCCAAAAGATGAATGGTTAAATAGAACCCTGTCACCGTTCAGACAAGATGGTCTAAACCCATTTCTCTCCCCACCTCCTTGTAAGCACAACTGTAAATCCTGAAAATAACACAAAAGGCAACCAAAGGAGAAGTCTGAAAGAAAAAGGAAGGTGAATTACTTAGGGACCCAGGATTGGAGGAACAACATAGCAGCACATCTTATGACCACACCCCCATTCAATAGAAGAAGGTGGCCGAGGGTGTTTCCCAACCCCCAACCTAGCAACAGAGGGCAGCAGAGGATTGAATGGGAGTTCTGCCGACAATACCAAGCCAGCTGGAAGCACCAACAAGGGGGATAGCTCAGGACCCCACTAACAATAAAGCAGTCTGGGGAAACACTTTTCCCCCCAACTACAGGGCCCCCAGGAAGCAAGCTGCATCCCAGCAGGATGGAGACTCCCTCCTCTACCTAGATATCAGGCAGCATGGCCTGGGGAAACTCCTTACCCCCATCAGACAGCACCAACAGGGACTAGTGGGAGCCGTGGCAGCACCAGATAAACCAAGTGGACCAAAAGAGTACTGCAAAGGCTCTGAAAAGTAAATCATCGTTGGAACCACAAGAGTAAATCCCAGCTCACATGCTGCATCTAAACACTGTGACCGCCTGCTAAAATGGAAGATTTAAATAGGACCCAGACTCTCTTAATAGACAAAATGTCCGAAGTAGATTTTAAAAAATCACCTGTTGGCCAGGCGTGGTAGCTCATGTCTGTAATCCCAGTACTTTGGGAGGCTGAGATGGTTTAATCATTTGAGGCCAGGAGTTCGAGACCAACCTGGGCAACATGGCAAAACCATGAAGATGGACTGAAAACAGACAGAACCTCCAACACTTATGAAACAATAGCAAAAGATCCAATATTCATATTATCAGAGTCACAGGAGAGAATAAAAAGAAGGGCTGAAAGAGTATTCAAAAAGATAATGACTGAAAATTCCCCAAATTTGCTGAAGGACATAAACCTAGATTCAGAAGGTGAACATATCCCAAATAGGATAAACTCAAAGAAATCCACACTAAGACACATCTTAATTATATTTCTGTAAATTAAAGACAAAGAATAACTCTTGAAAGCAGAGAAAAACAACATACTACCTATAAGGGAATATCAAGCGACAACAGGTTTCTTATCTAAAACCATGGAGGCCTGGCCGGGCACACTGGCTCACGCCTGTAATCCTATGACTTTGGGAGGCCAAGGCAGGCAGATCATTTGAGGTTAGGAGTTTGAGACCAGCTTGGCCAACATGGTGAAACCCCGTCTCTACTAAAAATAAAAAATAATAACAAATAAAATTAAAAAATAAAACCATGGAGGCCAGAAGGAAGTGGCACAACATTTTTATGGTTAAAGGAAGTTTTTCAAACAGAAAGGAAATGATTAAAAGAATTCTGAAGCATCAAAAGGGAACAGAAAACAACAGAAAAGGCAGAAATATGGGGAGATATATATATATATAGATTATCCTCCTGTAGTCCCAGCTATTTGGGAGGCTAAAGCAGGAATATTGCTTGAGTCTAGAAGTTCACTTCTACCCTGGGCAACATAGCAAGACTCTGTGTCTTAAAAAAATTAAAAATTAAAAGGGGGAAGGTAAAGGGACCTGAATGGAAATCAGGTTTCCACATTTCACTCAAAGTGGTAAAATACTGATCATAGTAGACTACAGTAAGTCACATAGGTATACTGTAATACTCAGAGCAACTGCTAAGAAAATAATACAAAGAAATACACTAAAAAAACTATTAGAAAGTCAAGATAAAAACCTCTCAAAATGTTCAAGTAACCCAGAGAAAGACAAGAAAAGAAACAGTAAATAATAAATGGCAGATTAAAGCTCTAATATGTCAATAATTAGCTTAAAGATAAATGATCTAAATACACCAACTAAAAGGCAAAGACTGGCAGAGTAGAATAAAAATACAACCCAACTATATGCTGTTCACAAAAACTCACTTCAAATTCAACAAAATAGTTAAGCTAAAAGTAGAGTACTGTCTATAGAATAGATAGAATAGCAATGCTTATTTTACATTATGCTTATCATTTTTGATACAGAAAAATATTTGGATAAGACATGATAAATAAATACATAAATATCCTAAAAGTGAGATACAAAATATATATATATATATAACATGGCTTTACACTGTATGTAAGCAATTTCTAAATTAATACCTAAAAGGAATGATATCAAGATATCACTAAGGGAATCTCAATTATCTTCATTATTCTTTCCTATGTTTTTCAGATTATCTACAATAAGAAAGAATGGCTTTTATAACTTAAAAAATGTTGTTTTTTCCAAATAAAGCAGTCTATTCAAGATAACTGTATTGCTGCCTAGGGAGGAGGAAATAGTCTTTATCATTGCTAGCCACCATTAATGTGGATCTTTCTACTGGTGAGTTGGCTGTCTATACCTGCCTTACCCTCCAAAAGACCAGAGGCACAGGGCAGAAGGCCTGAAAGACCAGGAAATGTCCTCTTTTCAGACTTTGGGTATGGGATCCAGGGAGGAGGGGCTGGGAGTGGGAAATGAGAAGTTAGGGAGCAGAGGGATAGGGGACAGGGGCTAGAGAGAAGACAGTACAGACAGTAGAGCAGGACTACTGGATGCCTGCCTCACTTCTAGTGGTTTCCAGAGTCATTGCTCTAGGTCTTCTTAGGCCTCGCCACTGAGCTAGTTCCTGTGTTTTCTTAATCCATCACCTGAGACCATGTGAGTACGTCTTAGTCCCCTATGGCCCAACAGAGCCAAACCCAGGTGTCATCCCGCGATGCTGGTGGCCACAGCCCAGAAGAGGAAAGTCTTCATTTTATACTGCCAAGTAAGTCTAACTGTAACATGCCCATCTTATTTTTCAGTTTCTCTCTAACTTTATCCAGGAGTCTTGTGACAGCCTTCCTACCATATAACATGCCCAATCCCTTTTCTGGCATTTTAAGTAAGAAATTCTAAAGTAATCTTCAGTTCTTCCTCACCCATTACTTATATATACAATATATTATTATAAAGGAGACAACACAGAATATAGAAGGCAGATTTCTAAGGTCCCCTATTAGAGGTTTATAATTCTTTTATAAAATGTTATCTTTTCTCTTCCTCAACACAACAAACGAACCCCATTAAAGTCAAAACTGAAAACTCTGGCCAGGAGTCTGTTATATGTAAGATGCCTCCTTGTTGATGTTGCTATAGTCCTAATTAACAGTCGACAGGACATTTCAAGACTTCTCACTCTTATCACCAGTCCTGGAAAAGTTGTCTTTTTCTATAACTGAGGACATGGAATCCCATCTCTAGGGCCACACAGGATAAACCAAAGCCAACCTTGACCTTAAGGAAATTTGTAAGGACTGCAGGACTATTTTAGTGCCCCCACCCTTGCCATCTCTCATGGTCAAAGTACCAACAAGAAGAGGAAACACAATTTTGCAAATACTTTAGCGTATATTATTTGAGACCACATTCACAGTTAAAATAAGCTTTTATTTTACCTGTTGTCTTGGTTTTTGGGACTACAGTAAAAAAAAAAAAAAAAGTATGGACTTGGAGTAAAAGTGTCCCTATTACTTATTAGCTGCATAGCTTTGTAGCCTCTTTGTCTATAAAATGGAAATAATTATGTATATCTTTTGTGAGGACTGAATAATGTATCACTTATAAAAGTTCCAGGTGGTCTCCTGGTTCCATTTAATATTCCTACCTTGGTTTCTTTTTTCCATCTACTTCTCATTTATGTTTTCTTCTTGTATTTTATGGACCAGAGTGAGTCACTTTAAATTCTGGTAGAACAGGATGCCATATGAATATACAATATAAAAATAGTAGATATTCCTCTGGGGAGTAGGGGTGGGCACTGACTGGGAAGGGACATGAGGAAACTTTCTGGGTAATGATAATATCCTTCTAGGTGTCTGGGTTTTATAGGTGTATCCATTTGTCAAAACCAGGTCCATATACAGTTAAGATTTAACTACAATAAAATGCACACATCTTACTTCCAAAGAAAAAACCTATAAACAAATAATTACCTCTACTTAGCGATAAAACATGCTGAAATAGTGAGGGGGGAATGCATCGAAAATACTATGACAGATGACTAGATAGAGGGAAAGCAAAATCAGTAAAATACTGATGGCTGAAAACTGGTAGTGGGTATATGGTTGTTCATGGTAATAATCTTTCAATTTTGCAGTATGTTTGAAATTTTTCATAATAAAATGTTGGAAAAAAATTCCTACCAAAAAAAATGGAAGGTACTCAATACTTGTTAGTTCTCAGCCAGGCGCAATGGCTCATGCCTGTAATCCCAGCACTTTGGGAGGCTAAGGCAGAAGGATTGCTTGAGCCCAGGAATGTGAGACCAGCCTGGGCAACATCGCAAGACCCTGTCTCTACTGGAAGGAGGGAAGGAAGAGAGGAAGAAAACTTTAATGCCATGAGGGGGACACTGCAAAAATAAAAATAAAAATACTTGTTAGTTCCCTTCTCAAATCCTATCCCTATTGTTATTCATCTATTTGCTTATTCACCCATCAACACGTACTAGGCACACACTCTAGCATTGCCTGGTACAAGTTGCTTAACCCCAGCTCCTCTGCATCTCAGTTTCCTCATCTATGGAATAATAATTACAAGTGCCTCACAGGATTTTTGTGAGGATTCAGTGAGATAATAAACATGTAGCACTTAGCTCAGTGCCTGCCACACAGTTGGTGTTTGAGAAGTGCTAGCTGTTATTATGTCATTATAGCATACAATAAGGAGCATGGGCATCACAGCAGATTATTCCAGTATCAAGTAATGACTAGAAGCCCTGACTCCTGACTGCTTGGCTTCAAATGCCAACTCTACCACTTATTACCTTTGTAGCTTTGGGCAAAATTCTTAAGCTGTGTCTCAGTTTCCTCATCTGTAAAATAGGAATAATACATGTCACTCTCATAGGGTTATGACAAATGCAATTATATTGCTTATATTATTTTGCTATATATGCATATATGGCTTAGCCAGTAGCTGAAACAGTGTAAACACTCAATTGATGTTAGCGAATTCACTATGCTGGATACTCAGAGGACATAATGATGAATGCCTAAGTCCCTGACCCCTCAAGGAGTTGATAACGCAGGAGACAAGAAAGCAACGTCAACAGAGGGATCACAAAGCAGCCTATAATGAATGTGTGCTACAGGAAAGGTACTACAATGGGCAGGCGATACCCGAGGGAGACTGATAATAGTGAGGAAGACCAAAGAAGACTTCAAGGGGAGAGTGGCATTGATGAACTGGGACTTGAAGTCAGAAAAGGGGAAGAAAAAGCGTGTTAAAGGACATGGTATAGCCACCCTACTAGAGTTTAATAAAAGGTAGGTCAGGGTGGTTTGGAAGATTCATGCCTGGAAAGGTCAAAAGGATTTTGAAAAAATGATATATATATATTTTTTTTGACATGGAGTCTCGCACTGTCGCCCAGGCTGGAGTGCAGTGGCGCCATCTCGGCTCACTGCAAGCTCCGCCTCCTGGGTTCACGCCATTCTCTTGCCTCAGCCTCCTGAGTAGCTGGGACTACAGGCGCCCGCCACCATGCCCAGCTAATTTTTTGTATTTTTAGCAGAGACAGGGTTTCACCATGTTAACCAGAATGGTCTCGATCTCCTGACCTCGTGATCCACCTGCCTCAGCCTCCCAAAGTGCTGGGATTACAGGCGTGAGCTACCACGCCCGGCAAAGGATCAACTATTCTTACACTCCACCAGGTTCGTAGAGCTAAGTCTTACAAATTAATTATATCAACCAGTAACTTTTCCTTGATTTTTCTAAGAAATAAATACTACTCATCATTTATCCACTGCACTCTTTATATAGAGAAACAAAGAATTCATAACCATAACCATTTTACCAACAAGGACATATCTACTAAATAATACGTCCCAGAGCCTCTAGAGGAAGGGCCAGGGAAGAGGCTACTAACACTGTGGTAGAATCGAGTGAGTTAGTGCCACTCTAGTTGTTTCACTACTTTGAGGTTACAACTTGGAATCTGACTCAAGAATTTAAATTCAGGAAGGGAGAGGTGTCCATGCAGCAGAGAAGAGTTGGCTCCCTTTGGCCACTGCCAGCTGGCCATGCTGGGCCTCAGAGATTACTATGCCTTGGTAAACACATTTCTGATTTCTGTAGGCACTGAGCAAACTCACTAAGCCTTACCAAAGTGTTTTCAACATCACAGCCTGAAAGAAGTGGCTAGGACAGGGGCAGGTTTTGTGATTAAAGGCACCAAATGCTACTTCAAAATTATGTAAATTAAATATATAAAGTATTAATGAAAACATTTTTCAACACTGTTGGAAATTAAAATAGTAACAATTTATTTTTACATTTAACTTCAAGGGAAAAATAAAAAGCAAACTTATTTTGGTGTAAACCAAGCCTTTTTAGCAGAGGCACCTTTGAGTGAGGTAGGTGTGCTGGCTGATTTAGGCTCGGAGGAACAATCTCCTTGTCTGTGAGCTCCATGAGGACAGGGACCATGACTGTCTTGCTTACTGCTATGTTTTTAGGGTGTAATACAGTGCCTGGCATATAACTGTTGCTGAGAAATACCCACTGACAGAATAAGACTAGTCTCCAGCTTTGTAAATTGAGAATTTTTTTATATTCATTAAGAGACTATTCAGTTCTTAATTAGGTGAGGGTAGAACTGACTTAATACCAACTAAACTCGATGGAGACAAATTAGATTTTTTCCCCTCATTTTTAGAAGGGGTATAGCTTTCTAGGAGCCTCACTATTCCCGTAATTTACCCAGAGCTGTCCTATCTTAATATCAAAGCATCTAGGAAACAGAATCACTAATCAGGTTGCTGCATAAGGAACAAATTTAGAGCCCCTTCGGAGGTTTTCAACCTGTGTATCTAGCATGCCCAGCCTTGCAGCAATCAGAATGTCTGCCCCAGGCCAATATGGCATTTCCCTTCACGGACAGAGCCAGGTGTACTCAGAGTCCCACACTCCAACTCCTCCTAGACTCCATGCAGACTTCCCGTCTGCTGTCCCTTTGCACCATTCTTCATCTAAACATGTTATAAAACCCTTAGCTTTTGCCATTTTTAAAATAGATTTAGGTAGTGGTGAATCTGGACTTTTAGCGTCCACATCATCTAAATAGTGTACATTGTACCCAATAGGTAGTATTTCATCCCTCAGCCCCCTCCCACCTTTTGGAGCCTCCAATGCCTATTACTCCACTCTATATGTCCATCTGTACCCATTGTTTAGCTCCCACTTATAAGTGAGAACATGCATAAACCTCTAGCTTTTAAGATTTTTCTGTGTATAGTGCTTCAGGTTGGCTGCTTCCTAATGACAAAGGAAGGACCTTCAACTACAAATGCCTCCAGAAGATTGTGTGGTCACCTTCACATGGATGTGCACCAATTTTCAGGCCATCTTGGCCTCAGCAGCAAACACTGAGGCAACATCTTCAGAGAACTTAAGGCTACTAAGTGGTATCTTGGGACCTGTGATTCTCTATAAAGCTGGTTTGGAATTTCTTTTTTCCAGTAAGTGCAGTATCTTGCATTGACTAATTTTCTGCTATCATAGCCTCATAAAATGTTCATGAAAATCTCTCATCGTAGCTTTCCACTACTGTACCCTTTAAAAAGGTCTAGGAAATTAAACATATTGGAAAATGAGCCTATAGGCAGCACTGTGGACAGTCATCATTCATATTTTACCCACTTATAGAAGGGGATTTAACCCTAAGCTTTCTTTCATATTCTTAATCCAGTTTCTACTCAGGTCCAAATTCATTCTCTAACTCCACAATGACTCTTAAAAGTGAGATAGAAAATAAGATCTTGTCAGGATTTGTTTTCTTTTCTTTCTTTTTTTTTTTTTTTTTGAGACAGAGTCTCACTCTGTTGCCCAGGCTGCAGTGCAGTGGCGTGATCTCAGCTCACTGCAACCTCCGCCTGCCAGCTTCAAGCAATTCTCCTGCCTCAGCCTCCTTAGTAGCTGGGACTACAGGCACACGCCACCATGCCTGGCTAAGTTTTCGTATTTTTAGTAGAGACGGGGTTTCACCATGCTAGCCAGGCTGGTCTCGAACTCCTGACCTTGTGATCTGCCCACCTTGGCCTCCCAAAGTGCTGGGATTACAGGTGTTAGCCACCACGCCCAACCCTTTTTTTTTTTGAGACGGAGTTTTGCTCTTGTCAGCCAGGCTGGGGTACAGTGGCACAGCTCACTGCAACCTCCACCTCCCAGGTTCAAGTGATTCTCCTGTCTCAGCCACCTGAGTAGCTGGGTTTACAGGCACCCGCCACCATGCCCAGATAATTTTTGTATTTTTAGTAGAGATGAGGTTTCACCAAGTTGGCCAGGCTGGTCTCAAACTCCTGACCTCAGGTGATCCACCCGCCTCGGCCTCCCAAAGTGCTGGGATTACAGGAGTGAGCCACTGCACCTAGCCAAGATTTCTTTTAAAAAATCATTTTGAGCTAATTTTAGAGTTACAGAAAAGTTGCAAAAATCGTACAGAGTTTCCATATATCCTGGCCCCAGCTTCCCCAGTGTTAGCATCTTACATAACCATTGTATATTTACCAGAACCAGAACTTTAATATTAATACTATTAACTAAACCAAAGACCTTATTCAAGTCGTACCGGTTTTTTCTACCGATGTCCCTTTACTGTTCCAGAATCCTATTCAGAATCCCCGCTGTATTTAGTTGTTATTTATCCTTAGTCTCCTGCAGCCTGTGACAGTTCCTTGTTCTTTCCTTATCATTCACGTTCTTGACAACTTTTAAGAGTATTAAACAGTTATTTTGTTGACTGTCCCTTGATTCGGGTTTGCCTGATGTTTTCTCATGATTACTCTGAGGTTATGCATTCTTGGCAAAAATACCACAGAAATGATGTTGTGTTCTTAATACATCATATCATGGGGCTCATGATGTTGATATGTCTTATTGCTGGTGGTGTTGGTCTTGACCTCTTGGTTAAGGTGGTTTCTGCTGGGTTTTTCCACTACCAATTTATGACCTCTTTCTTTATAGTTAATTAACACGTTGAGGTAGTTTGAGATGATGCAAATTCTTTCAAAGCTTTCCTGAAGGACTACTGGCTCCCTCATTCACAAACCTGCTCACTCTGCTTAAAATTTCCAAGAGATTAGTTGATATGATTTCCCCTAACTATTTCTGCCACACAAGCAACTCTGATTACTTTTGTTTGTTCAGTGAATTTTACTTTTCTTCTGCTTATTAAAAAAAAACCACATTTTCATTGTTTAAAAAAATATAATTGTGGAGCTCTCATAACCCCACCTTCAGAGATTAGCACTATAGATAATTTGATGTATATTCCATATGAACCTTTTTTCCTCTTTTAATACCAATGGAGTCAGATACCATGAGCTTAAATCACAGTTCCACCATGGACTTTGGGCAAGTTGCCTAATTTTGTGTGCAGGTAATTCTTTCTTTTTGGGAGGCCAAAGACTTCTTTGTAAATCTGATCTATAGACTCTCATTCTCAGAAAATGCACAATATATTGTACACACGACATTTTGCATACAACTATAGGGACTCACAGACTAGGTTAAGAACCCCTATTCTATTTATCACCTTTGATCCACAATTCTGTTTCTGGTAATCTAGCCTATAAAATACTTGCACATACAAACATGTACCAAAAACATTTCATGTAGTGCTAGTAAAAAATTGGGAATAATTTAAACATCCACCAACAGGGAACTGGCTAAATTATGATGACTCCACACTATGGAATACCCTACAAAGAATGAAGTAGATACATGTGAATGGACATAGAAAGACTCCCATGATATACTATTAAATGAAAACATTTCAGGACTTTGCATGACTCCATTTTTGGTAAGATGAAGGGAGAGAGGGATGGAGAGGGAGGGAGAAAGAAGAGAAAAAGAAAAGAATTAGGGAGGGCATGAAACCTATATATATGTAAATGCATAGAAAAAAATCTGGAAAGTTTCACAATAAACCCAACATCAATGACTCTGGGAGAATAGGATTATCGGGTGAATTTTATTATTTATTTAGTCTGTAACTATTATATTATTTGAACTTTTTACAAAGAGTACAACTTTAAAAACCCCAATAAGATTTTTAAAACCCTCTTCATAGGCAACAACTCTGAATGAATATAGATTTTAAAATGTTTAATGACTGGCAGAAATAATTTAATGATAAAAGAATAACCAAACTGATAAGAATTTTGCCCAGAATGGAATGATAGTTCAAGATACACATGACACAAAATCAAAGAGTTAAATGAGAAAAACCTAATGAAACTCTCCATGGATACAATAATGTAATTTGCTAATACTCATTTCTAATAAAAATACTAAGAACAAAAGGCATATAGGTAAAGAAAGATGATATAAAACATCTCTCTAAGCCAAATGTGAAAAAAAAAAAAGGCAATAAAAGACAGGCCACTTTTACCATCTTAAATAGTTTTGAAGTTCTGGCCAATGCAGCAAGACAGCTGAAATAAGGTAGGCATATATATTGCATAGGAAGTTAAATATGTTATCTACAGATGAGATGATTGGACAACTACAAGAGCAAAAATAGAAATTTTTGGAAGAGCTTTTTGTAAGGTAGAAATAAAACTTTTACAAACTGTTTTTAAGAGACATCACTTGAACAATGCCATGGGGTAGATGAGGTCACATAGTGGACACTTGAACTCCAGATGTCACTTCTGGACCAAGGTTAAAATTGTTCTTTGTTGAACTCCTTAAAAACTTGAGGGAATACAACCCAATTCCCAAGATTTGCCTACTTCTAGTTCATCAAGTAAGGCTCCAACAGCCTGAAATCTATCACTATTTGTGTGGTCCAAATGACAATGAGGAAGAGGTTATCTCTCGCACCATTTTTCCCTAGAACAGTAACAACAATGGCAACACAAGCAACTAACAATGGTGGAACACACACTGGACACCTTTCTTTCTAAGCACTACAAGTGGTAGTTCATTTAACCTTCACAACAACCCTTGGTAGTAGATTCTAATTTTGCCTCCAGTTTACAGATGAGAAAATTGAGGCACAAAAGAAGCTAATAACTTGCCCAAGGTTACTCAGCTAGTAGCTGGTAGAGCCAGGAGTTAAACTCAGGCAGTCTGGTTCCGGGCCCATGCTCTTAGCACTACACAATCCTGTTGCCTAAGAATGCACAGGCAAATTGTCATCTACAGGAAAGATACAATCTATGAATTAGAGTTCTGGAGGAAACTGAATTGAACAAAAGATTCAAATGACAGAAGGAAACTACTTTCAGCATGGAAAGACCTGAAAGAAGAAACAAGAAGGCACTCCCAGGGTCTCACACATCATTAGCAAAGAGGATCCCTGGGACATGACCTGGAAACATCTGAAAACAATGTGAGAAGGAAGAGAGAAAAAAAACTCCAAGTAAACAAGTTAACAAATAGATTACATGAAGGGGAATCTAGTAGAGTTATTTTTTATTTTTTTAAATAACAGAAGTCTAGAAATGAGACAATCTAAGATATAAAACCTCAAAGAAGCTCAGCAAATCAGAATACCTCAAGCTGTCATCTGTAAACAAACAAAAATGATGCCACCCCCAGACCAAGTGGCCTCATCATTCATCTACCAAACTGTTTCCTAGAGTGGTAGTCAAACTGCATTTCCTTGCCTCCTGACTCCAGAGGGAGCTGACTTAGGTTGTGTGGGAACTGAGCATGCTGGCATTGCTGGCCACTGCCCCTGAAGGAAAACACCTCTTCCACACCACTTTTCTGTATCTCCTCTACTTCTTTCTCTAGCATGGATGTGGCATTTGGGCCTGTTGTGAAGACTAAGCCAGCCATCTGAAAAAGCTCTAGCCACCCCATGCTGGACATGTATTACAGTGCTCAATATGTTCAATTTCCTGAACATAAAGACTGATCTTTGCCAACAGCCAATCCTAAGGCCTTTTAATTTCTGTACATGCTGTACTTGAGGGATTTTATCTCTCTTCTTATGGCTTTGATATCCTCCTTGGTACAAGTGAGTCTCACACCTTTATCTCCAGCCCCAACATCTCATCTGAGTTTCTGATCAATATTTCCAACTGCTCCTAGATATGTTTTCCTAGACATTCAACAAGTCCTAAAATAAACTTTCCCCTGCTTCTCTGCAAATTAGTCTCTGCACCCAATCCACACCCTTTATGCCACTCCCCAAGTTGGTCAGTAGTTCCACCATCTATCACCACCTTCCCTAAAACTAACAAACAAAAACTCCTCTGAGGCATGCCCTAATTCCCAATCTCCACCATGGCAGGCATTGGTAATTTTAGATTCTGCCCCGAAATTCCTCATATCTCCTCTTCTCCATCATCACTGCTATCTCCTTGCTCAAGTTGTTCTCACCTCTTATCTGGACAACTGCCACAGCTGCTTAACTGATTTCCCTCCCTGCAGGCTGTGCTTCACATGACAGCAAGAATTATCTTCCTAAAAAATGAACTAGAACATGGCACTCCCTTGCTTTAAACCCTCTGGTACAGACCACAGGATACAAACTGAAACTTGTCGCCCAACATTCAAGGTGCTTCAGAATCTGGCCCCAACATCCCTTGTCCAGCCTCATCTCCATCATCTCCAGCCACTATCCCAAGAACAGGGTGATGTACCTGTGCACCTTCAGACTTTTGCCCTCTCACTTTATCCTCTTTCTCACAAAGCCCTGCTGGTACATACAGTAACATTTAGCTCCCAGGGTGCCTGCACTGACTCACCAAACACCACTCCCTCTCTCTTTCTCTCTCTCTCTGTATCCAGTACACCTGACACATCACATCTTTTGCCATTGTTGGCTGATTTGCACATCATGCCACCTCATCAACCTTGAAGGCAGGGACAGAATTGCCTTTACTTTTGTATCTCCTGCACCCAGCTCAGGATCTGTTGGCTCAGAGTGAGACCTCAGTGGTTGTTAACTAACTGAATCAAAAAATAGCAAAATACTTATGAGTACCAGGCTGAGGCTCAGAAGAATTAAGACACTTCACAGAACAAACATTAAGGGGTGAAAAAAAAATTGGAGAGATAGGGTAGATAAGGAATAGGAAGAGAAGATGCCAAAAAAGGGGCAAATTAAATTTCCTTATATGGAAGAAAAGGCAAGTTCTTGCTTTTGCTTTGATTTTAGTAAATAAATTCAGAAAAATATGTTTAGCACTAAGAGATTTGAAAGATTGTTCACCTTTAAAATTTGTTTAAAAGCTAAAGAAAGCAAAGAATGTTCTGTAATACAGAAGACATAATGGAGAAGAAACAACAAATACAAAAACAAAGAAACATACAATATACAGAAAACATAATACAATAGCAATAATAAATTAAAGAGTATAAATTCCCATATAAGATATAGAACCTTCAAAGATAAGTTAAACAGACAAAATCCGACAACATTCTGTTTGCAAGATAGGCTATGAAATAATGATAATGAAGTTGGAAAATGTAACAAAATCATTACATAAGAAATTATAGACCACGAAAAAAGAATAGAGAGCAGTATTGCTTTCTGTGCTACCGAAAAATAAAAATAAAAACTAAATACACAACTAATAATCTTGAGAAACAAACAGAAGCATTAGAGGAATTTTTTTTTTTTTTTTTGAGATGGAGTCTCGCTCTGTTGCCCAGGCTGCAGTGCAGTGGCGTGATCTCGGCTCACTGCAACCTCTGCCTCCCGGGTTCAAGCAATTCTCCTGCCTCAGCCTCCAGAGTAGCTGGGACTACACGTGTATGCCACCATGCCCGGCTAATTTTTGTTTTGTATTTTACTAGAGACGGGGTTTCACCATGTTGCTGAGGCTGGTCACGAACTCCTGAGCTCAGGCAATCTGCCTGTCTCAGCCTCCCAAAGTTCTAGGATTACAGGCATGAGCCACCACTCCCGGCTGAGGATTTTTTTTTAAAAAAGAAATAAATTAGATATTTTGAAATTGAAAACCAAAAAACTTTTGAAGGATTCATAAGAAACTGACAGGAGCTGCTGCCTAAGAGAGGGGAGCTATTTGGCCAAGGAATAACAATGAATGGGAAACTGACTTTTCACTACATCCTTTTGTATTTTTTAAAGTTTTATATTTCAACTAAAAGTTGCTGTGAATAGACTAAAATTGATACTACTGGCAAGTGCAAAAAAAGGAAACATAAAATTGGAAAAACAGGACACAAAAAGAAGCAATAAAATTGTAAGAGAATATGTGTGTTAATAAATTTGGATAAAACTAAATAGATGAGTTTTTAATCAAAAATGTAAAATTCTAACACTGGCAAAAATAAAATACCTAACCAGACCAACATCTTTTAAAAATCAAATAACTAGGCCAGGCGCGGTGGCTCACACCAGTAATCCTAGCACTTTGGGAGGCCGAGACGGGCAGATTGCCTGAGCTCAGGAGTTCGTGACCAGCCTCGGCAACATGGTGAAACCCCATCTCCACTAAAATACAAAAAAAAAATTATGAGGCATTTTGGGGCAGAAATCCCAGCACTGTGGGAGGCCGAGGCGGGTGGATCACGAGGTCAGGAGTTCAAGACCAGCCTGACCAACATGGAGAAACCCCGTCTCTACCAAAAATACAAAAAAAAAAAAAAAAAAAAAAAGTTAGCCGGGCATGGTGGCACATGCCTGTAATCTCAGCTACTTGGGAGGCTGAGATGGGAGAATCACTTGAACCCAGGAGGCAGTGGCTGCAGTGAGCCAAGATCACGCCACTGCACTCCAGCCTGGGCAACAAGAGTGAAACTCCATCTCAAAAAAAAAAAAAAAAAAATCAAATAATTATACCCCTAAAAAGTAGTCAATTCTTTCAGTCTCCAGGAACAAATGATTCATGTTATAGAAATCATGCCAAAAATGGATCAAGATATAGGTTATCTAATTATTCTACTAATCTGACCCTAAAACTGGCTAAAAGAAACGGAAAGAGAGAAAACTATACACAAAGCACACAAAGCTCACTCCGAACTTACGCTCAAAAATTTAAAAGAATAGTAAATAGAACCTAGAAACAGATTTTTAAAATTTTTATTTGTGTCAACAGAAATAAAAACATTCATTTGTTAAAATCTAACACCTATTCTTAATTTTAAAATTCTAAAACTAATAATAAAGGTATATTTTCTTACCCTGATTGAGTACCTATTTATTGAACCAAATGTCAATTATACTTCAAGGGAAAAAACAAACTATGCAGTCATTAAAAATAAGCGCAAAATAAGCATTTTATCATCACTATTAACACAGTATCAGAAGTTCCTTCCAACAAAAAGCAACATAAAAATGAAGGAGAGACACAAATACAATAAAGGCAGATGTTATATATACTTTTTAAAAAATATAACACCATTGTAAACTTATAAAACCCAAAGGAATCACTGAAGTCATTACGATAAATTTTTTTTTTTTTTTTTTGAAACGGAGTTTCGCTTTTGTTGGCCAGGCTGGAGTGCAATGATACAATCTTGGCTCACCGCAACCCCCGCCACCCGGGTTCAAGCAATTCTCCTGCCTCAGCCTCCCGAACAGCTGGGATTACAGGCACCCACCACCACGCCCAGCTAATTTTGTATTTTTAGTAGAGATAGGGTTTCTCCATGTTGGTCAGGCTGGTCTCAAACTCCCGACCTCAGATAATCCTCCTACCTCGGCCTCCCAAAGTGCTGGGATGACAGGCGTGAGCCACCGCGCCCGGCCGTTACGATAAATTTAAAGTGACCACAGTCATGATCAGTACAGAAAAACTTATAGTATTCCTGGTCCTCAAGCTTGAGTGCACATGAAATTCATTGTGCAGCTTTTTAAATGTTGATGTCCACACCTCCCCCAAGACAAATTGTCTCAGAGTCTCTGAGGGTGAGACCAGGGATTAGAATTTTATAAAGCTTCTGAGGTGATTTTAATGTGTAGCCAAGTAGAGATGCCCACTACTATATACTTAATTACCTAAATATCTTTAAAAATACAAAGTAAAAAAGTATTACTATTAACCGTTCATAATATTCACAAATGGGTAGAGAAAGACTGCCATAAGGAACAAATGTTCAAAAGAAGAAACCTGAGAAAAGACATAGCTCCTGTACAAATGTCTCTAGTCCACTGCAGTTTAGGCAAAAAGGTGGGCAGTTAATACCAGAACCAGTGGAGGGGGACAAGACCCATGGCCACAACAGAACAATGGTAGCAATAGATAATTATTCTCTTTCCAAGTGTTACTGAGGTAGGAGGCATGTGTGAGGATTTCATAGAGGCCGAGGTACTCTAGGATTACCTGCATACCTGTATGAGGTCATATGTAAGATAAATTTCTAGAAATGCTGTATTAATTGCTGAGTCAGATGGTATGTGCCTCTAAAAGTGAAAGATTAATTTTAAAAGACTTTAAAGGTGAAAGAGAAAAAGCATGACGTGTAGAATAAACATCATACTTCATAGGTAGAAGCAGAGTGGCAGAAATGAGGTAAGCTGGAGTTAGTCAAGATGGCTCAGTGTCACCAGGTAGTAGGTACAGAGACTGACATATAAGAAAACTCTCAGTGATTCCAGTTCGCCTTTGACCTTCCCATTAACCTTCCCCCACTGCAACCTCCAGTCATATGCAATGTCCCCATCCTACCAGTTATCTAACTCCACAGGCATTGCTAGGGCCCACCTGTTCCCTCTATCCTGACCATAATATTCTTCTTTCAGGTCACCTCTCACCTGAACCACTGTAACTCTTTTTGTTAATCTCCCAATCTTTCTTTTTTTTTTTTTTTTTAGATGGAGTCTTGTTCTGTCGCCCAGGCTGGAGTGCAGTGGTGCGATCTCGGCTCACTGCAAGCTCCGCCCCCCAGGTTCACGCCATTCTCCTGCCTCAGCCTCCCGAGTAGTTGGGACTACAGGCGCGCGCCACTGCGCCCAGCTAATTTTTTGTATTTTTAGTAGAGACAGGGTTTCACCGTGTTAGCCAGGATGGTCTCGATCTCCTGACGTCGTGATCTGCCTGCCTCGGCCTCCCAAAGTGCTAGGATTACAGGCGTGAGCCACCGTGCCCGGCCTTTTTTTTTTTTTTTTTTTTTTTTTTAAGATGGAATCTCACTCTGTTGTCCAGACTGGAGTGCCGTCTCGGCTCACTGCAACCTCCGCCTCCCGGGTTCAAGTAATTCTCGCACCTCAGCCTCCCAAGTAGCTGGGATTACAGGCGCCTGCCACCATGCCTGATAATTTTTTTTGGATTTTTAGTACAGATGGGGTTTCACCATATTGGCCAGGCTGGTCTTGAACTCCTGACCTCAAGAGATCCACCTGCCTTGGCCTCCCAGAGTGCTGGGATTACAGGCGTGAGCCACCGGCACCTGGCCTAACCCTCCCAATTTATTACCATCCAAAGCTTTCCTAGACATTAGTTTAATATTTTATGTCTTTTTTTTAGTGTAAATATCTAATCTGCCATTTATATTCCTAAAGTGGCTATAAATTACCTTCTAGATCAAAGAGCTATGTTTGACAATGATTTTTAAGCCCCGCTGTTTAGCAGGCTTTTAACATACAGTTTAAGATACTTCCTCCACAACATTTTCCCTGTTAATCATTTTCAATCCAATCACATGATCTCCAAATCTACTTAATCCTCCTAACGTAAGCATTCTTCATTCATTCACCCAACAAATACTTACTGAGCATCTATTGTCCAGCACTGGTTTAGATCCTGGGGATAAAGTTCTTGCCCTCAATGAGGATTTCAGGCAGGGAAGGTACTGGGTGTGAAGGGAAGGCAGGGAGACAGCCAATCAAATTTATCTACAGTGGCTGGATGGTGATAAATGCTATAGAAAAAATAGAGAAGGATAGAGTGATTCCAGGGTATGGTAAGGTATCATTTTCAATTGAGGGTACCATACAAGGCATCTTTGAAAGTTTAACTTTGGAGCAGAAACCTGAAGAAGGAGGGCAGTAGCCATTTGGCTATCTGGGAGAAGATGATTCCAGGCAGAGGGAACAAGAACAATGGCTCCAAAGCAGGAATATTTCTGGGCAGACTGAAGCATGGCCAGCAGACCAGTGTGATGAAGCAGTCAGTATGAGAGTGAGCACTAGGAGATGTGTACGTAAGAAACTTGTCTTATGACATTTTTGGTTTAGAGGATTGATATATAAAGCCACTAAACAGTTTTACTCAATTTTAAGACTCAAAGTTAAATAATGATCAAGGTAGACTACCCAAGATTACGCCTGCAGCAATCCATTACTGAAGCATAGGGAAGGTGCCCACCACAAGACAGAAAGTTCCAGAAGTTACATTTGTGGGAAAATTCCCACGGGCTGGTGGTCCCCAGGCTTGTGAAGGAGGAGAGAGAGATGTTGCCATGGAGTTGCCTAAAGAAGTTGTACAGAACTTCCAGCATCACACATCATCAATGACTCTGCCTCCATTTCTTTCTCTCCTTCTAAAAATTTCTATTCAGCTTACTGGACAAAGTTTCTTAATAATGGAAAATAATGTAAAAGACATGCTTTATTTAAACAGCTTACTAAGGCATATCTATTTCATCAAATGAAGGCTCTATTTACAATGATTGTTTGCTAGTGTGCTTTGCTTTCCGTATTAAGTTTAGCATTAAAAAAAGTTTTCCCAATTTAAATTTTAATATGTTTTGTAACTGCTTTTTAATAGTCTACTGTGAATATATGTCCATCATTAAATACACTAGATCATTTTTTAAAAGGTTTCCTATTCCACAGATCCCAGAGATAAGTGTAGTGTCACATATATTGTAACCTGAGAATATGGCTTGAATAATTGGTATTCAAATTAGTTTTCTAGTTTTTCAAGTCAATCAAGTGTATGTTCTGCACTCAAACTAAAAGCTGACACTTTGACTCACCCTGCACATCATAGAGAGACACAACACAGGATACTCTTATGATCTCAATGGTCAACCTATAACAGATTCCTATCAGATGATCAAAGAAATCATCGAAGTTGTAGATTCAATGCAGATTTTTAGATTAATCCAAAAAAGAATCATTTGATCAAAGACTTCAGCAATAAAAAACAAGGGAGGAGAAAATAATGTTTAATAGCAATGCGAAGACTAAATATAAAGACTTCTGCATTACAAAGTTGTGGTAATTAATGTAGCAAGAAACTTGTGAAAACTCAGAAGCATGCTATTTACCCAAGAAACATACTTTTTCCTTACTTCATTGTTTTTTTCCAGTTTCCCTCTTCACTTTATGCAGTCCCACAAGCATCTCTAAAAGGTCACATGTTGCTTCTGCAGTTGCATTTCAGTCCTATAAAAGAAGCAGCACATCATCACTTTATGAGAAAACATTTTAGGAGGCTGAGTTATCCAATCTCATCAGTCTCCCTTCCTAATTCATTCGCACTAGAACTATACATAAACAGAAAAACCAGTGAGACAAAGGTGAAAAAGAGGTTATCAAAATACAAACTAGCAATTTGAAACTATTAAAATTCCTAGTAGAAATAAAGCAAACTCAATGGTCTCTGATAACAGATCAGAACAAAATCTGTAATTTTAACGCTCTTTCCACCAATGAGTTTCCATGTCTCTCTCCCAGCTAAGTTTGAGACAGCTTGGCAGAAATAATACTAACAGATGTGTTGCTTTGTAACTTCAAGGATGTGCTATTTTCTGATGTTCTTCCATTCGGGTTTTCCTGGTGTGGATTCTAGAGGCACAAAAATGGCTCAGACTGTGAGTTCCAGGCCAAGGAACTGTTTTCATCTCTGTCTCTGACCATTATTACCCCTATTTCATCATGGCACTTTCGGTAAATGAATGAGACAGTAACTATGTTTTCAACAGACAACCAGAGATGCTTCATGGGATCTTAAAATTACTTGGGAAACAGCTGTAAAACCACTACTTTTGAGTTCTTATTTCTTTCTTGAAGAATTATCTTTGATTGAGATGCCCATTAGCAGTAAAATGGTCCCAAAGCGAGTATACCAGAAGGTCTCAGAACTTCCAACAGACGTGTAGGCATTGTACACTAGACTCTAGTGTATCATGACTAGAGCATCATGACTACGAGCATCCATGAATGTACACATTTTTTTTGCCCCTCAAAAAAAAAAAAATCCCTCACCCAAGTGGCTTAACTTCTTAACACCAGCATCTTATGTCTTTAACATACACATATCTAGCTTTACACTGCATCAGGGATTGTTCTAAGATCTTTAAATACATTAATCCAATCCTTACAATGATGCTATGAGGTTGATTCTATATTCTAATCACCCAGATAAGGAAACTTGTTAGGTAAATTACCTAAAGAAAAGCATTATGTTAAGGCCGGGTACGGTGGCTCACGCCTGTAATCCCAGCACTTTGGGAGGCCGAGACGGGCGGATCACGAAGTCAAGAGTTTGATACAGCCTGACCAACATGGTGAAACCCCGTCTCTACTAAAAATGGCCGGGCATGGTGGTGTGCGCCTGTAATCCCAGCTACTCAGGGGGCTGAGGCAGAAGACTTGAACCCAGGAAGCAGCAGTTGCAGTGAGCCGAGATCGCACCACTGCACTCCAGCCTGGGCAACAGAGCGAAACTCCGTCCAAAAAAAAAAAAAAAAAAAGGCCGGGCACGGTGGCTCACACCTGTAATCCCAGCACTTTGGGAGGCCGAGGTGGGCAAATCACGAGGTCAGGAGAGCGAGACCATCCTGGCTAACACGGTGAAACCCTGTCTCTACTAAAAATACAAAAAAATTAGCTGTGTGTGGTGGCAGGCACCTGTAGTCCCAGCTACTCGGGAGGCTGAGGCAGGAGAATAGCGTGAACCCGGGAGGTGGAGCTTACAGTGAGCCAAGATCACACCACTGTACTCCAGCCTGGTTGACAGAGTGAGACTCCGTCTCAGAAAAAAAAAAAAAAAGTATTATGCACTATGCTGCTGTTCATAGTCAGGGGTACCTGGGCAAATATAACTGTGCAGTAAGCTACAGTCTCATCCATCTATTTCACTTTTTCTGCTTCTGTCCTGGTATGCCTAAAGTAGCTCAATGTCTACTGAATTAGCTCTTGAAAATTTCTCCTTATTAATAATTTACTGAGAAACAACTTCTAATTCTCCCTACCTTAAACCTCATCTTTGCTTATTTTTTGAAAATTATCCTTTGGGAGGCTGAGAAAAAGGATTGCTTGAGGCCAGGAGTTCAAGACCAACCTGGGCACCAGGGTGAGACCACAGTCTCTACAAAAGTATTTTTGTTTTTTGTTTTTGAGAGAGAGTCTCACTCTGTCCCCAGGCTGGAGTGCAGCGGCACTATCTCGGCTCACTGCAACCTCCGCCTCCCAAGTCCAAGCATTTCTCCTGCCTCAGCCTCCTGAGTAGCTGGGACTACAGGCACGCGCCACCACACCCAGCTAATTTTTGTATTTTTAGTAGAGACGGGGTTTCACCATGTTGGCCAGATGGTCTCGATCTCTTGACCTCGTGATCCACCCACCTCAGCCTCCCAAAGTGCTGGGATTACAGGCGTGAGCCACCATGCCCAGCCTACAAAAGTTTTTTTTAGAAAAATAGCCAGCATGATAGATATTTTCCTATGCTTGCCAGATCCCTTCTAACTTTAAAATTGCAACACCCTTACTCAACCAAGGCATTAGAGTTCAGTTGATTGGTTGATTCAGATGATGCCAAAAGCTATGGGTTCAATCCACTATAAACCAGTTAGCTTTGTTTGCTTCACATCTACAGATTTTTAGTCTGGATGGCATATTTTGGATCATAAGAGGAAGCAGGTAGGAGTGTGGAAGACAACATTTGCTGGAGAAAAAAGTCTCCAAAAACAGCACTGACTGTGGGCCAGAAGCAACAGCCTCATTCATAAAAAAAAAGCTTCATAATAATTGGCAAAACACTTCTAGCTTTCTGAGTAAGACGCTCTTCTCAGATCATTTGCCAGAATATAGCCTCAAGCTCCTCCTTCGAAAAACAAAACAGATGAGATACAAATAAAAAATTAATGTTTTTCGTTTTTGCACAGGCTCTGCTTGACTGATCTGAATACAATTTTCTTATTCCTGACACCAAGGTCACTGACAATAAAAAAAAAATTGAAATGATTTTAGAAAGTATTACAAAAATCTCTAGGAGTGTAGCTTACAAAATCACCAGAAAAACTTGACTGCAATTCCATAAGTATGTCTTAGATTCTTTTACAATTCCTTTAAATTTTCATAAAACCAAAAAATTATTCCATCTCCAAATAGTTATTTTAAACAAGCTTTTTCAAATTAAATGAAGGAAACAATATCAGACCAATGTGGTCTGATAAATTTTAAAACAACCCAGACCCACTCAAGGTAGAAGCTTTACCAGTTTCAACAAATAAAAATGAAAAAGTAAAACTATATTCTTTAATTGTTAGTTTAGGGAGAAACCTCCTTGGGATCATCTGTTTTCATGTTTTCCTGTCCAGAGCTGGAAAGAACTTCCCAATGTACAAAGCACATGGGTTCCAACAGTCACAAGGTAACTATGACAGCAAAGCCACAGTTATCTGTGAGATCACAGAAATTATATGATGTAATTTTAAAAATTGAAAATTCATATAACATTAACCATTTTTAAATGTACAATTCAGTGGCATTTAGCACATTCACAGTATCATGCAACCATCACATTTACCATTACCTTACATTACTGATGAAATATTTTCATCACCCCAAAATGAACCTTGTACTCATTAAGCAGTCACTTCTATTCCTCCTCCTCCTCCTCCTCCAACTCCTGACAACCACTAATATGCTTTATGTCTCCATAAAATTACCTCTTGTGGATATTCCCTAAAAATGCAATCAAACAATATGTGACCTTTTCGGTTGGCTTTCTTTCACTCTGCATAATGTTTCAAAGTTCATCTACATTGCAGCATGCATCAGTACTTCATTCCAATTTATGGCTGAAAAATATTCCACTGTATATAGATGCACATCTTGCTCATCCATTCATTCATTGATAGACATTTGGGTTGTTTCCATCTTTTGGCTATTGTGAATAGTGTTGCCATGAACATGAGTGTACAAGTATTTGTCTGATACTTGTTTTCAATTACTGGACATATAAACAGGAGTGGAATTGCTGGGTCATATGGTAATTCTATACGGAACTTTTTGAGGAACTACTACACTGTTTCCCACAGTGGCTTCAACATTTTACATTCCCACCAGCAAAGTACAAGGTTCTAATTTCTCCACATTCTCATCAATGCTTGTAATTTTGTTTTTGTTTTGTTTTTAAAGTATAGACATCTTAGTAGGTGTGAAATGGTATATCATTGTGGCTTTGATTTGCATTTCCTTAATGACCAATGACCCAGGAAATCTTTTCATATGTTTCTTGGCCATTTGCATATCTTTACAAAATGTCTATTCAAGTCCCTTGCCCATATTTTAATTGGGTTATCTTTTCTGTTGTTCAGTTGTTAAGAGTTTTTCGTTTTGTTTTGTTTGTTTTTTAACAGATTTGCAGATATCTCCTCCCATTCTGCAGGTTGCCTTTCCACTTACTTGATAGCATCCTTTGCTGCAAAATTTTAACATTTGATGCCATCCAATTTGTCTATTTTTTCTTTCGTTGCTTGTGCTTTTGGTGTGTTTCTAAGAATCCATTACCAAATCCAAGGTCATGAAGATTTACCCTTATGTTTTCTTCTAAGAGTTTATAGTCTTAACTCTTATAATTAGTTATTTGGTCCATTTTGAGTTAATTTTAATATGTGTGGGGTCCAACTTCATTCTTTTGCATGTAGATAACCAGTTGTACCTGCACCATTTGTTAAAGAGATTGTCCTTTCCCCAGTGAATCATCTTGGCACTGTTCTCAAAGGTCACAGATGTACAGGTTTATTTCTGGACTCTCAGTTTTATTCCACTGATCTATATGTCTATTCTTATGCTTATACCTATTTTGATTATTGTAGCTTTGTAGTATCTTTTGAAATTGGGAAGCATGAATACTCCAACTTTGTTTTTCTTTTTCAAGATTGTTTTGACTATTCAGGGTCCCTTGCAATTCTATATGAATTTTAGGATCAGCTTTCCTATTTCTGCAAAAATAGGTACTGGAATTTTGGTCAAGATTGCACTGAATCTTTACATCACTTTGAGTAGTATTGCCATCTTTAAGTATTCTAATCCATGGATGTCTTTCCATTCTATGATGTAATTTTAAGGTTATTTTAAAATGTCCTTGATAAGGTGATACACTAACTTCTTTAGCTGTCTGTATCGCTATGGTAATTTACTAATATCCTGGAGTATGTCACAAATATGAAGTTTATACTTGCCATTGGTAATCCAAAATTCATACTCCAGAGAATGAAGGTAAATTATGTAACGTCTGTTTTGTTTGCTTTGGGCTATGGAAAAGGTCAGAACTTAAGGATTTTCATTTTCCTGATTTATAATTAAGTTTCATTATCTTCAGTTCCCAGTAGAGGAACAGAGATGCACGAAGCTTATTTGTTCACTGATAAGAGTTAAGTTGTTTAACAGACTTCGCAGAACAGTATCAGGAACTCTTTTTCATGTAGTTCAAATCCCCCCAAATTGATTATGTCACATTAGCTACTTCGCCAAAGATTTTGCTCACAGAAGCTTGAGAGTCAGAGCTTAAAGTATCAACTGTAGTTGGACAGGGTGTCGGTTGGAGAGGAAGGGTTTTACAAGTCTTTAAAAATTTTTGGCTAAAGTCTGTGAGAGAACAATCACTTGATATTATAAAGGTAACTTGAGCTGGATACAATCTGTTTTTTGCTCACACATCAAAATTAGAACTGAAGATAACACAATAACCCAGGAAAAATCACTGTGGAGTTTTCTAAGACTCGCAATTGCAAGGAAAGTATATATTCCCCTAAAATAAATACTGGTTCATTTGAAACCAGTAGATTATGAGTCTGAGTGAGGGGCAGTGATTGCCTCAGTAGTGATGTTTGGTGTCAACTTTTCAAAGTTTCAGTTTGCACCTCCTGTCAATGTATAAGCTACATGAAACTCATAGTCCAAGGTGATCCAGCAACATCAGAAAGGATCTTAAGAATCAAACTGGGCCAGGTGCGGTGGCTTAATGCCTGTAATCCCAGCACTTTGGGAGGCCAAGGCAGGTGGATCAACTGGGGTCAGAAGTTTGAGACCAGCCTGGCTAGCATGGTGAAACCCTGTCTCTACTAAAAATACAAAAATTAGCTGGGCGTGGAGGCGGGCACCTGTTAATTCCAGCTACTTGGGAGGCTGAGGCAGGAGAATCACTTGAACCCAGGAGGCGGAGGTTGCAGTGAGCTCAGATTGTGCCATTGCACTCCAGCCTGGGTGACAAGAGTGAAACTCCGTCTCAAAAAAAAAGAAAAGAAATAATCAAACTGTTTATAAATACCTTCAGTCAGAAAATACCATCTGTTGAAATAAACCAGCACCAAATCGCAGGAAAAAGAAATCCAATTCCATATATTTTGCGATCTATAATGAAACTAAAAGCAATAAAAATATCATCTGGCAGGTGCTCAGGGTCAGTGCTTTGGCAGAGCATGTTAGCTAACGTAAAATTTGAATTTCTGAGTCAATGTTTATTTTTTGTTTTCACCAGGAAGTTTAAGTTGAAGAGGGCAAGGGAAAAAAAAATAGGCCCAGGCAAGAAATGGGGCCCAGAAGGTAACCAGGTAAAAACCTGATGCAGTGACGCAAAAGATAGACAACAGTCCAGTGATGACGAGAACTGGGTTAGGATAGACATAGGGTGGACTCCTGCTGGCTGAGTCTGATGCCAAGCAATCAGCACAGTGAGCAAGGCTGGTCAGCATAACATCCGTAGGAGACTCACTCTCATGGCATGAGTTTTGCCACAAATTCTTCCAGAACTGGAAAGCCCTTCTAACATGGCAGATGGAGAGGACTTCCTATTCTTTGGTCTTACCACTGCCTGATGAGGGTCCTATCTTTAGGGCTCACACAATTTCCCATCTTCTAAAAGTGTCTTCAACACGCTAACTGAATGACTGTACTTCTCCCTCTCCATTTCTTCAGCTCTAGTTGCACTCAGTTAACCTGAACTCTGTGTGAAGATTCAGAGGACAGAAGAAATACAAAAAATAAAAATAAATTTATAAAAACACTAAACAAACAAAGATTCAGAGGATGGGTTGGATACAGAGGCAGTGTCCGAAGAAACAGGATAAAGGCCACATTCTCTTTGGTTGGTGGTGGCATAGAGGAAAATGAACTCTACAAGGAATGAGATAGGAGAGGAGATGCTGTGCCCTGTCTGTCACAGAAAGAGGCATCCTGGGCCCCTCAAACCCAGAGCTGAGAATTCCTGTTCTTAGGGAGTATGCTCAATACCTGAATGTATGATAGCCACTTGAGTCTGTGGGATTTTTTTTGTTTTCCAGTTATCAAGTATGTCCCCCAACCCCACCCTTAAAAGTCTGTTTTTCTTTTTCTTTTTTTTAAATGTAGCTCATGTTGGAAAAGCAGTCAGGGAAGTACTTTAAGAGTATATCCTAGTACTCCTTAGCCTGAAGCCTCTGTAAAAGGGAGCCCAGATAAGGCACTTTGGGAAATTTGCTGCAAGGCTGCTGGGGAGAGGAAGCGCCCTGCCTCACTCTCAGTATAGTCAAGGCTCAGCGTTTTGAATAACCTCTCGGTCTCAAAACAACTGCTGTGATTTGATCCAATGTGGTAGTAGCTCTCTGGGTCTCTAATTGGGTTCCCCGAGCTCTCTCAATGCTTAGCTCTTTTTTTCTTTCTGTAAAGGGAGTTTTCAGTTAATTTGCAGGCCTGCCGTTCTGTGCCCAAGAGCTGAACTCTTGAGGCGTCCGCCTGGGACTTGGCGGGCTCACTTTAGTTTTGTTTTCTGTTCTCTTTGTGGTGGTCTTAGTTATAAGCGCCTGGAAACATGCCCTTAACTGCAGGGCAAGTGCTTGCTTCACAAGCCCTGCTAGACAGGAAAAAGGAGGAAGAAAGCACACTGGGGTTTATGACATAGCTACAAACTATCCTCAATTTTTAAATAGCCAAAACCTGGACACATCCTACATACCTGTCAGCATAAGAATAGATTTTAAAAATTGTGATATTCACACAATAGAATACTACTCAGCAAGAAAAAGGAGTATGTTTCTAACACACATCATGGATAAATCTCAAAAGCATGGTGAGCAAGATAAGTTAGATATAAAATAAAATGTGGAGTTCTAGAAAAGACAAAATTTCTGGTGGTAAAAATCACAATAGAAATTACCTTTGAATGGTGAAGACAGACAAGACAGCATGAGGAAGGAACTTTTCTAGAGTGGCAAAAATGTTCTGTATACTGATTGGGAGTGGTGTTTACATGAGTATAAACATTTGACAAAAAGTTTACCAGGCAAGGTGGGGTGTACTTGTAGTCCCAGTTGCTTGGGAGGCTGAAGCAGGACGACTGCTAGAGCCCAGGAGTTCAAGGTCAGCCTGGACAACATAGCAAGACCCTATCTCTTACAAAAGAAACAAACTTATTCAACTATATACTTTTTTAAAATGACACAAACATTTTTGTAACATTTTTTAATGGCACGAAGTCAGTTTTCCATCATGTTGCATCTACGTGGCTAATATTTTGAGAAAAAGGTATATTTTTAAAGTATTTGATACACTCAAATATACCTCTTTAAACAAACATAAATCTCTTCAAAGTAGTATATAAATTTATATTGAGTTCAATTAATTCTTAAGACTGAATTACACAGAGAATTCTCTCAAATTTCTCTTGCCCTACCCTCCATGTTAATTTTTTTTTTCTTTTTTTTTGAGACAGAGTCTCGCTCTGTCGCCCAGGTTGGAGTGCAGTGGTGTGATCTCCGCTCACTGCAAGCTCCGCCTCCCGGGTTCATGCCATTCTCCTGCCTCAGCCTCCTGAGTAGCTGGGACTACAGGCGCCCGCTACCATGCCTGGCTAATTTTTTGTATTTTTAGTAGAGACGGGGTTTCACCATGTTAGCCAGGATGGTCTCGATCTCCTGACCTCGTGATCTGCCCGCCTCGGCCTCCCAAAGTGCTGAGATTACAGGCGTGAGCCACCACGCCCGGCCCCCTCCATGTCAAATATTTTAAGCATGTTTTAAATGCAGAAAGTATAGTGTAGGGGATGGAAAGATTAATTTAAGTGTGGAAAAAAAACTCCCCTGATTACAAGAGCAATACACTTTCAATAAAAGCAAACTGTAAAATACAAAGAAGTAGAGAAGATTATAGCTAGGGGAGGCTGGGTGTGGTGGCTCACGCCTGGGATTGTACACTTTGGGAGGTCGAGGTGGGCAGATCACTTGAGGCCAGGAATTCGAGACTAGCCTGGCCAACATGGTGAAACTACATCTCTACTAAAAATACAAAAATTAGCTGGGTGTTGGGGGTAACACTTGTAGTCCCAGCTACTCGGGAAGCTGGGGCAGGAGAACTGCTTGAACTAGGGAGGCAGAGGTTGCAGTGAGCAGAGATTGTGCCACTGTAACTCCAGCCTGGGTGACAGAGAGAGACCCTGTCTTGAAGGAAAAAAAAAAAGATTATAGTTGGGGGAAAGCTCATGTAAGCCAAAACTATCCACTACCAAAAGATAAGCACTGTCAACATTCTGATGCACATGCACAATTTTAACCATACTGGGATCATACTGCACATATTGGTATTTTTTCTCACTTAAATATAGGTCTGATAAACATCTCTCATGTTATTGAGCATTCTTTGCATCTTTTATTACTACTGAGGTTAAATCTTTTCATGTGATTAGCGGCCATTCATATTTCTTTGTGGAACAGCTTGGCAATTTAGAAAATAATGCCAATATTTTCCTGAATATACTTATTGTAGATATATGGAAAATACAGAAGAGTATAAGACTATAGAGGAAAAAATTCACATAATTCAAATCATAGAAACAATCACTGCTGCTAATTTTTACTTTTCTCTGCACAGTTTTTTTTTGTTTTTGTTTTGAGACGGAGTCTCCCTCTGTCACCCAGGCTGGAGTGCAGTGGCATGATCTGGGCTCACTGCAAGCTCTGCCTCCCGGGTTCATGCCATTCTCCTGCCTCAGCCTCCTGAGTAGCTGGGACTACAGGTGCCCGCCACCACGCCCGGCTAATTTTTTTGTATTTCTAGTAGAGACAGACAGGGTTTCACCGTGCTAGCCAGGATGGCCTCAATCTCCTGACCTCGTGATTTGCCCACCTCGGCCTCTCAAAGTTCTGGGATTCCAGACGTGAGCCACTGCACCCAGACTGTTTATTTTATAACATCTTTGTAAATAAACTATTGTCTTCACCCATGATTACTTCCTTGGGATGGACTGCCAGAATTTGAATCCTGGGTCAACGAGTATGAAAGTTTTAAAGGCCCATATTGCCAAACTGCACTGAGTATTGTACAACTTTGCATTCCACAAGAAGTATATAAGAATGTCTATACTTTTACATCCTTGTTAGCATTAAATTCTCTTTCTCATATATAATCCTCACCCCTTATATACTCCCCACCACAACCCCCGCTCCACACATACACACAAAAACACACTTCACTAATTTGATACATGAAAAACAGTATCTTACAACTTTAAATGCATTTTTTTTTTAACTAACAGAATGAAGTAGTTTTTCATCTGGTTAAACCACCTCAAGTTCCTCTTCTGTAAATAGACAGCTAAATTCCTTGAATGTCTGATACTTTTCAGAAGTAACCAAAAAGTATTTGAGGACTTCTTGTTCATCATAAATAATGATTAACTTAGAATGTACTTCTCCCCTCTCTTAAAATGACCAATATAAAAGACTACTTATTAAAAGAATATATATTATAAAAATACAAGAGTAATAAGTTCACAGCAGCACAGGATAAACAGGAAAGACACCATCAGAATAGCATGAGGACTTCTGGGCCAAAGGGAGGGGAAATGCCATCAGGACTGACTGAATGACAGCAATACTAAGACGTAAAGGAAATTTCAATTTGAACCAAGCAAAAGAAGGAAACTCTAAAACTGTGAATATAACCATAGAACCCTAGGGGGGAACAAACTCAAATTCAGAGATAAGTGAAGCTGGATGTAGAAGTAGAAGTGAGCCCAGGACTGTCAGGAGAATAATTAGAGGCCTATGGAACAGCTGCATCCTCCAGTGTTCTCAGAAAGGCTAAGGTGTGAGAACAGCTCTCTGTAATAAAGTGGAGGATCAGCTGTGGGGGAACCACCCACACAGGCGCTGGGACTACAGAATGAAGAAACAGCACCACAAATGACAATGCACACACCCACCCAGAAGGCAGCTGACTGAATCCCTGGACGTATATCCCTGGTACTTAGCAGGACCAGCACTCCTGTACTCTGAATTTACTTCTGGAAGAATAATTCCCACTTGTGCTGAGAGAACCCACTACAGTTACCACTCGGATCACACAAAGAGTTCTCAATCCTGGATGCACATCAGAATCATCTGCTGAGCTTTTTAGAAATACCAATTGCCTGGGCCCCACCGCAATGCAACTGAATCAGTATTTATAGAGGGAAGAGGGATCTAGGCATTTGTATTTAAATATTCTCCAGATAATTTAATGTGCCCTTAAGTAATAACAAATAAAAACAGCAAAGGAAGCAGAAAATAATTGTAGTATTCTCTGAAAGATCTATTAAGATACCATTTCAAAGATCTATGGAGATACTAAGGGAGAGGAACAATACTAAAAAGTTATTAGTGGGGAATAAAAAAACAAAGCTATGTTTTTCTGTTTTTTTGTTTTTTGTTTTTTTTAGTAGAGACGGGGTTTCACCATGTTGGCCAGGCTGGTCTCAAACTCCTGACCTCAAGTGATCCAACCACCTCGGCCTCCCAAAGCGCTGGGATTATAGGCGTGAGCCACTGCACCAGGCCAAAAAAATTTCTTAATCCTTCAACAGAGGTCTGAATAGCAAAAGGGGCATAACCAAAGACAAAAGTAGTGATTTAGAAGATCAAACTGATGAATTCTCCCAAACCAAGAAATGGGAAATGAGAGGGGAAAGGAGGATAAATCTAGATGATCCAATATGTCTAACCCTTTTTTTTTTTAAAGGAGAGGACAGAGGAAAAGAAATTACCAAAGAAATAATAGGACCAAACAGATCTGAGTTAAAGAGATCTGAGCATTAGGTTGAAAGGGTCTGCCAAGTTTACATGATGTATAACAATATTGAAAAAAAGTAAATGTAACTTGGTGAAATTTTTAAATTACAAAATAAAGTTGAAATCTAGGAACATGCTACAGTTAGGAAGCATGCTAACTGTAACAAAAGGAAAATTGTATTTGCACCAGACTTCTCATCTGCAATTTCGGATGCTAAAACACAAATGAAGCAATTTCTACAAAGTTTAAAAGGAAAAATAATTTTAAGCATAGACTCTCATATATCCCTAAAACTGTTACTTAAGTATGAAGGCAAAATAAAGTTATTTGGGTATATACAACTGCTCCATGAAGTTCACCACTGTGTACTCTGGGGGTAAGTAGGAAGAGACTCAAAGGTGTACTGTAGCAAATTAAATTTGAATCCAAGAAATAAAAGATGACTTGGGATACAAGAAGCAGTGCTGAACAAAGAAATAGGTTTAAAGCTCTACTCCACAATTATCGATAAAATACACATTAGGTGAAGTGCAATTGCTAATAAGAATTATTGAAAGAAAAAAGATATAATGTAGAAAATTAATGAAAAACTTTGAAAAATAGCTGGGAGTAGGAAAGAGTAGCAGACATAAAATCTTTCTTACTTGCGGAAGAACCATAGATGGTAATTAAATTTTGATGCTTACAGAGAAAGTTAGGTTCAAATAAAAGGATGACTTCCTCCAGGAACTGGAAGGATGGTGGTGAATGGAGGCGAGCACAACATGAGGTTAATTAGTCCACAGCCATGTCACATATCACCTTGCAAACAGTGATGGGTGTTTAAACATTTTATCCTAAGTGCAATGGGAAGCCATTTAAAAGTTTTAAGCAGGGGAGTAACATAATTGACTTATGTTTCCAAAAAGATCACTTTGGCTGAAATGTAGAGTGGATGGGAGTGAGTAGCAGCTGAGAGAGAAGGCAGAAGGCTATTGCAGAAGTCCTGGGCTATGATGACAGTGGCCCACATTAGGGTGCTGGCAGGGAAGATGGATTCCCTATGTGTTACAGGTAGAATCGGTAGTCCTTCTTGTGGATTGGGCATGAGGGACAGAGTTGTTAGGATGACTCCCAGGTTCCTGACTTTAACAACTAAGTCCATGAAGATGTCATTTACCCCAAGATGAAGAAGACCAGAAAATAAATATATCAGCAAGCTGTCAAAAAAATATTAAGTACCCTTTCAGTGCTTGAGCTCGAGACTAATTTTTCATTTAAATTCTAGATCCTGTGGTATGCTGCAAATGCCAAAGGCAATCACTTAACTTCTCATCTTCTCTACCAAGTAACAATCTTCCTCAACCACATATTTTTATGCGTATTTAACACTGGAGAAGTAATGTCTTAGAGGTCCATTAGACACAATTCATCTTTTTTTTTTTTTTTTTTTGCGAAGTCTAGCTTTGTCACCAGGCTGGAGAACAGCGGCGCTATCTTGGCTCACTGCAACATTCGCCTCCAGGGTTCAAGCGACTCTCCTGCCTCAGCCTCCTGAGTAGTTGGGATTACAGGCATGCCCCATTACACCTGGCTAATTTTTTGTAATTTTAGTAGAGACAGGGTTTCACCATGTTGGGCGGGCTGTTCTCGAACTCCTGACCTTGTGATCTATCCATCTCGGCCTCCCAAAGTGCTGGGATTACAGGCGTAAGCCACCGCACCCAGCCCACGATTCATCTTTCGATGCCTCTAATGAAGTCCACCTTTAAATGGTGGCCAAATATCAAGTCTAAAACCCAGGTACGTTGCATGAAATTGAACTGGGCAAACAAGGAATCTAATAAAATACATGACATCTCATGTCTGTTTCTAACATTTCCTAAAGATAATTATTTTGATCAGCTAGAGACTGGTACACGTAATAACACTAAAAATTCACTGCATAACCAAAGGCTTTCACAACTCTTTATTGTTTTATTTATTTATTCATTTTTTGGAGACAGGGTCTTGCTCTGTCGCCCAGGCTGGAGTGCAGTGGCATGATCTTGGCTCACTGCAACCTCCGTCTCCTGGGTTCAAGCCATTCTTATGCCTCAGCCTCCCAAGTAGCTGACATTACAGGCATACCCCACCATGCCCAGCTAATTTTGTATTTTTAGTAGAAACAGGGTTTTTGTTATGTTGCCCAGGCTGGTCTTGAACTCCTGAGCTCAGGTGATACACTCGCCTTGGCCTTCCAAAGTACTAGTATTACAGGTGTGAGCCACCATGCCCGGCCTCAAAACTCTTTAGACATCGCCATCAGGGTGCATGTGTGTGTGCATTCACATGCCAGTGATTTTCTATACCCTGGAAATGAGAGCCCTCTCCTCCACATCTGTCCAGCTGTGGTAGAGCTTCCCAAAGTCCATAATGCAGGGTTTCAGCTCTCCACTAACTATGCAGTTGAATGACTTCCTATAAAAACAAGGTCACACACCACTAAGGGCAAAAGCAAATGCATCTCCTGGGGAGACAGTCACTGAACATTAACATCACTTTTATCGGGCCAGGTGTGGTAGCTCACGCCTGTAATCCCAGCACTTTAGAAGGCTGAGGCGGGCAGATCACGAGGTCAGGAGATCGAGACCATCCTGGCTAACACAGTGAAACCCTGTCTCTACTAAAAATACAAAAAATTAGCCAGGCATGGTGGCATGCGCCTGTATCCCAGCTACTCAGGAGGCTGAGGCAGTAGAATGATGTGAACCTGGGAGGCGGAGCTTGCAGTGAGCCGAGATCGCACCACTGCACTCCAGCCTGGGCGACAGAACGAGTCTCCATCTAAAAAAAAAAAAAATCACTTTTATCTATGGTCACTGTGAGTCAAAGACAAACATGAGGATCACACTCTCCAGTCTCCAACCTAGACTGTCCAGAACCCAGCTCCTCTTAGGAACAGTAATGGATAATTACTTTCAAAAGGTCTTGAGTGGAGAGAAGATGAGGAGAGAAGAGAAAACCTTTTTACTCTCTGTACTTCTGTATCTTTTGGAGGGTACAAGTATTAATATATATGCATTGTGTATTATTTATGTAATTTTAAAAAAGAAAAAAGGAAAGGCTATTAAACAAAAATGTCTTTTTCTCAAACCTTTGTGATAGAATGAGTTAGCGTCCCCAGAGTAATGAGAAAATTGCACTTGCTTCATAATGTTTCAATTACCAAATAAGGAACGCCTATTACCTAATTACTTAAGAAGGAATACAGCTGTTTACCAAATAAATGCATTTATAAACATTTGGGTACTTACAAGGTGCCAAGCAGCATGCTATCCTAGACTCTCTCCTCTTCTCAGGCCACTCACTTTCCTTGCTGATCTTCTATTCTCCAATTGCTTCAAGTCCCATCTTACATGCCAACTATCCCCAAAGCCAGCTTTCTCTCACCACAGAGCAAGCTGCCCATTAGGTATCTCCTCTTGGATGGCCCACTACCTCCTAGGTTCAACATGTCCCAAACCAGAATCATCATCTCCCTTAGGCCTGACCCACTCCCTATGTTGCCCATCTCAGTGTATACCCAAGTGCCCAACCCCTCACCTTTCACCAGTATCCAACAATGGCCAGTTCTCCACTTCCTAAATCTTCAATCTGTCTGTTGGTCCCTACAGTTACATATTTTCTCAAAGGACTAGCCTTTCTCATCAAGACCCCAGCCTTGAAGCTCTCTGCAATCATTTTCCTTACTGTTCCAGGTTTAATCTTTCTCACTAAAAATCTGATTGATTGCTCTCATCCTGGAAAGTTTTCGGGAGCCCTTCATCAAACCCTCAGCATCAAATCTAGGGATGTTATGATCTGGATCTAAGCCTTTATCACCTCTCCAGCCTCATCCTCCACCAAACTAACCACCCCTCTCTCCTAAGCTCCATCCTACCCCCTACACAGCATGCTCTCACTAGCTATGCTTCATTACTTTAGGGTCCTAGATACAAGCATTCACTTGCCTCATAGTTTTTCCCCTTACTATCTGGTACACCTTTCTTCCTCCATATACTTCCTCTCCCATCCCTTGACTTCGTACACTCTTACTGGTCCTTCAGGTTTCAGCGTAAACACTTCTTTCTCTAAGAAGCTTTCTCTAACTACCCTTGCATCTCCCCACTGCAAATACTGGGTCGATGATCCTTCTGCTTGCCATTCTGTTTTATCCCTCTCATGGAACCTAACATGCTAAACTATAATTTCTTTTTATTCCTCTATATCCTCACTAAACTGTAAATTACTTGAGGTGAAGGGTTCTGTCTGCCACTCTTCTCCATGGAAGGCATTTACATCAATATTGGTATATGAATGCCAACTTACAGAATAAGCATCTCTGGACAAATCATTTACTTACTGAAGCCATTTCAATAGAACCCTGAACTTTTTTAAGGCTAAATATTCAGATTCCAGAGGAAATAATACTAATGTTGGTGTTAGGAAGCCCATCTTCTAAATGTTGCTGCTATCACCTGTGTGGCCTTCGACATGTCAGTTAACTTGTTTGAGCCTCTGTTTCCCTGTTTATAAAATGAGGGAGCTGAACTAGTTCATTAAAATCTCTTTTGTTTATAAAATTCTGTAATAGTAAATGCAGCAAGGCATCATTGTCAAATTATTTTCAAGAGAAGTCCAGTTTAATTTACTGTATCAATAAACTGATACCATTTATCAAAATAAAGTAATCAAAACTGGGTAGAAGAAGGGAGAAAACAGTGTAGCAGTTAGAAGCATGAATTATAGGGTCAAAACTTCCCAGGTTCTTGTTTTAGCCGTGCTGTTCACTAGCTGGTGTTATCTTGGCTGTGCTACTTAATAACTAGTGTTATCACAGAGTTACTCAACTTTCATAGCATCAGTTTCTTCATTTGTAAAAGAGAAATAGCAATAGTGCCTTTCACACAGAACTATTAAGGATTAAATGAGATGATACATACAAAAGGTTTAGCATAGTATGCCTAGTACAGAGTAAATGATCAATAAATGCTATTATCATTTTAAACTATCAGCGAAGAGTTCTTATATTGACAAGGATGAGAAACATTATAATAGCATCAGAGTAGTAGTCACTGTTGAGAATGCACTTTCTTGAATACTTGTAAAGTCTCTTTTCAATTAAAAATGCAAAAAATTATAAAGACAAATAGAAAGCACGCTTACTCATTCCCATTACCCAAAATTAGCCACTTATTATTGAAAACATTAAAAATACTTTCAGAAAGATGGCTACTGTCAAGTTTATGAATTGTATCATTGCTGCCTGACTCCTAATCCTTCCTTCTGCATTCATTTTTTGTACTTCCTAAGGGGTTTTTTAGCAATGGTCAGTGAATGATAAACTTCAGTCTTTGAAAAAAGCCATTTCACTCACACTCTTGAATTATAGTTAACTTGAGATCTACTGATAGTTTAACTTGATATCACACTCTTGCATGGCAGTTTATTCTCAGTTGACAGTTTTTTCCTCAAAGCACTTTGTTCCATCGTCTTTCAGCCTTGATTGCTGCTGTCGAAAAGTCTTCTGTAAGTCATACTTATTATAGTCAAGATTCCTTGTAATTCTTATATGAGAACTCTTGGAATGTTGCTACTCTTTCCTTCTCTCTATTCTTTTCTTATCTCTGCTCAAAACCCTCCAATGGCTTCCCATTTCAGAGTACAAACAAAAATCCTTTCCATGGGCTAAAAGCCCTGCATGATCTATCTTCCCCACTCCCATTACTCTATAACCTCATCTCTTCTCTTCTCCCCTTGATTACTCCACATCTCTGGTAATCACAGAGTTTTGCTCTGTGTCCCCACCCAAATCTCCTCTCAAATTGTAATTCCCACATGTCAAAGGAGGGACCTGGTGGGAGGTGATTGGATATGGGGGTGGTTTCTCCATGCTGTTCTCATGATAGTGAGGGAGTTCTCTCACGATACCTGATTATTTAAAAGTGGCAGTTTCCCCTGAGCTCTCTCTCTCTCCTGCCACCTTGTGAAGATAGTGCCTGGCTTCCCCTTCCACCATGACTGTAAGTTGAGGCCTCATCAGTCATGTGGAACTGTGAATTAAACTGCTTTTGTTAATAAATTACCCAGTCTCAGGTAGTATCTTTATAGCAGTATAAGAATAGACTAATACACGTGAACTCTGTGCTATTCCTCAAACATGCTGCTGACTTGAGGCCTTTGACTTACTATTCATTCTGATTTGAATAACAGGAATCAATCATTTATCCCAGGAATCCACACCTGTTCCCTTTATCTTCCTCAGAACTCTGCTTAAATATTACTGTTTAGAGAGGCCTCCCCTGACTACACCACCCCAAGTAGCAGTCAGACTCCCATTCTATCATTCTCTATTCCCTTATTCTGCTCTATTTTTTCTTTACAGCATGTATTACCATTTGACACATTATATTTATTTATAATATGTCTTACCTTCTGTGTTAGGCAGGCTCTAAGATGGCCCCTAATGATCTCTGCGTCCTGGTATTCATGCTTTTGTGAAACCTCATCTCCTTGAGTGTAGGCCAGACTTACTGACTCATTTCTAACAAATACAGCAGATATGATGAAATGTCACTTCCAAGATTAAGTCATATAAAGACCATGACTTCCATCCTGGGTTCTGTTTCTTACTTTCTCTTGGATCATGCCCCGAGGGGAAGCCAATACACCAAGTCATGAGGCATCCCTATAGATGGGTACTTATGGTGAGAGACTGAGGCCTAGCAACAACCATGTGAGTAAGCTTGGTAGTGGGGCCATCCCTGTCCTGAATCAATCCTTTAGATGAGACTGCAACTCCAACCTACAGCATGACTGCAATCTCATGAGAGACTGTGAGCCAGAGGTACCCATTAAGCCCTGCTCAGATTCTCAACCCATTTCTGTTACATAACAGGTATTTGTTGTTTTAAGATGCTACTTTGAGTCATTTATTATGTAGCAATAGATAATATACTCTCATGTGTAAAATATAAAATATCATGGGATGTATTAAGAAAGACACCACTCTATATGCACTGTGATGATATAACCAGCCCTTTAAAATCAAATTTGGAGTAAAGCAAGGACTTCATTTTATTATTTATTTATTTTTGAGACAGGGTCTCACCCTACTGCCCAGGCTGAAGTGTAGTAGCACAATCTCAGCTCACTGCAACCTCCACCTTCTGGGCTCAAGCGATCCTCCCCACTTTAGCCTTCCAGGACTATAGGCACATGCCACCACACCTGGCTAATTTTTGTATTTTTTGCACAGATAGGGTTTTGCCATGTTGCCCAGGCTGGTCTTGAACTCATGGCCTCAAGCAATCCACCCACCTTGGCATCCCAAAGTGGTGGAATTACAGGTGTGAGCCACCGTTCCCAGCCTTTGACTTTAGAGCCACTCATTCATGAATTTGAAATCTCCATGGTGGTAGTGACTTTTTGCTGAATACTACCATCCCTTTTGCCTAGAAAAGTTACAGGCACACAGTAGTCACTTAATAAATATCTGCTAAATGAATACATGGTTAAAAATTATATTCTATAATGTTTATTACAAATTTAGAAAATGAAAAGATCTTGAGATGTTTCCCTAGGCAATGCCAAAATTTACTTGAAGGGCAACACACTGGTGGTGCACAGGCAGAAACCAGCCTGCAGAAGACAAATCTTAGCTAGCCAGAATGATATTTTGAAAAAAATTTTATGACAAATAGGGCCCAAAAGTTTGCCATATATGTAACTACCACTCTTGTCTTATAACTAACAAATTCCTACCTTTATATTATATGTCTATGACCCCTGGTCTATAGTTAGTCATTCTCCATCACTAGAGGTGTTGGAAAATAGCTGCAGGCATTTTCATACTATAAGGGTGGGTATCCTAAATTATCTCTAAAGTGACTTTGAATTTCAGGACTCTATAATTTCATTCATTTAATTGTATGTGTTTTGCAATTATTTAATACTTAGATGTTACATTGAATAGACATATATTTAGAAACTTTTTAGAAGAATCAGCCAGTTTTAGACATGCTAATTAATGGAATCTAACAAATAGTTTTTTCTTTTTTTGAGACAGGGTCTCACTGTCACTCAGTCCGGAATGCAGTGGCGCAATCATGGCTTCCACGGCAACCTCAACCTCTTGGGCCCAAGTGATACTCCCACCTCAGCCTCTCAAATAGCTGGGACTATAGGCATTCATGTCATGTCCAGTTAATTTTTTTTTATTTTTTTGTAGAGACAGGGAGACAGGGTCTCACTTTGTTGCCCAGGCTGGTCTCAACTCCTGGGCTCAAGCAATCCCCCTGCCTCAGCCTCCCAAAGTGCTGGGATTACAGGCATGAGCCACAGCACTCAGCACAAATATTCTTGAATATATAACCATTTTCAATAATTACCAGGTCATTGGTAAATAACTTTGTCAGGTGTGTTGTTTAATGTAACTATGCCTCCCATTTCTAGTTCATGAATGAGTGGTTCCAAAGTCACAGTCAAACAGAGAAAAATAACGGTGCTCCTTGTTTTACTCCAAATTTGAATTTAAAGTGCTAGTTACATTATTGCACTGGTTACAGAGTAGTGTCTCCCTCAGTACATCTCATTTTATTCATAACGAAGGCATCTGTCTTCCTTTTAGGTAACATGCCAAGGATGCAATCTTATTGTACTAATAAAACGTTTGGCTATGTCTACCAAACATTTGAAAATTTGTCCATTTCCTTTCAGCAGCTTTAACAATGTTATTTAAGACTGTCACTTTTTTTTTTTTAACATAATCCAAGGTGCCAATGAAAGCTCTCTGGCCCCTAGATTACAAATGCCACCGAGAAATGATCCTGTCTTACTTGGTTCATGGCCATATTCCAAGTGCCTAGCGGAAGCCTGACAAATAGTAGGTGGTCAATAAAAGATTGCTGAAAACATGGAAATAACTAATTTGAATTATGTAAGTATGCACTTCTATCCTAGTTGTAGTTTCAACAAAAAGAAACCTAGAAACTAAAAACTAATAATAACGCCAAACATTGGGGCAACATTAAAATAAGAGGCTTTCAAGATAACCAATTTGAAAGGAAAGCATTCATGTTTGACAAAGTTCCATTATGGTTGTTAGAAAATCTGCTTAGTCTGTAGTCACTACTATGAATTTTATTAAAAGTCACTAGAACTCCACAGTCTTCCTTTAAAAAGACTAGCTCTAAAGAGAAGTAAAAGATGAGTAACAGTTTGTGTTATTGAATGCTGATTATGTGCCAGGTACTATGCTTGAAACCTCACACATTTCTTACTATTTATTTATTTATTTTGCCAGTACAACAGAATAGATTTTATTTCTCTTAGAGACAGGGTCTCACTCTGTTGCTCAGGCTGGAGTACAGTGGCTATTCACAGGCACAATCCCACTACTGATCTGCATGAGAGTTTTGACCTTCTTTGTTTCTGACCTAGACAGGTTCACTCCTCCTTAGGCAACCTGGGGGTTCCCTGCTCCCAGGAGGTCACCATATTGATGCCAAACTCAGTGTGGACACCCGACTGGCATAGCGTACTACAGCCCTAACTCCTGGGCTAAAGCGATCCTCCCACCCCAGCCTCCCAAGTAGCTGGGACAATAGGCACATGTTACTGCATCTGGTCACTTGTTTCATTTAATCCTCACAAACATTGTATGAAGCAGAATCTGAGTTATCTCTGTGTCTGATGAGAAAACAGATGCAGAGAGGTGAAGGGACCTGCCTTAGGTCATACAGCTACTAGTATGCAGTAGGAAGGCAGGTATTTCAACCCAAGCTACTGATCTTAACCATTTGGCTACGATGGCAGAGCCAGTTTCTTAAATCATAAAATCTCCAGGACAGCTTCAAGGTCTAAATGATCATGTGGAAAAGTGGCTACAGGGACTCAGTTAATTAGTTACCATCTCCTCTCCCACTTTCTTCATCTGGGGGCCTCCCAACCTGGCTCCTTAGGCAATGCTAACTTGTAGTTTGGGACAATAAACAGTGACCCAATAATTTGCTTCCTCCCTGCCTACAACTTTGGGGAGCTTTAGGATATTTTAAGCAATATGTGGTATTGTTTGATGAAGCCCACTGAAAGGGAAGTAAATATGTTGCTCAATTACAAAGTAATTGGGGAAGTTAAATACATTGCCTCAGGTCATACAGCTAGTAAGTGATGGAGCTGAGATTTGAATCCAGACATTTTTCCCCACACGGAGCTGAGATGTGAACTCAGACTTTTTCCCCCATGCAGTGTTCTTTCCACAACCGAAAGAGAAGCTGCATAAATTCAAGGTCAGTAATCCATATAGAAAGAGAAGATCAGAGAACAGAAGTCACAACAAATCTTAAAAATATGTGGAAGTAGATGAGAAATGCTGCCAGAGAAAGGCAAATTCAAAATGACACAAATGTTGCAGAATTAGGATTACGGCAGCATCTCTAAGAAGATGCTAACACCATGTTAGTACAGGATTGGAAAGGGTGGCTGCATCAACTTTTTAAATCTCTTCTAACGAAGACGCAGTAATTATGATAGAAATGACTACACTCTTCTTTGTTAATAATTCAGCAAGCACAGAGCATAAGTACCATATGAAAGCTGTGGTTACATAAATAAAAGATTGATGGACAAGAATATATATATACTATATATTTTGTGGGTTTGGAATATATGTGTGTATACGTATACACACATACATGTATGACACACGTGTTTGTGTATGCATATGTATACACACACAGATATAAGTTTATATATGTATATATTCAAAACCTACAAAAGTTTTTGTATGGGCCATCAATTAAAAGTAAAGCATGAATCTAAAAAAAATGCATTTTTGAGCAATCAGGGAAATTTAAATATAGACTGAGTATTAGATGATATTAAAGAACTATTGTTATTTAGGGGTAAGTTAATGGCACTCTAGTTGTTTTTAAGTTCTATCATTCAAGCCTGGCAAGGTGGCGTGCACCTGTAATCCCAGCTATTTAGGAGGCTGAGGCTGGAGAACCGCTTGAGCCAGGAGAGTTCAACACCAGCCTGGGGAACACAGCAAGACCTCATCTTTAAAAAAAAAAAAAAAAAAAAAAAAGAGTTCTATAATTCAATTACTATTAATACATCCAAGTCATTTCATTTTCAATCTGGATTGAATATTGGCATTATTGCTTATTTTTTATGAAAATAGAGCAGCTGAATTGTCAGTGTCAAAGCTTTGGGGTTTTTTGCTGTTGTCTTTATCCTCCGATTGGGACTTTTGAATTTAATGTCTAGTTACAGGATTCAACTTTTGTGACACATTAGGAAGACACTGTCTCTAATATTTAGGAACCAGAATTATCTGAACATATTAATCAACAGTATACAGAACTGTCCTGTCCCACTGACCAGGTCACAATGAGCTCTACAAAATAAACAAGTGCAAATGCTTTGTTGTCTAAACTTCTTTACTTTCTAACCAATGCTTAATAGTAATTTTTTTTTGAAATGACCAAAAAAGTATGGGTCACAGTGCTGTTTGCCATGTACAAAGGGCAAGAGAAAAGCACCTCTCCCCTAAGCTAAAAGATTAAAAACTTGGAGAAAAGGGAGTTCAGGTGATCACGAACTCTCTACTCTGTGTTTCTACAGAACTCACTTGCTCATCTACGATTCAAAAGCTGCCCTTTGCATGAGTACCTTTCAGTTTAGGAATGTAATTTCAACAGTGCATCCATTTTATCCAAATTCCAATAGAGTAAGAAAAAAATTGGATGCTCCATAACATTTCTTATAAAAGAATTTTATCAGTAACACTGTACTTTCTAGCCAATGCTTAAAAAACTGTTGACTGTCTCTTTTCTGTAACTTTCTGGTATGTGAGAGTATCTCAGATTAATAACTCAAAAAAACAGTATACACAACCACTTTATCAGATGTCCAGATGACAAGAAACTTGAAAAGATACTAAGTATGTTGGGTAACAGCTTGTCTGGCTAGAATAAAAGGTCCAATTGAACATACACAGAGGTGTGCCACCATTTGGAAGCTGGCAAGACAGCCCTGCTGTTGTTTTCTTCATCTACCTAGTGAGATGGGAGACGCACGTTTGATTATAGGGTGTCAAATACCGGCATCAGATAGTATCTGCTGGGGGCTCTGATGGGTACAGCACAGCTACCCAAATACCAAAGGATTTGCTTTCATGAACAACTTTCCCCAAGAACTGTGCCCTGCTACTCAAAAGATGATCAGGGAGACCCACAACATCAGCACAAGCTTAGAGAAAACTTGTTACAAAGGCAGAAGCTCTGCCTCACCCAGACTTTCTGAATCAGAATCTGCATTTTAACCAAATTCCCAGGTAATTTGTATGCACATCACAGTTTGAAAAGCATGGATTTAGAGGATTATTGTCAGTTTGGAAGGAGGTTTCCACAAAACTCTTCCTTGGGCCCCTCCTGTTCCTCATTTTTACTGATGAGTCACATAAGGATATTGAAGAACCCTCATCAAATCCCAAGTAACACTAAACTAGAAGGAAACAATTGCAAAAGCACCTCTTGGAAGAGACCAGGCTTGACAGCTGATCACGTAAAAGAATATAAACAACCAGAGATTTGCTAAAGAAAAAAAAAAGTAAGGCACACTTGAGTATACTGCTACAAATCAGACCACTTCTAGAGAACTAGCTATAAGTCTGGTCACACATTCTAAGTGACTGACAGTGAACTGTGGTCACACAGTTTGGTGAGAAACAAGGAGGGAAAGGGATCTGGAAATTCTATCGAAAAGAATGGCTGAACTGAAGGATCTTAAACCTGAAGAAGAGGTGACAATGTGGGGACATCATGGTCATATTCACACATCTGAAAGATTGTCTCAAGACATTTCATTCTACAAATGTGTTTTTGAGCATCTGCTATGTGCCAGGCACCATGCCAGGAGCTAAGGATACAGAGAGTGAAAACCAGAACAGATCTCTAATTTTCTGATGTTTCTTGCCTAATGGAAGAAACCTGCCTGTTTTTCCAGAAAGCACAACTCCAGACAATCAAAGGCAAGTGGAAGGACATGGGCACCATTCAAGGAAGCCCCTTCTGGCCAGAAGGCTACAGCTTTGTAAAGAAGTGAATAGACAAAAGTTCCGAGGCTCCCCAGGGCTGGAAAGAATGAGTTAAGAAAGGATGACCACCTCCCAGGGAGTAGTAGCTCAGGGGACTAACAGGCCAATGCTAATATTCCAGGGCTAGAGGATGCTTGGGGTCAATGACATTAATCCAAGATTTGTTTAGAATTATGCTACATTCAATTTAGCTGACAACAAAATTTTTAAAACTTAACAATTTAGAATTAACAGCTAAATTTTGTATGTAAATGATGTCATACCTTAAACTTATGAGTAAATGATGTCTAAGTTCTCATTTAGTAATAGTTTGTTGTTGTTGCTGTTTTGAGATGGAGTCCCACTCTGTCTCCCAGGCTGAAGTACAGCGATATGATCTCGGCTAACTGCAACCCCTGCCTCCTGAGTTCAAGTGATTCTCCTGCCTCAGCCTCCCGAGTAGCTGGGATTACAGGCACCCCCCCACCACACCTGGGTAATTTTTGTATTTTTAGTAGAGATGGAGTTTCAACATGTTGGCCAGGCTAGTCTCGAACTCCTGACCTCAAGTGATCCATCCACCTCAGCCTCCCAAAGTGCTGGGATTACAGGCATGAGCCACTGTGCCCAGCCTTAGCAATAGTTTTTAAAACCTAAGATTTAATAAAAATCCACATTATTTATTGATTGATTTTTTGAGATGGAGTCTTGCTCTGTTGCCTAGGCTGGAGTGCAGTGACACAATCTCTGCTCACTGTAATCTCTGCCTCCTGGGTTCAGGCGATCCTCCCACCTCAGCCAGACCATACGCATGTGCCATCACACCTGGCTAATTTTTATATTTTTTGGTAGAGATAGGTTTTCAACATGTTGGCCAGACTGGTCTTGAACTCCTGACCTCAAGTGATCCATGCGCCTCGGCCTCCCAAAGCGCTGGGATTATACATAGGCATGAGCCCCTGCGCCCAGCCCACATTAATATTTTAAGTAAAAACTCTGTATTAATGACTTATTTCAATTGTACTCTTCTCTCAGCTATCCCTCAAACTACTATATTTCCAGTTCCTTGATGTAGCTTCAGAGTTGCTCATTCCACTCCCAAAATTATCCTAAAGAAATAATTCCATTTCTTCTTCCAGAAGAACAAAAGAGGGAGGGGTGGGGAAACTAGTTGCCTGAGATGCAAATAAACAATATTTATAAAGAAAAATAATACATAAAACACTTCAGTAGAATGCAATCCTTTTCATAGAATGCAGCAAGGCATAAAAAATTAAAAATATATAATAAGACAATATTTAAGGTAAACTGAGAAACTATCATATATAATTATGCAGGTTACATAGCAACATGGAAAAATGCTTACAATGACATGGGAACAATACAAACTTGTATAATTCTAGCCATATAAAATTATGCATGCATGTGATCAAAAAGTAGGAAAAAAGAAAATCCAAGAATTTTCTAGAGTATTAGAATTCCCTTTTTAAAAAATTTAAACTTTCTATTTCACTGTTGGCTGTACAATACTTTTATAATAAATTTATCAGGAGCCAGCCAGGCGCGGTGGCTCACGCCTGTAATCCCAGCACTTTGGGGAGGTCGAGGCGGGAGATCGAGACCATCCTGGCTAACATGGTGAAACCCCATCTCTACTAAAAATACAAAAAAGTTAGCCAGGCGTGGTAGCGGGCACCTGTAGTCCCAGCTACTCAGGAGGCTGAGGCAGGAGAATGGCCTGAACCCGGGAGGCGGAGCTTGCAGTGAGCCGAGATTGCGCCACTGCACTCCAGCCTGGGCGACACAACGAGACTCCGTCTCAAAAAAAAAAAAAAATTATCAGGAGCCAAAATAACTAACTCATTACAAGTGTAAGAATTTGTACATTCGCAAGAAATGAAATAGTAAAAGGTGACACACACAGTTTGATCTTCTCGTTCAGTTGGTTGTCCTTTATAATGCTATTTAAGTTCATAAACAACCAAAAAGTAAAGATAATGAGATTCATGTTATTAAAAGTGCCTAACATTTGTGGAAAGCAAAAAGGACTTTGTTCAGCAACTGCCCATGAACTTTGGGTAAAAGCAAAACTAAATTTCTGGAGTCTATTTTGCTTTTCACCTTATTTGATCTCACTTAACATCACTCATGCCAAGTTGAGTTTTTTTCCTCTTCTTTTCCCTTCTCCTCAAGTTCATAAAGTAAAAAAAAAAAAAAAAAAAAAAAAAAAAAAAAAAAAATACATGGCAGCTCTGTTACAGTCCTCACTGTTCTCCCAGCAATACTATGTATGAAATGCGGCTTTCTGGAATGGGCCACAGAGAAAGTAAGATAAGAGAAATATCCAAATACTACCTGTCACCACGGGGATCACCAGGACTGAGTTGACTTAGGGCCAAGAGATCTGAGCTCAAGTTTTCCACATCTATAACATGGAAATAATACTACTTGCCCCAAAAGGTGATGTCACAAGAAAGTCCCTAGCACATGGTGATGCTCAAGAAATGCTCATCTCATCCTTTTTTCCCCACCTTCTGCCACACACGTGCACATGAGCTCTGCCCATTCTAAAACTACAGGGGTCCTTAAGTCTACTATTTCCCAGATGCCCACTCCAACTTTCTCTACCCTGCTCTCTGTCTTGGCAGGCTAATCATTATGAATCACATCAACAGGTCCCTATGACCTTGACCTCTGATTGGGTTTAGCCAATGCTAAGTCCCAGAAAGAGATCGGGGGAGGAAGGGAGAAGCGAGGGAGGGAATAAAGTTGAGAATTCATTCTACTTGTGGCGTATGCATCCCTCAACCAAAATTCACTGCTCCTCTCAAGGTAGCCTCTTGACACTTGATAATGACAATCTCTTCTGGCTCCTGATAACTACTTTCATCCATTTTCATCCATTTGTCTCTTTGGAGCTAGGGGTAGTAACAGCTCCACCATCACTATAAACCCTGGTTCCTGCACTATCCCTTATGGTTTTCTCTACATCCTGCCCATACCTCTTGAAGTAAACTCTCTTGGAATTATCCTAAGTTGAGAATGCCAACTTTTCCTGTTGGGACTCTGACAGATAAAGTTCTGTCTATAGAATTCCAGAATCATTTATATCTTGAATCAACACAAGGAGAATGGCAGTTCTGGGGTTTCAGATTGAGATGCACATGCAGGCAGGATCTGATAATTCTAAAATACTCCCAAGTATTGATGATTCAAAACTCCCAAGGCTAGCCTGTGTTCCCCCAATAGGCCTGAGTTGGTCCCACAGCTGAGCCATTCTCCTCAGACCCCAGAGGAATAACATCAGCTTCTAAACCCTTGGGACCCTGTGAATTGACAAGAAGTTCTAGGCACCCCCATGTTTTAAATCTTCAGTCCAGCCTCAGTCAGTGAGTCCCAGTTTTATCTCAAACTAATAAAGGTGTCCAAATTACCAATCTCTCAGAGACTGGGGGAAGGGGAAACATAGCAGCCTCGCAAACATCCCATCTTTCCTATTGTGCCATGGTTTCATGTGGAGTTAGAAAATAGAGCACAAGAATGGACTCTCCAAAACCAAAGGGTTGTGTTAGCCTCGGATGGAGTGGGAAAGAATATGAAGTAACCCCCCTACACACACCTTTCTCTCCTTTCCAATTCCCAGAGCAAGTGAGGAAATGGGGACCTAGTTACCCAGGGTAAGTAAGTATGTAAGGCAGAGCCAGGACTGAATAAAGGCAACTGACTGCCAGTCCAACTTTAATGACAACGGCCATATTTTCTCCCATTTGGTCTGTGCTGTCCAGGTGTCCAAAGGCGAGTTAAAGGAAACACCCCTCAGTTGAGTCCTAGCCCACCATAATGTGTCAGACTTTTACTGGTTTAAGATGCACTTACAAGGTCTAGAGTGGCCCTAGTCATCCTAAGACTGAAGAACTCACAGAAGTTTCATCTATTTCTATTGAGTCTAAAGATATAGAGCTAAGGACAGCCTTAGCTGTCAGCACCCGCCATGTGCAGAGGGCTCTTCCAGATGCCCTGGTGAGTTAAAAAGAGTCATCCAATTCTTTTTTTTTTTATTTATATTTTAAGAAGACCAGAGAAGTAAATACAAAGTACAAGAGAAAGGAACTGTACACAGAGCATTACCCAGCAGGAAGGCATTAAAGCAGCAGCATAGTGGCACATTAGGAGCTCGTTGCTCTGGGTCACACTGTGACATGTGAAACATGGAGCATGCCCCAGCCTTTCCAAACCTCCATTTCTTCATCATTAAAATGAGGTCAATAACACTATCCACTATTAATGACACTACTATTAACACAGGGTTAATGATACATGTAGCAGTCCTTAGCACAGTGAGTGACATGCTATGAGGGCTCAATAAATGCTTGCTTTTATAATCAGACCAAACTGAAGTTGGTTAAGTCTCCTCTAGCTGGAAATCAAATTCTACAGCCTTACTGGCATCTTACCTGCACCCTAGGGCTTAAAAGCCTTTGTTTACTTTTAGAGGAAGTATATTACAATATTAACAAATGTAACAAAACATAGCAGTAAAACTATGCTAGTAAGATCACTGAGCTAGAAATACTTCATTGAATAGATGTTTTAGAACCTACATTCAGAGGGGAGTTCCATGAGAGTGGGTGTCAGCCAGGAGTAAGTTTAGTAAGGGACTGAACCATTAAAATGCTAACAAAACCTCAGGATAATTCATTAGGATCACAATATGCAGACTAAGGAGGAAGTTTACATCTGAAGAAACCAGGGATCCAGAATCTGAAGAGAGGGACTTGGGAGATGAAAGTGAAGAAAGCTTCTTCAGGTACTTGAAGGGTTGCATATGTTATATATGATGGGAAAGACTAAGGAAGTCCAGTGGGTCAAGAGTCCCAGGACAAATATTGTGGCTTCCTATGAGGAAGACTGTTCTTGTGCTAACCAAGAGGTGTCCCCTACGTAAGATGATGAGTTGGCATCTCACCAGTGGGCATACTGGAAAACCCTGTGGTCACTTCCTACCTGAAAGTCTGCAATCCTAATGTCTTATTTGGACACCAGAAATAAACATAATTGGGAATCAATAGAGTGCAGCTCCTATGTGCCAGCATTTCTCACCCTGCTAACAACAAAACCTTCAGAGAATAATATAACAGCTCAAATTTAGTCTGCTATTACATTTACTTGGGCAGTCTTATTCCATTTGAGAGGCATTCTAGTTAAAGGTAAATAACAACTCTATAATGTTTTTTCTTAAAGATAAATTAATCAGCCCAACACTATATCAAAAAAGGCACAAGGATAATCTGTCACATGATTTTGAGTAATTATGCTAAGGGTTTCATTTAATCAAAGGCATCATTGCTTTTTTGCTCTGCTAGGCTCAGAAAACTAAACATTGAAAAAAATCAAGAAATATTCTAAAAATCACAGCCACTGAGAAGAAAGTGATTCAACATTATATTTTCTTTGTTCCACCTGCCAAAAATGATAGAGTGAATTTGGAGCTGAGAAAGACAAAAAGAAAAAATTCAAGAGTAGAAAAAGACATATGAAAGACAAGCATGAGGCTAGGTGCGGTGGCTCATGCCTGTAATCTCAGCACTTTGGGAGGCTGAGGCAGGTGGATCACTTGAGGTCATGAGTTCGAGACCAGCTTTGCCAACACGGCGAAACCCTATCTCTACTAAAAATACAAAAATTAGCCAGGCATGGTGGCAGGCACCTGTATTCCCAGTTACTCAGGAGGCTGAGGCAGGAGAATCGCTTGAACCTGGAAGGCAGAGGTTGCAGTAAGCCAAATATTACACCACTGCATTCCAGCCTGGGCGACAGAAGGAGAAGAAGGAGACTCGGTCTCAAAAAAAAAAAAAAAAAAAAAAGCCAAGCATGAGAGTTTAGTGACATTAACCACCCAAAACCTTCCTGAAACTCCAGATGTATGATTTGTATACCTAAGCATATAGTGCAGTCTCCACCCGCGTTTTCTTTTTCCTTCACCACAATGAGTTGGGTAGCAGGAGAGAAGGATATAAAGGCAGAAGCTCATCTTTCATTCAGTCTATTTGCTGCCTTTGACGGCTATCACAATTCAGCACACAAGAATGTTAGTGCTCATCACCATGGAGGCAATTGTAATGTCAAACCCAGAACTGTGGAATCACAAAATATGAGACACATGTAACAGGCTTTGGGATGGGAGGGTAGGAGTGGAGATCCAAATTACCAGGCAAGAAATTCAAGGCTTCAGAAGCCCTTTTGAAGCAATTCAGATTCTTAGTCATTTTTTTTTCCTTTCAGAAAATTGAGACACTGATTATTTCTAGTTAAATTAATCTGTTCATAGAATATATTATACCAGAATTCCAGCCTTCAGACCCAGTGAGAAATGAATGCACTATTAAAGGATATACAATCAAGTATAGATACCTTCATTATAAAGTGTGGCTTTCACCTGAACTGGAGAAAGCAATCTTTGTCCTAGATCACGCAGTATTTCATTGTAACTCTATCCCTCAAGCACTACTAGACTGGGGAGACAAGTCAACAGGGTGCTAAGTGCTATCACAGAGGTAATCTACTTTATGCTCCAGGAGAAATGGAAAAGGAGAAGTGGCACCTACCCAGCCCGAGGGGTCAGAGAAGGCTTTTGGAGGAGGGGCACCTGAGACGAAGCTGGAAAGGCAAGTAGTGTTGGCCTAATGGGCAGGATAGGGTTTATTCTATGCAGAGGGGCACAGGGGAAGCCAGGAGGACCAACTGGAAACCCAGAAGACTGGGGAATGCTAACATTTCAGGGCTGGCCTAAGGACTTGGGGACCAGAAAGGGGCCACAGAATGATGGGTCAGAAAGACAGACGGGCCAGAAAGACAGAAGGGCTAAGGAGGAGGGCCTTTCAAGGCAGAAGTCGCTCACAGTGTGAAGGAACGCAAACCAAGTCAGACAAGGGCTAAAAGGCCTAGACTTAGGTAACCACAAAGGGCCTAAGGTGCCCTTTGCCTGAGACATTTCAGGGAAGTAAGTGGCAGTGACAGAGGCCAGAGTACAGAGGGTTAAATTGCAGGAGGTGAGGAAGTAGAGACCATGGATAAGGCTACTCGCAGGAAGCCTGGCTAAGAACAGGGAGTGAGCTAACAGGAAATACTGGATCAAATTGTATTTTCCAGCCTGAACCTCTTCTTTAAGCTCCAGACTTTCATCTCCTCTTGAATTCCTCCTTTTCCCCCACCGACTACACTCAATTTATATTCTGGCCTCCCCACTACCCATTCTCCATACAACAGTCTGGGTGGTCTTTTTAAACTATAAATCAGGCCATCATACCACCCCATACTCAAAATATACAATGGCTTCTCACTGACCTTAGAATAGAATCTTAATGCCTTGCTATGCCCTGTAAGTTCTTGAGTGATATGGGACCTGCTTTGCGCTCCAGTATCTTCTCATACACCTCTCCTCCTCTTAGTCTTGTACCAACCTGGTCTCCTTTCAGTCCTTGAATTCATTAAGAACAGTCCTGCCTTAGGATTTTTGCCCTTCCTCCTTTACCAGGAACTAGTCCTAGGCCCCCAAGCCCTTCCCAAGCTCTGTCCATCGAGGCAGGAGCCTCTTCATTCCCTCCTGTGTTTGCACAGGTCCTGCCTCACCCTTCTCAGAGCTCCCTCCACCATTTTGTGCAAATAAACACCCACACACCCCAAAATCACCTCCCATCCAGCAGATGCAGGCAAAGGGTGAGTTACCTATAAAGGAACAGGCCAGGCCGGGCGCGGTGGCTCACGCCTGTAATCCCAGCACTTTGGGAGGCCGAGGCGGGCGGATCACGAGGTCAGGAGATCGAGACCATCCCGGCTAAAACGGTGAAACCCCGTCTCTACTAAAAATACAAAAAATTAGCCGGGCGTAGTGGCGGGCGCCTGTAGTCCCAGCTACTTGGGAGGCTGAGGCAGGAGAATGGCGTGAACCCGGGAGGCGGAGCTTGCAGTGAGCCGAGACTGCGCCACTGCACTCCAGCCTGGGCGACGGAGCGAGACTCCATCTCAAAAAAAAAAAAAAAAAAAAAAAAAAAAAGGAACAGGCCACCGCAAGTGCTCTTCCAACCCCGTGCCCAACGGTTTACCTCAAATCAACTTCTTCAGAGCCCAGGTTTTCCAGCCCTCCCAGTGGGATGTTTCCTGGGTCTCACTAGTAGGGGCTTTGATGTCAAAAGACCCAGGCCCTAGCTCATTTCTCTGCTGCCAATTAGTTGTGTGCCCTTTATCAAGGCACCACTGCATCAATTTTCTTATCCTAAAAAAGATAAACAGTGTCTCCCTAGCCTTTAAGAAGCTCACCACAAAGGTGTACTAACACCCCAGTTCTCAGCTCCCTCTTCCCTGACCCAGGGACCTCTCTCCCACCTTTGCATCACTTGCCTTCTTTACCAGGAACAAGTCCTAGGCCCCTTGGCCCTTCCCGAACTCTGCCCATAGAGGCAGGAGCTTCTCCATTCCCTCCTGGGGTTGCGCAGGTCCTGCACCTCACTCTTCTCAGAGCCACCTCAACCATTTTCTGCAAATAAACACCCACACACACCCAATTCACCACCTATCCAGTAGACAGATGCCTATTCTCAACCATCTCTCTTTTAGCCTTGGTCACTAGCTCCTATCCTAGGCCTGGTATACAAAAGCCTCCCAATCATGCCCTCTCACTCTCTTCTCCAACACTGCTGGCAGGCCACTGACACCCAGGGCAACCTGGAAACCATGGTTTGAAGATGGCAGAGCATCATTAGTCTGGGCCCCCTCCATCCCCACAGGTGACTGGATTTTAAATGAGCACAGAAATGTCTACTGTTTTAAGCCACTGAAGTTTCTGCAGGGTTTATCTATTACAGTAGCTAGTGTTTCTCTACACAATACAGGCTGAATTAAAATGGCAGCTGGAGAGAAGGGAGAGGACTCTAGTGGTAATGAAGAAAGCCTGGAGCTAGGATTAGGCATAGCCTGACGACCATCTCCATTTCTGTATTACTTATCCTCTTCAAGTACTTTAAAATATGTTTTCTCATTTGACACACTTTCATCAATACTATTGTTATTAACAATTCACAAATGAAAAAAATGGACTTAGTGAAGTTAAGGTATGTCCAAGATCCCATAGCTGATAAGTGGCGAAGCCAAACTGGACACAGGACCCCTGACTCTTAGTCTAACAGCATCTTCCCTGCAGCATCTAATCTCTCAAAGCCACATTCTAGTGCCACATCAGACACACTGAACTAAGGTACAAGGGTGCTAGAATGAAACAAAAAGGATAGGTAGTCTAGTAGAACTGATAAAAGGCAGATTGTGGAGGTCTTCGTAAATATCAGACTGTGGAGTATAACTTTTATTCAAAACACAATGAGAAGCAAAAATCAACTCCCACTTCCAAGCTCCACACAGTAATTTTATATTTTACCTGCCTTCAAAGACCTTACTGCATCATCTACCCTTGGCTATCAGTGGATACCAATGCTCCACTTTACACAAAAAAATAGAAGCTTTTACAAGGGCAAAAATTCCAGCCCCTTGCCTTCTATAGACTTCTCTGTATCCCCAAATAGCCTTTCCTCTTTCCACACAGTCAAATGAAACAGGCACTCCTCCTCTGGCAATGCTACTGGCCATCTCCTGTGCATGCCCCTCCATCCACAGAAGAGACCCTGTTCAAGCACTTATCCTTTCTCTTCCTGAATCTCTGATTTTTTTCCTTTCTCCTGGCTCCTCCTTTCCTCGGCCTCTGAACATGCTAGAGCCCCTCTCATCCTAAAATCACCCCTTCCTTGGGAAGCCCATAGCCCCCTCTTATCCTCACACTTCCTAGCTGAGCTCTTTTAAGCATCAGCAGTGAAAATGCATCTCTACTTCATTACCATGGATTCTCTACTCCACCCCCACCCAAGGTAATGTGGTGGTGGGATGCTGAAACATTCACCTCCAGTGATACCTCTTAAGAGCTAAATCCAATGGACAACTTCCAACATTTCTCTTACTTTACCTTTTCATGGCACTTAACACTGCTGTACTCCCACCTTCTTGAAATTATCCCCTGCCTTAGTTTCCATGGCCCCATTCTCTCTTGATCTTCCCCCTGTCTGTCTACTCCTACTTGGTTTCCAGTATAGTCTCCTCCCCTCTGCCTCCTCACTAAATGTTGGTATTTCCTGGGGTTCCATCTTTATACTTCCTCTTACTCTACATACTATACTTTCTGTTTGAAATCATCCACAGATATAACTTCAACTGACAGCTACACACTGGAGACTTCCACAGTGTGTAGCTGTGGAAGTGTAGCTATATCTCCACAGTCCAGACCACTCATGTGAGCTCTCCACAATCTGGCTACACGTGCCTGCCAGTATTTCCACCTGGATTCCATGGGTGGAATTCCAGCTCAAACTCAACATGGCTAAAACCACAGCAAGCATCTTGTTTACCATGCTTATTCCTCTTCTTACTGCATCCATAAGGAGAGCATTTATTATTGTCTCAGTAAGGGCTCTACAGAGAAATAGAACCAATATGAAACAACTATATATATGTGTGTGTGAATGGATATCTGTATGAATACACAGTCATACTCACACACTAAGATTTATTTTAAGAACTGGCTCACGCAATTGTAGGGCTGACAAGTCTTAAATTTTGGGCAGACCAGCAGGCTAGAAATGGAGGCAAGAATTGCTGTTGCAGTTTTGAACTCCCCTACTCGAACAAGTACCCAGGAGACAGGTACTCTCCTCTATATCCCCAGCATCTTACACAGACTTGACACACAGCAGAAGCTCAGAAAGTGTTGGCTAATGGCCAAGTGGGTATAAAGTGAGATGTTATTAAATGAGAATGGGACAATAGGATGAATCATCATGGGGAAGAATCAAGACTTGACCAAGGACTATGTTACAAATCAAGACATAGCCCTTCTGGGGCATTCATTTGCCAGAATTACCGCATCACTACACCCATGACTGAACAAGGACCATTACACAGATAGAAGCATATCCATTCAATACTATATTTGAATGTCTCAACAACCCTGTTAAGTTGGCATGGCAAAGAAAAGGTCACATTTTATGAGTAAAATTGAGGTTCAAAGATTAAGGGTCTTGTCTAGGTTGCTACAAAAAATACCTACAACGAAATGTCTTAGTTGTTCAGTGATACGCAAGGTAAGAGGGAACATTAAAACAACAGAAAGTTGGCTGGGAGCGGTGGTTCATGCCTGTAATCCCAGCACTTTGGGAAGCCAATGCGGGTGGATTGCTTGATCCCAGGTGAAACCCTGCCTCTACAAAAAATACAAAAATTAGCCAGGCATGTTGGTGCACACCTGTGGTCCCAGCTACTCGGGAGGCTGAGGAGGGAGGCTACTTGATCCCAGGAGGTAGAAGCTGCAGTAAGCTAGGATCACACCACTGCACTCCAGTCTGGGCAACAGAGCAAGGCCCTGTCTCAAAAACCAACCAGCTGGGTACGGTGGCTCACGCCTGTAATCTCAGCACTTTGGGAGGCCGGGACGGGCGGATCACGAGGCCAGGAGATCAAGACCATCCTGGCTAACATGGTGAAACCCCGTCTCTACTAAAAATACAAAAAATTAGCCAGGCGTGGTGGCGGGCGCCTGTAGTCCCAGCTACTCAGGAGGCTGAGGCAGGAGAATAGTGTGAACCCGGGAGGCGGAGCTTGCAGTGAGCCGAGATCGCGCCACTGCACTCCAGTCTGGGTGACAGAGCGAGACTCTGTCTCAAAAAAAATATAAATAAATAAATAAATAAATAAACCCCAACCAACGACCAAAAAGTAACAGCTCAGCTCAAAACTCCTTATCAACATAAACCTGCAAAAAGTAATCTTCTACTATTTACAAAGAATACTTTTTATTATAACTATTGTTCTGATTTTTGTACTATATTGTGGTATGTATTGTATTATTAGAATTATATATCCATTGTTGTAATAAAAAATTTCTGGTTATATAGTAAATATCCAGAAGCACTGTTTTCTGAAATAAAGCCAATATGTATTAAATCTACGACTTTAAAGATAACTATATAGCCCTAGGTACCACCTAAGTAGCTGGTTTCCTTATTTATTAATATACATTAGAATTAGTGAAATGTTAATATTCAGTTCAAGCATTGTATTTGGGGATGCGACGCATTCTCTGAAGCCACAGAGAAGTGAAAATACTCCATTAGTCATTCTTGTTAAAGAAGACACGGCTGATTACTCCCAACTATATTTGCATATATAGTAACTTGACCTTTGCAAAGCTCTTTTCTACGTGGTCTCATCCAGTCTTAGAAAAATCTTATAAGCCAGGGCAAATCCTTTTTATTTTACTTGACAGAAAATAGGGTCAAATGCTTAAGGTCATGTAATTGATAAAAGGCAAAAGTGGGACTAGACACCAGGCCTTTCTTCCCCAAAGCCTACAGTCATTCTATAAAGCTCTCATGGCTTTCTGGCCATAGGTCCACTAGACTGTGAGTACCACAGAAGACCATGTCTGATTTGCTCTCCATTGGTGTCCAGCATAGTATCTGACACATAGTAGTCACATAATAAGTATGTTATTTGGTGAATTACTGAAATCATTTTCTTAAGTGGCTTTAGTTACCTGTATGGTAAAATGGGGCCTATAGCATTGCCAAATATCTTGGCTTTTTAAATGGTATTGTCATTATCAGGAATAAACAAAAAGGAAATGCTATCTTCTGTGAACTATATATGTTGATTCCCAAGGGGATCAAAATTCTGGGCCAGGGCCCCATTTCAGCACAAAAGGTAGCAAGTAGTATGTTTTTCAGCTTCCTGGAAAATTAAGAGTTGAATGGAGGGGTCAAGTGGAAGAGCCTTAACATGGGAAAGGAAAAATTGAATGCAAGATTTCAGGCATAACGATGACCACCTACAAGGCTAGCACAATGGTCCAGCTATAGCTAACCTACCATGGCAAGAAATGGGCTTGCCAAAGGAGTGTGAACTCATCCAGAGAGTACACACACCAGTGAGAGAGAATCCACTCCATGGCAGGAAGACATAGCTTTGAGGTAGGCCAAGCCCAGGAACCAAGTGTGCAAAGGTCTAGGGCAGAAAGAGCCACTCTGGACATGGCTTCACAGGCTTTCTGTAAAACCATCTGTGCTTAGCCACCTAGAGCAAGGCAGAATGAGGAGCAGCTGACCTCCTTTGGTTTACTGTGGCCAACCCCACAGGGATCTACCGACCACATTGACAACCACCCCAGAGAAAGATACCCAGAAATGAGATGGTGAGTATTCAAAAGTCCTGTTAACCTGGCAGACTATTCATTTCCTATGAAGGCCTCATTAACATCATTTAGAGCTCTATTTTCCCTCCATTTTAAACCATATATTCAAACATATACATCCCATTATCATTCTGGTTTTCTATTCACTACCATACCACTATATATCCCATTCTTTCAGATCTCTACTATGATCCCAAGATCATTTTCAGCTATGCTTCCATAAAAGCCCTTCTCCACCAAATATTCCTTAATGCATCACACATTAATTACAGAAACAAGGTATCCAAAGCAATTGAGTCATTTCAGATAACTGAAGGCTAATTCATTAAGCACCATGTTGTAGTCTTGCTAAAATAAATGATGCCTTAGTAAACATAAAATATCAAATGTAATTTACTAGTTCCAAAATTTTACTCAAACTTCAAGATCCAGTCTGAATACAAACATTCCCTTAAAGCAACCTCCAATCTCCTCTTGCCACCTCCATCCACCACTAGAAATAACCTCTCTTTCATCTGTGATCCTATAACATTTTGATTATATCTCCTTCACAGCACATAGCATGGTCTGCTTGAGGTTAGAGATCTAAATGCACCTCGACTTTTTAAAAAGTTCCTTGAGGACATGGACCCTCTTTTCAACTAAGGTACCTAGTTCACAGCAGGAATACAAACACTTCACAAGATGAATACCTTTAGTGACTTAAACATTATAAAGAGCACCGTAATACAGCAGAGCCTGCAAGGGTTCCTGAGCTCTGACGGGAGGAAAAGTGTGACATTAAAGAACATATTATCACCATCACACTGATCGGTTGAGTATTCCTCAGCTTTAGAAGAAAATGTTTTTCTAAAAGGGAACAACACTCTGAATTCCTTTTTTTCTCTAAAATGGAATCACTTTTTACAAATCTCAACTTGCAAAATGAAAGTTCTGGTTGAAATGGCATTGCTAATCCTCCACGGCCACATTTTCTAGGCCTCATGATGTACATTTGACTAGCTCCCTGTAGTTCACTGAGGAGAGGAGACAGTGACTGGAAGGATGTGGTAGGTGACTGGAATGCAACTGAGGTGCTGCTATTCACCAGTTTGAAAGCCAGCCTTCTCAGTCCAAGAGGAAATAAGAAATGGAACACATGATTGAGCAAATCAAGTTTTAGGCTCAAGGTCCATAGCAACCACTTCAACAGTGCTGACAACATTCTTTTCCCAAAGCTTTAGTGTTTGGGTATGATAAACCAGGTGGTATAGTGTTAAGTAATCTAAACAATGCAACTCAAATTCAGAACCTCTTTAATAGCAACAGGGGGAGTGTAAGTGGTCAGCCAAGAATGACTAACTCCAAGTTCCCTCGTGAGCAGCTATTCTTTTGCAGGATTCCTCTCCTTGTCATGGAAAGAATTTTCCCAGGGAAAATAGGGAGAATGGGGCAGTAAGGCTACCAGTATCATAATATTAAATATCTAATCATATAGACAACCCCTTGGGGATAACAACTGTTCTTAACTTTGGCTTGTTGAGTAAAACTTTGTTTTTAAATCCAGTATCTTCAGAGACAGAATTGTGCACATAATTTTACAAATACCTAAAGCACTAAGCATGCTGGTTTATGACGGAAAGCTTTCTAAATTGCACAACTTCCTTCTCAGCCTTTCTGAACAAACTAAACCCTAATTCGACCTATTCCTGTTGAACATGATAACAATTATAATCAGTTGATGTATTCAGAGACCACCGAGGCAAACAGGTTATGTTTTTCTCTATAATAAATGTCTCCAAACAGCTATACTTTGAATTATTTTATAGAGCATTTCTGTTTCTGTCATTACTAGCTGTCCCTTCCTGCTGTTGTCAGTGTGTTTGCCTCTGATAGAGCATTCTTAGTTCACTGTTTCTGATATCAGATGTATCAGGAAAGCCAAACTCTTAAGTGTCATGGGCTAAGGTTCCCTCCCACCAGTCCCACCTTCTTCAGACCCAGGCAATAGGCTTCCAGATGCCATGTTCTTAATCACTACAGCTGCATTTCCCAAACTTGCCTAATTATAAAGAATTACCAAGTGGGGAGGGTGTTAAAAATACACATTCTCAGTCTCCTCCTACTAAAGACTGTAGTTCAGTGGGCCCGGGATAGAGCCTGGAATCTGTTTTTTTAACATACATCCTCATATGATTTTCATGAACACGTTTAGAAACACAATACTACATGCCTCTAGTGCTGCCCTCTTGAATTGGGATTCCTTCAGAAGTATAATGAACCTGGGCCATGGCCGACTCCTTCCTGAGAGACCTGGCAACCAATAAACCTTCCAGGTCACTACTTTTCCATCTCCCTCGGGTAAAATCCCCTGATCCTTTCAGATTCCTGCAGGGTAACCACAACATCTCATTGCTGGGATCTCCAACCCCACCCCATTTGCTGAAGATTCGGCCCACTTTCCTTTTCTCCATCCTAAATATCCTACAATCCTTCTGATGGCTTCTCTGACCACACAGATGGCTGAAACAACTCTCCAGCCTCTCAGTTACTTGACCTCCTTGAATTCAGCCTTCTTCACTGAGTTCACTTCATTTCAGTCACTTATATCTGTAGCAAAACACAGGAATCTGTCATGCCCAGTAATTAATTGCTCCAACTCTGAAATCTTCCACTCATGCGTCCCTCTCTAGCCACATCCTATTACTCCATCACTCCACACACCCATTCCTTGACTTCAACAACACTGGTCCTTTTCTCCTCCCCATCTAGCCTAGATACCTTTAGCTATCACGTTAGTCACCCCCTGGCCAATATCCCAGTTCCTCTGCTCCACTGTCTTTCTGCCACTCACCCCAGCAAACCCCAACCCTGGCTCAATCCAACTATATGCCTTCTTTGCTCCTAAAACCAGGCAGCTGAATGCTACCAGTGCCCCAGTTAATCCATGGTCCTATCTCAGTGGAGCCCTGCATACTGCCTGGAGATCATGGACATTGTCTCAGGTTCATTACCCACTCTTCTTGACCTCAATGGTATGTCAAACCTTGTTTTCCTCTGACCTCTTCCCATTTATTCTTAGCAGACCTCACCTCTATTTCACAGAGATGATAACCACCACCAGACTTGGCACTTGCTCATAAGGCATCCCACCAGAAAATATAACTGTGCCCAGATATTCCAACATGCGAGCTGTCAAGCCCATTATGCTTAAACTGAGTCTACTGTTCACTTGGTTATTTGAAATAAACTCCCTGGTGGTAAGCATTACTGACGTAAACAGTATGCTGGTGAATATCTTTCTAGTGCAAAAAAATAAAATAAAATAGTATAGCCAGCTTCTTGAAAGATCTCTCTACCCTGAGAATACTTCTAAAGATGGGGAAGAGGTTTTTTTTTTTTTAAAGAAAGCTATCTTACTTCACAAGCATTTAACAAGCACAAATCCAAACATACGTTGTCATACATCAATAGAATAATTATAAATCCCAACCCAGATAGTTAATTCTGATTTTTTTTTTTTTTTTTTTTTTTTTTGAGACAGAGTCTTGCTCTGTCACCAGGCTGGAGTGCAGTGGCGTGATCTCGGCTCACTGCAACCTCCCCCTCCCAGGTTCAAGCAATTCTCCTGCCTCAGCCTCCTGAGTAGCTGGGACTACAGGCACGTGCCACCACACCAAGCTAATTTTTTGTATTTTTAGTAGAGACAGGGTTTCACCATGTTGGCCAGGATGGTCTTTATTTCTTAACCTCGTGATCCGCCCGCCTAGGCCTCCCAAAGTGCTGGGATTACAGGCGTGAGCCACCGTGCCCGGCCAATTCTCTGATAATTTTTATAAATTCAAAACTACGGTCAGTGAAAGAACACTAAGTTAGTTATTGTCTGTCATTCACTCTTATCCAAACTCTAAATTGTTGATGAGTTTACAAGTCTTTTCTTGAGGATTTTTTTTTCTCCTTATAATAGTAATAGCTAACATTGATAGTTTTTTGTGTATAATTCTGCTCCTCAAAAGATCCTATGAGATAAGAACTATTATTTTTCTCCATTTACAGCTGAAAAAACAGACTTAGACATGTAATTTTCCTCAAGGCTTACAGCTAGAAAGTGGCAAAGGTAAAATTAGAACACAGAGCCTGAAAGCAAACTATCTATATGCTTTGGCATAGTGGTTATTAACAGAAGCTTCCCAGGAGAATATAACATCCTAACCCAAGTGTTCTTATTTTTAATGCTCTCATACATGCTTAGAAAAACAAGAGAAACCATCAGGGATTAATATTGCAGCATATTTCATATTCATTCATTCCTGCATTCATATCAGAAGGCAGTAATGAATAAGGGGGAAGGTTCTAAAGTCACATCACATAGATTAAAATCCTAATTCCACCATATTCTTAGCTATGTAACTTTAAACATTACTTAAATTCTCTAAGTTCAATTTTCTCAACTAAAAAAACAGAAGTGGTAATATAATTACCATCATCACCATACTGGGTTCTCCCGAAGATTTAGAGATAATGTGTGAACACACATAGCAATGGACCTGGTACATACGAATTCTCGAAAAAAGTAGCTATTAAAATAACTATTCAAAATGTTCTGAGGCCCTACACCTACTGGACTCTGGGCAGAGCACTGGGTGCTAGGACTGTACCATATACAGGACAAGGCTGTCCCTGCCCTCCTAGATCTTGTAGTCTCTATTGGGGGAGTAGACAATAAAGAAGAAAACAAAAGAAGGAAACATATAAATGAAGTGCTATTGAGGGGGTAAAGCCAGCTGGACTTCCTGGGTCGAGTGGGGACTTGGAGAACTTCTTTGTCTTACAGGAGGATTGTAATATGCACCAATCAGCACTCTGTAGCCAGGATTGTAAAACGCACCAATCGGCACCCTGTAGCTAGCTAGAGGTTTGTAAAACGCACCAATCAGCACTCTGTAGCTAGCTAGAGGTTTGTAAAATGGACCAATCAGCACCCTGTAAAATGGACCAATCAGCAGGACATGGACAGGGACAAATAAGGGAATAAAAGCTAGCCACCCCAGCCAGTAGCAGCAACCCACTCGTGTTCCCTTCCAGGTTGTGGAAGCTTTGTTTTTTCGCTCTTCACAATAAATCTTGCTGCTACTCACTCTTTAGGTCCATGCCATCTTTAAGAGCTGTAACACTCACCACAAAGGTCCGCAGCTCCTTTCTTGAAGTCAGCAAGACCACAGACCTACCAGAAGGAATGAACTCCGGACACACTATGAATTTTAGTGAAGTGCAAGCAATAAATGCACATGTGCTGAGATAGAGGACAATGGGGAGGAAGCTACTATAGAAGTGGTGATCAGGGAAGGCCCCTCTGAGGAGGAGATGTTTTAGCTGAGACTGGACGTTTAAGGATCTTTCTATGAGACAAGTGGAGGTCTTGAAGAGCCTGTACAGAAGAGGAGAATACGGCATGTTTGAGGAACTGAAGGTGTTCAATCTGACAAGCATGGCAAACAAGGAGGGGAGCCTGGAGAGGGAGCACGTCAGAGTAAGTGTGGATGCGAGTCCAAGTGCAGTGGAAGCCACCAAGCAGGGGGGTGGCATGCTTGGGTTTACTCTTTAGTAGGATCACTCTGGCTGCTGTGAGGAAAATGTGCTAGAAGAAAGCAACAGTGGAAGCTGGGAGACCAACCAGGAGACAGGGAATCATCCATCTGAGAGAGGTGGGTAGGTGAATTAGGAAGATGGAAAAAAGGGAGGGTTTGAGATATTCTAGAGGCTAGGCCAAAAAGCCATACAGATGGGTTGCATGTGGAGTGAGGAAATGAGAAGAATCACAGACAACTTTCAGGTGTCCAGCCTGAACAATGAATAGACAGTACTAACTAACAGTGAGACGGAAGGCTGAAGGGGAGAGTAAGGAAGGGTCAGGAATGAGGAATACAAATTTCGAAGCTTGAGAGGGAGATTGAGAGATCAGTTCTGAACCTGTGAAATTTGAGATCACTGGGACAGGAAGGTGGTAGCTAAAACTGCAAGTCTGGAACCAGAGAAAGGGTGGGGAGACGTAACAGAAAGAGTCATCTGCATCCAGGGGGTTCTAGGGTCCTGGGAATTGATGAGATCATTTAGAGAGAGAATATGATGAGAGAAGGGAGGTAGCAGAGCCAGAAAAGAAAAGAAATAATCAAAAATCACGTTGATAATTTAAAACTGAACATGGTAACACAGCCCACACAAACATAGAACTGGCTCAAATACATGCTCAATCAATACCTGTGGAACAAGTAAAAATAAATTCTTAACACATACTTTTAGGCCTTTTTTTTTTTTTTTTTTTTTTGAGATGGAGTCTCACTCTGTCGCCCAGGCTGGAGTGCAGTGGCGAGATCTCAGCTCACTGCAGGCTCCGCCTCCTGGGTTCACGCCATTCTCCTGCCTCAGCCTCCCAAGTAGCTGGAACTACAGGCGCCCGCCAACACACCTGGCTAATTTTTGTATTTTTAGTAGAGACGGGGTTTCACCGTGTTAGCCAGGATGGTCTCGATCTCCTGACCTCGTGATCTGCCCGCCTTGGCCTCCCAAAGTGCTGGGATTACAGGCATGAGCCACCACGCCCAGCCTCCTTTTAGGCCTTTAAGAAAATAATTTTCATTTAGGATTCCCCCCTTACCACCACCACTACCAACTTCTTGTATATTTGGAGGATAAGAAAAACAAGTTTTTGAAGGTCTCTGTTTGGATTGTGTTCAAGGAGATCCTTTTTCTTAAAAATAAGAAGCAACTGTTTTTTTCCAAAAAGTCACTAAAATGAAAAGTAGTCTACCTGAAATTCAAACCTTTGAAAAGCTTACGCTCACATTACGACTTCTCTGTAAAAATTCTACCCCAAGATACAATTTTCCCATCCTCATAAATTAAAATGCAATTATACATTTTACTACAGATGTTTCATCCTGAAAGATGAAACTGGTACTTTCAAACAGTTCAAGAGTCACAGGAGAGATGTAAAATTGCAAAAGGTCAAGGATTTATTTTAAAATGTTAAAAAAAAATTAAGTATACCTGCTAGGCCATCCAAAAACTGATAAGCAGGGAGAGGAAAAGGACAGAATTGCCAGAAAAATAAGTAAATATGTAACAGCTATTCCCCAAATGAAAACACATTAAAGCTATAATTATATCTCTGGGTATCTGTTGACACAAAAACCCCACTATGCTCTTGAGGCTTACACTATCACTATCAACTACCAAATTGAAATCACAGCTGTAAACATAACTGGGAAACTTTATACTTTTCAAAAATATCCAGTGTGACACAGGGATAACGCATAAGAAGGAAAGCCAACAACATTTGCCAAAAATGTTCCTTCCCTCAATTGTTCAAGTTAAATCAAGACCGTAATTCTTTTTAAGACCACAGCCTCACTTTGTAAAATTCTTCTCAGATATAGATGAGAAAGAAATATCCTGACCTTTAAGAGATTGTCATTTTAACTCATGACACAGCTACCTAGAAGCCTAGAAGGCTACCAGCAAGGTCATATGAATAGATGGATAATGAGCATTCATTCTTTCCTTCATTCATTCAACAAATATTAAGTACCCACAATGGGCCAGGTGCAGTTTCTGAGCCCTGAGGATATATCGGTGAAAAAAAAGTCTCACACTTCAGGGTTAATGAGGGAGAGAGACAATACACCAACAAATAAATATGTATTACCAAGTGGTGGTAAGCAAGGCAGGATAAGAACAACAGGGAAATGGGGTGTATTTGATAATGCAGTCAAGCAAAGCCAGACAACCTAACTTTTGAGCAGAGACCTGAAGTAAGGGAGTCAACTATGTTAATATCCAGGGACCAGAGTTCTAGGCGGAGGGAACAGCAAATGCAAAGGCACTGAGGCTGGAGTATGCTTGACTTTTTTGAGACAGAGTCTCGCTCTGTCTCCCAGGCTGGAGTGCGGTGGTGTGATCTTGGCTCAATGCAACCTCCGCATCCCGGGTTCAAGCAATTCTCCTGCCTCAGCCTCCTGAGTAGCTGGGATTACAGGCACGCACCACCAGGCCTGGCTTTTTTTTTTTTTTTTTTTTTTTTTTTTAGTAGAGACGGGGTGTCACCATGCTGGCCGGGCTGGTCTCGAACTCCTGACCTCGTGATCCGCCCGCCTCGGCCTCCCAAAGTGCTGTGATTACAAGTGTAAGCTTGATGTTTTTAAGAAACAGCAAAGAGATCTGTCTGGCAAGGCTCGAAGTGAGGATGGTTGTTCGGAAGAGGGTTAGCCTGGCAGGCCACAGCAAGGCCTTCAGAGTTTACTTTAAGACAAAAAGCTATTGGAGGGCTCTAAGCAGAGGACTAACATGATCTGAATTTTTTAAAGGATTGCAAAGAGAAACACAAGTTCCTACTCATAAAACAAAGATGTATCTCTCATAATCTAGTTATAAGTCAAAGAAAAAAAGCATAGAATAAAAGTTGTGTAGTATGATAGCATTTTTGTAAGAAAAAACACGTATACATGGGAACAAGGCTAAAAGGCTTAATACCAAATTGTGATTTACTATGGTTTGTGGGATTATGGGGTTTTTTTTGTTTTGTTTTGTTTGCAATGCTTTTCTTTGTTTTTCAAGTTTTCTGCCTTAAACATGAATTACTTTGGTAATTTTTAATGTTATCTTTAAAAAGAAAAAAGCACTCCACCATGAGACTTCCCTTGTCTGAAATCTTACTTCAATATGAAAAAAAAAAAAACAAACTCAAAACCAAAAACCAAAACAACATGGGGAACATTTTTTTCCAAAAATTACCACACTTCCCATGCAATGTTTGCCTGTCATGAACCACTGCACAAATCAAGCCCCGCTCAATGTATCAAGGTCACAAAACCAACTTGGTTAATATGTTGATCATTACATAGTGGCTCTGTCCTCTACAGCAACTTTGATACCATCTTTCCAAGGCAGCAACAGAAGGGCCCTTTTCATTCATTTTCTATGTGTCTTTGATACTATTTTGCGCTTCTGGATTTTTCCACTGTATGTCTCTTAGAAACAAATTAAGCTCGAATAAGTTGTTCCAGCTAATGAAGTGCGCTTTTGGCTCCTTCTCCGTGGTTCAGAATTATCCGGCAAAATACCAATTGTTTTAGGATGCATTTTCTCTTAGTTTTGAAATATTGCAATACTAAGTTACCACAAATAAAGAGCATTGAGATAACAACACACAAGAACGTGTATAAATGGAAACTACTGTAATCCTTTTTTAAATTAAGGACGTGTGGACGCCTCATGAATAAACATTTAGGATATCTGGATAAATATATACTATGTGTTCACATAGATAAAAACAGAAAGGAGCATTCCTTCCTACCTCACTCCCCCACCCCAAGTCACATAAGTTTCTCGCAGGGCACAAGCCCAGGGCAATCACTGCTCAGAAATGTAAACCATGCAACTCAAAATGACTCAAGCCCTCAAACACTCCCCACCTAAGTCCTACATCCCATCCACTCCTCAATCACTTCCAACAGGCTTCCCTGAATGAAAATCCCAAACTGGGAAGGCTTAACAAGCTCCAAACTCCACTCACACGCCACTCAGGGAATCCGAGGACCTGGGGCCCACGTGTAGTGTTTTCGCGTGGGCAGACAAGGGTCCCAAGATTCAGGGTGCTACTGTACCCCGAGTGGTTCGAGTCCTGGCTCTGCCGCCTTCACTGGTCGAGCTGACGCTCTTTACACCGGGGGCATGGGCTGCCACATCCCAGCAGAGTGCAAGGGCCCTCGGGCGTGGACGCAGGCGGCTCTCGGGTGCACACGCGGAACGCACACTCGGGCATGCACTCTCACACGGTCAGGCGGGCCTGCGCGAACGCCCCCGCTTCCCCTCTACCACCCCCTTTTGCGCCTTCTACGATGGTGGCACGCGGGGCTACCCTGACCCCTAGGACCCCTGGACGCCCGCTCCTGGAGCCCGGGGGGTGATGACAGATGGCGGAGGGCGGGGCTCCGGGGGGAAGGGGCGGAGCCTCTCAGCATGGGGGTGCTGGCGGCTGACAGAAAGACCAGGGGCAGCCGGCGGGAGGGGGCTGACTGAGACTGCGGGCCGGCCGCGGGCCAGGCGTGGCGGGAAGGAGCTCGCGCAGACACAGGGTCTGACAGGCAGAGAGAGATACAGACACCGGGGACTGACAGCCGCGGGGGCACGCGGGGCCGGCTGGCCGTGGCGGGCGCTCACCTGGCAGCGGCGGCGGTGGCGGCGCCCGCGACCGGGCCGCTCTTCCCGCGCTGCGGGCCTCCCTCCCCGCGGCCGGGCGGGCGGCCGGCGCAGGCCCCGCAGAGGCGGCGGCGGCGGCGACGCCGGAGCCGCGGACTGCTGAGCGGCGGGGACGCAGCTGCACCAACCGACTCCGGGCCGCTCGGCTGGGCTCGGCCGCTCTCGGAGGCGCTCGGCTCTGCTCGGCCTTGCACGGCTCCCCTCGGCCTTGCTCGACTCGGCTGGGGGCGTGGCCCAGGCCCCCCAGTCCGCCCAGGTCGCCTCTGGCGGCCGCGGGGCGGGGCTTTCGAGCGGGTGCGAGCCCCCTGACGTCGCGGGGAGCGGACCTTGCCCCCGGCGCATGCGCCAGCACTCCTCCTCCCCCCTCCTCCCCGCCCCACCGTGTGGAGGCTGAAGAAGACGGGGAAGGAGGCGCTGGGGGCGGATGCTGCGGTCCCAGAGGTTCCTGGCTTTTGTACTCCATATCCTGCTCTTTCCAGAGGACCACTTAAAGAAGGTCACACCAGGTTACACTTTCAAAAGGATGTGTGTGTAGGCTGGCAGGGGCTCTCGCTCCTGTCTGCCCCCACTCCTCCAATTCCAGTGTTTCCCAACAAGCGTCGACTAGGAGTGGTCTTTTATCCAACCAAGGGTTCACTGCAATTTTTAATATTTTCTGTTTTCTTAAGAATAATAACAAAAAAACTAACTCTTGATCACTGTTTTAACATTGAGTCTTCAAGTACTTGAACTTTCAAACATCAGTCAGCCTCCTCGAGTCCACTAATACCGTCCTTTCTTCATAGCTGTTGTATAACCTGTAATGCCTGGGATGGGGTTGGGTTCTTTCCTGAATTCTCGTCACATGATCCAGGCACCTTTTTAGTTATGGAACCAAGTCTGCAGCAAATATGCTCAGAAAGTGGCTCCCACCTTTAGAATCCAGTGATTAGTAAACAGCAGGAGCTCTACGGTCTTGACACACCTGGATGGGAATCCCAGATCTGCATTAATCTAGCAGGTTAATAATTGTCTGAGTGACTTTGGACGTGTTAATCTCTCAACTGTAAAAGGGCAATGAAACATGAGTAAATCAGTAGAAATATTAAAAGGGTTAAATGACACCACATATAAAGATTTCTGCACAGTGCTTGGTGTTCAATAAGTAAGGCTGCCTTTAACTTCAAGTAACTTTAGAACCTTCAGATCCTGAAAACCAGGGAGCATATACACAAGTGTGAGCGATGTGTCCAAGTAAACAAGTCGATAGTCAAACACCCATACGTGGCACCTTAGCTTGCTCCTTTCACAACCTTCCCTACCTCAGTTCATGTCAACTCCATTCTTCTGATGACTCCAGACAAACCATTGGAGTCATCCTGGACTCCACTCTCCCTATCATATCCCACATGCAACCCATTAGAAAAGCCTGTCAGCTCTACCTTTAAAATACCCCTTTTCCTCTTTCCTGGAATATTGTAGTAGCCTCCTGCCTGTTCTCCACGATTCCACTGTGCTCTCATGGTGCCTTCTCTCAACACAGAAGCCAGAGGGATCCTGTTGAAACCTAAGCTCAAAAGCCCCCAGAAGGTTTCCCATCTCAGAGTAAAAGCCAAAAAAAAAAAAATATGGGGGCAGTGGGGTGGAGAGTGGGACACAGTCTCACTCTGTCTCCCAGGTTAGAGTGCAGTGGCCCCATCACAGCTCACTGCAGCCTCAACCTCCCAAACTCAAGCAATCCTCCCACCTCAGCCTCCCAGGTAGCTAGGACTACAGGTGCACGCCACCATGCCCACCTATTTTTTTCATTTCCAAAATGTGGTTTTTTTCCCAAAGGCTTCCAAGATCCTATGTGTCTGCCCTTCGTCCACTTATACTCTCCACCTCTCTAACTGCACCTCCTTCCACTCGGCCTCCTCATTGCATGCCAGGCACACTAGCCTCCTTCTTGCTCCTGGAATATGGAGGCTCACTTCTACTTCAGAACCTCTGTACTTGGTGTTGCTTCCTCCAGATATCAGAAAGGCGTGTGCTTTCCAAGTTTCTACTCAAAAGTCACCTCCCCAGACTTTCCCAGACCACTCTACTAAAGTATCAAGTCCCAACTCCAATCACTATCCTCTAAGCCTGCTTTACTTTTCTGCCTAGCCCTTCTAACCTGAATATCATCTATAATATCTCTGAAGGTGGGAACTTTGTTTTTCCCATCTTCAACATCTAGAACATGGGTCGACATGTTCAGGTACTCAATAAGTATTTCTGGGATGAATGAGAATGTATATAGGTTATACTGCTCCAATACAACTTCATTTATTCAACAAACTTTTCTGAGCATCTATTTTGATCCAGGCACAGTGGGATCCTGAGAAAAATGAGGTATTCTCCCGACCTTTGAGGAACAGTATTTCAGAGGAAACAGTCATGTAAAAAAAATACTTCTGGCCGGGCACAGTGGCTCACGCCTGTAATCCCAGCACTTTGGGAGGCTTAGGTGGATGAATCATCTGAGGTCAGGAGTTCGAGACCAGCCTGACCAACATGGTGAAACCCCATCTCTACTCAAAATACAAAAATTAGCCAGGCATAGTGAGGCGCACCTGTAATCCCAGCTACTTGGGAGGCTGAGGCAGGAGAATCACTTGAACCCGGGAAGCACAGGTTGCAGTGAGCGAGTTTGCAGCATTACACTCCAGCCTGGGCAACAAGAGCGAAACTCTGTCTCAAAAACAAACAAACAAAAAACTTCTGGGAGAAAATATGTAACAAAGATGGATGTGCCAACTGCTTTGGGAAGCACAGAGAATAGCATAATTAACAATATACAGGAGAGTGTGGGTAGGCTTCCCAGAAAAGGTGACTTTGGGGCCACATCTAAAGAGTTGTTGAGACAGAGATTCCAGGCAGAAGAAACAGCCATTTAATACCAGTGTTGGGGGGTATGTCACAAATGATATTTACACACAGAGGCATATTACTTTCCTTTAAAAAAAATTAAGCAGATTTCAGGTAATCCCTATAATAATGTCATTTGCACTCACATTCTAATGAGCTTTCTCAAGCAGTAAGGAAACTGCTAGTATAGTTAATGCAATAGTTACCACCTGACCTCTGTTTTATTGGAATGGGCTACACCTGTGAACTTTTTGTGCCAGGGTCCAGAGGCAAAGAACTATCTGAAGTTTGCTGGCTGCAAGGACCAGAAACCCATCAGACCAATTCAAGGAAAATAAAAGGGGACTTTATCTTTAGGCTTTGGGTGGGATGGATCTCACAGAGGCCAAGGGAAATAATTAGCTGGGATTTTGGATGGGCTGGAAGCAGAGTAAGGGGAGCCAGTATGACTCCAGCAAACTTGTTTTCTCTGCCTCCAGGTATTAATAATACAATGGGAAATGTGTCTACCAACCTCTCCCAAGTATGAGATACAATTCCAACTACCCAGAGACTAAAACTCCCTAATCATTCTAATCACAAAATCATGTAGAAAAGGCTCTAACTGACCCAACTTGTGGTAGGTACTCTCCTCCAGAACAGTCATGCCAGCTTACAGGCATGAAGTTCACCAGGAAGCCACCTCTGTGAATCAAGAAATGGCCAATTACCAGGAAAAGGGAAATTGTTTCTAGCTGAGGCGGTATCTTGAAAGAAGTCCCTCACAGAACTGCTGGTTCCACATAGTGGCAAAACCCCTGGGAAACATTTGGTAGTGACACAGGAAACAATTGTTGAGTTCTTGATTTCTGCATAGTAGGGAGGCCTTTTTTAAGTGGCAATAAAAAAAAAAGTTGTTTTTTTTTTGTTGTTTTGTTTTGAGACTGTGTCTTGCTCTGTCACCCAGGCTGGAGTGCAATGACATGGTCTTGGCTCACTGCAACCTCTGCCTCCCAGGTTCAAGTGATTCTCCTGCCTCAACATCTCAAGTAGCTGGGATTACAGGCGTGCACCACCACGCCTGGCTAACTTTTGTATTTTTAGTAGAGATGGGGTTTTGCCATGTTGGCCAGGCTGGTCTCGAACTCCTGACCTCAGGCAATCCACCAGCCTTGGCCTCCCAAAGTGCTGGGATTACAGGCATGAGCCACCATGCCTGGCCTGAAAGCTGTTTTTTTCCCAGCAAAAAAGGGGACAAAAACTGGGATGCTCTCCATAAGACCTCTGTAGGCACATGATAGGATTGTACTTCCTTACAATAGCTTGGATTTGTGAATAGCCATGTGACTTTCTTTGGTCAATAAAATGTGAGTAGAAGTACAGTCACACATTGCTTAATGACAGGGATATGTTCTGAGAAATGTGTGATTAGGTTATTGCTTCATTGTGCAAACATCATGCAGTGTACTTACACAACTTAGACGGTAAAGCCTACCATACTGAGGCTATATGGTATAACCTATTGCTCCTCGGTTACAAACCTGTACAGCATGTTACAGTACTGAATATTGTAGGCAGTTATAACACGGTGGTATACATCTGTGTATCTAAACATATCTAAACATAGAAAAGGTACAGTAAAAGTAGGGTATAAAATATTTTAAAATGGTACACTTGTACAGGGCACTTATGAATGGAGCTTGCAGGACTGGAAGTTGCTCTGGGTGAGTCAGTGAGGGAGTTGTGAGGGAATGTGCAGACCTAGTAAATTACTGTATGCCACTGTAGACTGTATACACACTATACACTTACTGCTAAATTTTTTTTCTTGAGACAGAGTCTCGCTCTGTTGCTGAGGCTGGAGTGCAATGGCGCCATCTCGGCTCACTGCAACCTCTGCCTCCTGGGTTTAAGCAATTCTCGTGCCTCAGTCTCCCTAGGAGCTGGGATCACAGGTGTGCACCACCATGCCAAGCTAATTTTTTATATTTTTAGTAGAGACAGCGTCTCAATATGTTGCCCAGACTGGTCTCAGACTCCTGGCCTCAAGTGATCTGCCTGCCTCGGTCTTCCATAGTGCTGGAATTACAGGAGTGAACCACTATGCCCGGCCATACTTACACTAAATTTAGTTTTTAAATGCTTTTATTTGGCTAGGCACAGTGGCTCATACCTGTAATCCCAACACTTCGGAAGGCCGTGGTGGGAGGATTGCTTGAGGGCAGGAGTTTGAGACAAACTGGGCAATACAGTGAGACCCCCCATCTCTACAAAAAAATGTAAAAATTAGCTGGGTGTAGTGGCACATGCCCATAGTCTCAGCTACTCAGGAGGCTAAGGTTGGAGAATCACTTGAGCCCAGGAGTTTGAGGCTGCAGTGACCTACGATCATGGCACTGCACACTAGCCTGGGTGACAGATGGAGAGCCCATCTCTTAAAAAAAAAAAAAGGAAAGGAAAATAAATAGGTAAAAAAAGATTTTCTTTAATAATTATCTTTAGCTTACTTTAACTTTTTTAGCTTATTGTACTTTTAAATATTTTTAACTTTTTGACTGTTTTGTAATAACACTTAGCTTTTTTTTTTTCTTGAGACCATCTCGCTATGTCACCTGGGCTGGAGTGCAGTGGTACAATCTCAGCTCACTGCAGCCTCAACCTCCCAGGCTCAAGCAATCCTCCCATCTCAGCTCCCCAAGTAGTTGGGAAATAACACTGAACTTAAAACACAAACCCACTGTACAGCTGTACATTTTCTTTCTTCATATTTTTGTTCTGTAAGCTTTTTTTCTTTTTCCTTTTTTTCTTTTTTTGAAACAGGGTCTCATTCCAACGCCCAGGCTGGAGTGCAGTGGAGTGATCTCAGCTCACTGTAACGTCCACCTCCCGGGTTCAAACAATTCTCCTGCCTCAGCCTCCCGAGTAGCTGGAATTACAGGTGTGTGCCACCATGCCTGGCTAATTTTTGTATTTTTAGTAGAGACAGTGTTTCACAATGTTGGCCAGGCTGGTCTCAAACCCCTGACCTCAAGTGATCCACCCGCCTTGGGTTCCCAACTATAAGCTTTTTTCTATTAACTTTTTTTTAACTTTTTAAGCTTTATTGTAAAAAGACGTATTAGCCTTGGCCTACACAGGGTCAGCATCATCAATATCACTGTCTTCTACCTTCATATCTTGTCCCACTGGAAGCTCTTCAGAAGCAATAATATGCATGGAGCTGTCAACTCCTATGATGAAAATGCCTTCTTCTGGAATCCCTCCTGAAAGACCTGCCTGAGACTATTTTACAGTTATTTTTTATAAGTAGAAGGAGTACACTCTAAAATAATGATAAATAGTAAACACATGAACCAGTAACATAGTCATTTATTACAAGTATCAAGTTATTTGTATTACCTGTATCATGTACTGTACATAATTGTATGTGCTGTACTTTTAGACAACTGGCAACACAGGTTTCTTTACATGAGAAGCACCACAAACCTGTGACTAACGTGTTGCACTCTGATGTTATGATGGCTATAAGGCCACTAGGTGACAGGAGTTTTTAGTCTCCATTACCATCTTATGGGACCACCACTGTACATGCAGTTCATCACTGACTGCACGTACAGTGTTGCACCATTGTATATGCAAAACATCATTGTGTGGTGTATAATTCACCATACATCACTCCCAGGTCCAAAGCTAAGTCTTGAGATATTTGTACCCCCATGTTTATAGCAGCATTATTCACAATAATCAAAAGGTAGAAACAACTCAAGCATCTATTAACAGATAAATGGGAAAAATATGGTATATACATATGAAAGATTATTTAATCTTTAAAAGGAATTAAATTCTGACATGCTACAACATAGATGAAACTTGAGGACATTTTTCTAACTGGTTAAGTAAACCAGTTAGAAAAAGGCAAATATTGTATGACTCCACTTATGTAAAATACCTACTATAGTCAAATTCATAGAGACAGAAAGTAAAGTGGTGGTTGCCAGGGGCTGGGGGGAAGGGAGAATTGGAAGTTATTGTTTTATGAGTATAGAGTTTTGGTTTTCCAAGATGAAAAGAGTTCTGGAGATTGGTTGCACAACAATGTGAATGAAGTTAACACTAGTGAACTGTTCACTTAAAAATGGTTAATACAGGGCCGGGCACGGTGGCTCACACCTGTAATCCCAGTATTTTGGGAGGCCAGGGTGGGTGGATCACTTGAACTCAGGAGTTCAAGACCAGCCTGGCCAACATGGTGAAACCCCATCTCTACAAGAAATACAAAAATTAGTCAGGTGTGATGGTGCTCACCTGCAATCCCAGCGACTTGGGAGGCTGAGGCATGAGAATTGCTTGAACCTGGGAGGCAGAGGTTGCAGTGAGCTGAGATTGCACCACTGCACTCCAGCCTGGGCAACAGAGAGAGACTCCATCTCAAAAAAAAAAAAAAAAAGTTAATACCTAGATTTATGTAGATTTATGTAGATTTTACCGCAGTTTAAAAAAAATAAATAAATCAAATGGGCCGGGCGGCTCATGCCTGTAATCCCAGCACTTTGGGAGGCCAAGGTGGGCAGATCACGGGGTCAGGATATCAAGACCATCCTGGCCAAAATGGTGAAACCCCATCTCTACTAAAATACAAAAACTTAGCTGGGCGTGGTGGCATGCACCTGTAGTCCCAGCTACTTGGGAGGCTGAGGCAGGGGAATTGCTTCAACCCAGGAGGCGGAGGTTGCAGTGAGCTGAGATCACACCACTGCACTCCAGCCTGGTGACAGAACCAGACTCCGTCTCAGAAAGAAAGAAAAAAAATCAAATGGAGATAATAAAATGGAATAAAAAATACTTGGCTACTCCAAAAGAAGGACAAAAAAATTAAACAGGGACAAAAGCCAGGTAGGACAAATAGATTTTTTTAAATAGCCAGATTATATACTTAAATGGTTTGAAATCATATCTGTAATTATATTAAATGGGAATGGACTAAATATTCTAGCAAAAGGGGAAAATTAACAAACTGAAATTAAAACAAACAAACAAGACTCAACTATTTGACGCTGGCCAGGTCTGGTAGCTCACTCCTGTAATCCCAGCACTTTGGGAGGCTAAGGCAGGTGGATTGCTTATGACCTAAATACACAAAATAAAACTATAATCATGGCCTGACATACAGAAGATACTCAATAAATATATCTTGAATGAATGGGTGCATATATGTGATATGTTGCTCCAACTAAACTTCACTTATTCAATGAACAGCCAAACCAATTTTTTTGGATATGGACTTAAACATGAAAGGTAAAACAATAAATTTTAGATGATAACATACAATAATATCTTCATAACCTCAAGGTAGAAAAAGTTTTCTTGGCCGGGCGCAGTGGCTCAAGCCTGTAATCCCAGCACTTGGGAGGCCGAGGCAGACGGATCATGAGGTCAGGAGATTGAGACCATCCTGGCTAACATGGTGAAACCCCATCTCTACTAAAAATACTAAAAAAATTGCCGAGCATGGTAGCGGGCGCCTGTAGTCCCAGCTACTTGGGAGGCTGAGGCAGGAAAATGGCGTGAACCCAGGAGGCCGAGCTTGCAGTGAGCCGAGGTCGTGCCACTGCACTCCAGCCTGGGCAAGAGCGAGACTCCGCCTCAAAAAAAAAAAAAAAAAAAGAAAAAAAGTTTTCTTAAACAGAACAGAAAAAGCACTAGCCATAGGAAAGATCGATAAATTGCACTTTTTTTTTTTACAATTAAGAACTGTTCAACAAGAGACATCACTAAGAGAGTGAAGAAGCAAGCCACAGATTTGCCATGCACATAACAAAAGTTTTATATCCAAAATATACAAAAACTACTATATAGACCAATAGAAAAATGGGCAAAAATAGGCTCTTCACACACACACACACACACACACACACACAGACACAAATCCAAACAGCCAATAAACATGTAGCAAGTGCTTAGCCTCATTAATGATGAAAATGAAATACAGCGAACAACTACTACAGATCCAGGTGGCTAAACATTCCAAGTCTGACAGTAACAACTGTTGGTGAATGTATAAGGGAAGCTCTTATACATTGCTGAAGGGAGTGCACTTGTATAAACATTTTGGAAAACAGTTTGGCATTATTATTTTTTTTTGAGACACAGTCTCGCTCTGTCCCAAGCTTGAGCGCAGTGGCGCGATCTTGGCTCACTGCAGCCTCTACCCCCAGGGTTCAAGAAATTCTCCTGCCTCAGCCTCCCAAGTAGCTGGGACTACAGGTGTATGCTGCCATGCCCTGCTAATTTTTTGTATTTTTAGTAGAGACGGGGTTTCACCCTGTTGGCCAGGATGGTCTTGATCTCCTGACCTTGTGATCCACCCACCTCAGTCTCCCAAAGTGCTGGGATTACAGGCGTGAGCAACCGCACCCAGTAGCATTATTTTAAGTTAAGCATAGGCATAGCTCATAACCCAGAAATTCTGCTCCAAAATACATACCCATGAGAAACACATGCCCAGATACAGCAGTAGACATGTACAAGAATGTTCACAGCAGCATTATTTATAATAACCCCACGTTGGAAACAACCCAAATGCCCATCAGTAGCAGATGGAATAAATTGTGATATATTCACTCAGCAGAACACTACAGACAACACTGAAAATGAGTGAAGTATAGCTGTGCACAGTACCATGGAAGAATCTGATAACGAGTGTGAAGCCAGAGAAGTCACACACACATCTTAAGACTGCCTTTCTATAAAACCCATAGCCACACAAAACCAAACATGTCCCTCCCCCACAATCCCCCACCACTCCTCTACTTATGAGACACAGAAAGAGTGGTAATAGAGACAGATTTCATGGTAACTAGTTAGGGAATCACCATTTTGTACCCAGGCACAGAAAACCAACCCCCTACTGGAATATCTCCTGCATGCAGGGATGAGGAGAGAAACTGGCCTTCGAGGTGAGGGAATTCAAGGAAGTGACTGACAGCTCTCTGCTGTGGGGATAGAGAACATTATTACGGTCAGGCCACCCTTCTGTTAGAATCCATTGTGATGACTTCAGTGTTACTTTTTTTTTTTTTTTTTTGAGACAGGGGCTCACTGTCACCCAGGCTGGAGTGCACTGTCACTATCATGGCTCACTGCGGCCTCGACCTCCCGGGTTCAAGTGATCCTCCTGAGTAGCTGGGACTAACGCAGCACCATGCCCAACTAATTTTTCTATTTTTTTTTGTAGAGACAGGGTTTCACTATGTAGCCCAGGCTGGTCTCAAACTCCTGGCTCAAGTGATCCACCTGCTTCAGCCTCCCAAAGTGGTATGATTACAAGTGTGAGCCACCATACCCAGCTACAGGGTTATTTTAATAAAGTCACTGAAAGTTAGGGGGTCATAATGACCCATTTATAGCATGCTAAACTTTCATCAGGCACTGGAGGCCACGATATGGGACAACAAGCAATTCCTGAGGTGCACTGCACATTAGCAAAAGAAGGCCATGCAGCTCTGGAAAGATTCTCAACAATAAACATAATTAAGTTTGTTGTATGTTCCTCCAGATTTTTTTAGGGTATCTAAACGTTTTTTATTATAAATATGGTATTATATTACATGTATTGTTTACCTTTTTAAAACTTAACAGTAGCTGCTAAACATCTGTTAAACATATTTTAATACATAGAGACCTACTTCATAATTTAGGGGGTGATGGAAACTTCATAATTCTGGGTGTGATTAATATACTTATTACCTTGATTGTGGTGATCATTTCACAGGTACACACATCAAAACTCAGTGTACACTTTAGATATGTGTTTTTTTGTTTTGTTTTGTTTTTTGAGATGGAGTCTCACTCTGTCGCCCAGGCTGGAGTGCAGTGGCGCCATCTCTGCTCACTGCAAGCTTCGCCTCCCGGGTTCACGCCATTCTCCTGCCTCAGCCTCCCGAGTAGCTGGGACTACAGGCGCCCGCCACCACGCCCAGCTAATTTTTTGTATTTTTTAGTAGAGACGGGGTTTCACCATGTTAGCCAGGATGGTCTCGATCTCCTGACCTCGTGATCCGCCCGCCTCGGCCTCCCCAAAGTGCTGGGATTACAGGCGTGAGCCACTGCGCCTGGCCTAGATATGTGTTTTATTATACATCAATTATACCTCAGTAAAACTGAAAAAAGGTTGTGTTTTAAATCTCTCCCCACCGTTTTTTTTTTTTTTTTTTTTTTTTTTTTTGGCACGACAGGGTCTCACTCCTCTGCCCAGACTGGAGCACAGTAGTGTGATCATAGCTCACTGCAGCTTCCAACTCTTGGGCTCAAGCAATCCTCTTGCCTCAGCCTCCAGAGTAGCTAGGACTACAGGCACGCACCACCATACCCAGATAATTAAACAAATTTTTTTTGTACAGACAGCCTCTTGCTTTGTTGCCCAGGTTGATCTCAAAATCCTGGCTTCAAGCAGCCCTCCCTCCTTGACCTCCTGAAATGTTGGGATTACAGGCATGAGCCACCACGCCTGGCCTTGTGTTTTAAATCTTTTACTGTTTTCTTCCACTTAACACTATAAATTCCATCCATGCTGTTTTATGTCTATTTCATGTAGAATTCCAAGGTATGTATCCACAACATTTTACTAACTCATCCCCTAGTTCCTTTGCCTCTAGTTCCTGTATGCCATTAACACTGTAACAAATAACCTCCTGCTTGTCTTCTTGCGGATCTGAGCAAACTTTCTTCAAAATGTATTTCCAGGCATGAGACTGCTACACTACTGAGCCCTATGCATACTTAATTTTACTCAGAACTACTGGCTTATTTTATAGAAGGGCTGAGCAAGTTTATATTCCCACCAGTCCAATCTCTTCACATGGGTTTCTGACCCTTCGCGTTGCAGTAACACTGAGACGATGGATGTTCATTCCTGGTGCCCCGATTCAATTTGAAATTGACTTCATGGTCACTGACAAATTATTCTTCAGGTTGTGGCAGGGCTGAGGCCATTTCCTAGTGACTTAACAGATGGAATTTGTTCTCTATTTTCACTTGCTTTTTAAATGTTTTCGGGGAGGGGTGCCTGTTAGAGACAGGAGCACTACAGACTGTCTTCCCTAGGCACTCCCTGGCAGCCTTCTAAGTCCCTAACTACATGGAGAAACTGCCTTGGGTCAGTGTTTTAAGCTGCAAGGAATGTTGTGACTCAGCTAGTCGTTCAGGGACACCTCGATGAACAAGGCCACGGGAAGGAAGTCATTACACAGAGAGCTGGACTGTAAAAACCAAAAATACTCTACACACCAAACTCTAGAGCAGTGCAGCAGTACATCCCATGACTCAACGGGACAGCTTCTGCCACGTGGCACACAGCTCCGGATATGTGGTGCGCAGCCCTCACTCGCGGCTCTGCTGCCGCTCTGAGCTGCTTGGAAAGTTGATGGGGTGGGGAAATCTGTGACTGTATTCTCTCTCCACCCCCTCCACTCTGACCATTGCTCCTCTCATCAGCTCCCCCTCTTCCTACTCCTTCTTTAACCCTCTTGCCCTGCAAAAACAAAAACAGCTGGAATTTAGTATTTCACACATGCTGGCAATTTAGTGGGGACACATGGAGGTCAAAACGCTGGCACTCTAGGAAGACCCTACTGATCAGGCAGACACTGGGCAACAGGTCATATCACCTGGGACAGGGTCAAGAGTACTGGGCAAAGAGGCAGCCCCAAGGAACAGAGACTTCAAGGTACAGGCAAAACCTTTAAAGATGTGGACATTCACTCACTAATCTTTATCAGAGACCTACTATGTGCCAGATGCTTTTTGTTTGTTTCTTTGAGACGGAGTCTCATTCACTGGAGTGCAGTAGCACCATCTCGGCACACTGCAACCTCCACCTCCAGTTCAAGCAATTCTCCTGCCTCAGCCTCCCCATGAGCTGGGATTAGAGGCATGCACCACCACACTTGGCTAATTTTTATATTTTTGGTACAGACAGGGTTTCACCATCTTGGCCTGGCTGGTCTTGAACTCCTAGCCTCAAGTGATCCACCCGTGTTGGCCTCCCAAACTGTTGGGATTACAGGCGTGAGCCACCGTGCCCGGCCCCAGACTGTTCTTAGGAACTGTCAGTGAAGACAGATCAGATGTCTTGTCCTCACGGGGCCTGCATTCTTTTGGAGGGAGACACACACATACCAGACATCCTCAAGAAGTGAATTAGCACTCAAGGAAGTTGTTAGGGCTACTGGAAAAGATTAGAGCACAGAGAGGTGTCTGGGCATGGTCAGGGTAGACTTCATGGACATTGGTGTGGTCTTGAGGTTAGTGAGGGAGCCAGCCAGGTAGGCATCTAGGGAAAGAAACTTCTGGGCAGAGGAAACAGCCAGTGTGCTTTTTTTTTTTTTTTTTTTTTTTAAAGAGAGAGTCTTACGCTGTCACTCAGGCTGGTGTGCAGTGGTGTAATCACAGCTCTGCAACCTTGAAATCCTGGGCTCAAGCGATCCTCCCATCTCAGCCTCCCAAAGTGTTGGGATTAAAGACATGAACCACTGCATCTGACCAAGTATACTTTTAAGTGTACTCAATAATTGGTTTCCTTTTCCTCATCTATAACAACAGTTTCTACCTTTTGTCCAGCTCCTGAGAGCCTTGAGTTCTAATCACAACAGCCCCTCACTCCCAGTGGCAGCCCTTCCATGCAGCCTCCCCTCTCTAGCCCCACTCTGCCTGTTAGCATCTGCAGCCATGGTGCAGGCCTAGTACATGGATGAGTTCCCAGACTGCTGGAGGCAGCCCCACCACCCCGAGCCCCTGGCCACCCAGTGGGCCAGAAACAGCCATGCTGGCTCAGGGTGCACTACTAAAGCTGGACACTGACAAATGAGAGAATGATCCAGAATTAGAAAAGACTCAAAGAGAGAGAAGCTACTCCTGGATAGACATAATAACCATATGTAAAGATAAATTACCAAATTATGAAGAAAAGATTAAGGTGTTTTATGGGGAGCATTTACACTTGGATGATCGGATCTGTTACATCCCGGGTGGCAGTGGATACTTTTGATATGACAGATAAAGAAGACAAGTGAATCTACATCTTCATGGAGAAAGGAGACATAACTCTCCCCACAGGAATTCGTCACCACCTCACTCTGGATGAAAAGAAGTACGTGAAGGCCATATGGCCATTCAGGGAGACCCAGTGTGGACAGCATACAATGGGCCAGCTGACCATTTCAATGTCCAGGGACAATACATGAAATTTCTGGCACAGACAGCATAGCAGGGCTCCCTGAGAACATGTACTTTGTGAAGGTCCTAAACGTAACTGAGCACAAAATCATTTTTCTCTTTGCTTTTATACGGTAAACTTGTCTTTCCTTTGCAAGATTATTTGATCAGAATGTTTTTTATCTTATTTTTATTTTTTGAGACAGAGTCTCACTCTGCTGCCCAGGCTGGAGTGCAGTGGCATGATTCCAGCTCGCTGCAATCTCCACCTCCCAGGCTCAAGTGGTTCTCATGCCTCAGCCTCCTGAGTAGCTTGTATACAGGTGCACATCATCACACCCGGCTAATAGAAACAGGGTTTCAACATGTTGGCCAGGCTGGTCTCAAACACCTGGCCTCAAGTGATCTGCCTGACTCAGCCTCTCAAAGTTTTGGGATTACAGGCATGAGCCACCGTGCCTGGCTCAGAATATTTTTTAATGAAAGGAGCAATAAAACTGATTTTTACATGGAAGCAACTGTGGAAATGAAGACAAGTCACCTTCGTTTTGTCTAATGCAATCAAGACTAGTGGTTCAGTAGCCCTGTGTTAGTACATGCACTCATCTTTAGTCCAAATGAGAGTTTCATCTCCCAAAATGTATCTCCTTAGATGTTCTATCTGGACATGATATTGTGCCTGCCTTGTAACAAGGTGCAATGGTAGATAACCAGATAGAAGACACTTTTTTTCTCCCAAAATTATACACTGAGGTGGGGAATTATACACATAGAGGGAAGAGCTCTTATGTTAGGCGACACATTCTGAGTTGCTTATGCCACTTTCTTGTTCAAAATAAAGTCATTGCTGGGCGCGGTGGCTCACGCCTGTAGTCCCAGCACTTTGGGAGGTCGAGGCGGGCAGATCACGAAGTCAGGAGATTGAGACCATCCTGGCTAACACGGTGAAACTCCGTCTCTACTAAAAATACAAAAAATTAGCCGGGCTTGGTGGTGGGCGCCTGTAGTCCCAGCTACTCGGGAGGCTGGGGCAGGAGAATGGAGTGAACCTGGGAGGTGGAGCTTGCGGTGAGCCGAGATTGCTCTACTGCACTCTATCTAGCCTGGGCTACAGAGCAAGACTCCATCTCAAACAAAACAAAACAAAACAAAATAAAGTGACTGCCTCAATTTTATGCTCATGGCTTGGCATTATCTTATATTCAAGTATATATGGTATTTTGCCTAGCTTGTTAAAATCACCAGTTTAGATTCTTTGTGTGACTGTATATGTATGTGATTAATGTGTATATTATCTGTGTTGGTATTTTTTTCAGTGCGAGTTGTCTAGGTTCTTTCACAATCAAGATTTTAACAGAATTAGTATTTTAAAATTTATCAAGAGAATTAGTACGTTATTTTTCTACTCAATTCTAAGACTCTACTCAATTCTAAGACACAATTATGCCTAGTTCGTTATAATCATAGAAAAACCCCAAATAAATTTCATGTTTTAGAAGGTCAGGTTGTTTTCTAAGTATTTTTCTAAAACTGGATGAAAATTTTTCATGTTAAAATTAATTTTTCATTACTTTCACACTGGTCTTGGGGGTCTGTTTCTCACTGCACAGAGGAAAGTCGATCCTTAAATGTTATTATCATGGTGCCTGTGTACATTTTAATCCTGAAATTATTAATTTTAGGATTAAGGCCAGGTGCAGTGGCTCACATCTGTAATCCCAGCACTTTGGGAGGCTGGGGCGGGTGGATCACATGAGGCCAGGAGTTTGAGACCAGCCTGGCCAACATGGTGAAACCCTGTCTCCACTAAAAACACAAAAAATTAGCCAGGCATGTGGCACACGCTTGTAATCCCAGCTACTCAGGAGGCTGAGGCAGGAGAATCACTTCAACCCAGGAGGCAAAGGTCACAGTGAGCTGAGATCGCACCACTGCAGTCCAGTCTGGGCAACAGAGTCTCTATCTTTAAAAAAATAAATAAAATTGTAAAAAAGGATTAAAATGTAGACAGGAACCATGATAACATAAATATCATAGGGCTTTCTTCTGTCAAATTTTACTCTGATAAAGTGCTGATCTGATTTTTTTTTATGGATTCATTTCTAAATGGTCATTGTAAAATGCAACTTCCTTCTTCTTGGAGACAGGGTCTTACTCAGTTGCCCAAGCTGGAGTACAGTGGCATGATCACAGAATCACAGTTCACTGCAGCCTCAACCTCCTGCTCTCAAGCAATCCTCCCACCTCAGTCCGCCAAGTAGCTGAGACTACAGGCACGTGCTACCACACTCAGCTAATTTTTTTTTATTTTTTGTAGAGTCAGGGTCTCACTATGTTGCCCAGGCTGGTCTCAATCTCCTGGGCTCAAGCAATCCTCCTGCCTCAGCCTCCCAAAATGCTAGGATTACAGGCGTGAGCCACCACACCTGGCCAAAGCAGAATATTATAAAATGTAACATAATCACAGGAGTGATATTCCATTACCTTTGCCATATTCTATTGGTTAAAAGCAAGTCACAGGTCCTACCCACACTTCAGTGAAAGGGATGACACAAAGGCATGAACACCAGGAGGCAGAAATGCAGGGGCCACCTTAGAGTCTGTCTGCCACTGAAGACAGTAACAATGGATCTGGAATCTGAAAAATGAGTTGGCATCAACAATGTGGACAGAGGGAGGGAAGAACTGTCCAAGCAGAGAAGGGGCAGGACGGTGAAAGCAGATGGTGTGTACAACTTATACAAAGGGCCTAGTCTAGTGACTAGCAATACCGTATCACTCTCCTGCTCAATAATCATTGATAGCTCCCCAGTGCCCATGGTTTTGCCCCATATTCAAGGTTATCTCCTTGCATTCGCTTTGTCTTCAATACCCATGCCTTCACTCACCACTTCCACCCACTTAGACTGCCTATTGCCTCCTATATTTACCCCATCTATATATAGTTCAAGGCCCAGCATAAACTGATATTCTGTAAACAATATTTCTGAATATCTAAGTGGAGGGCACTGTGCCAGATCCTCTTGGAGTTGCAAAGCTTAAGACATGGTCCACATGCCAGATGGAGGGCGGGTGGGGGCAGAAGGTACACCCCAAGAAGAAAAAGAATAGGAGGTCCCTTTGTTGAGGATCAAACCCATGGGGCAGTTGGGAAATCCTGAAGGGATTTTTAGGCCACAGAAAGCTCCACTTCCTACATTGGTTAATGATCTTTCAGGATTCCTCTCCAGGCTAGAAATTACAAACAAATTCCAAAAAGGCTGCTAAACTGACGTCTTTCCGGGAGTCGGGAACCGCACAGTTGCAATCTAGACAAGCCGGGTCACTCCTCATCTGGCACAAAAGGTACCTTTAGCAGGAGCTGCGGATGGCAACAGAAGTCTCCTGCCCTCCAGCCTGAGGGTCCCTGATAACATCCAGGAATTGTTTCCATTGGCTGGGAGGAGAGGCCCCCAGTGGCTGTGCACAGTTCTGGCCACATCCTCAGGAGAAGGAAACAAGGAAGGCAAAAGCAACCCAGCCAGGGACACAGAGCAGGAACCTCTCCAGCCGGGGGCGGAGGGGGCTGCTCCCCCAGCTCCATCTCTCACCTAGCCTAGGAAGGAGCTGCGCTTGGACCCGGCAGCCCCGACCTCGCAACCACGTACCTGCCCACTGCTCACTGACATGGCTGGGGGTTGAGCAAATGTCTTGAGAGCAAAAGCTCCTGGATTGAAGGAAGTGGGGAGGCCTGGCACCTCCTGGGTCTCTCTTCACACCCCAATTTCCATCTTCTCCAGCATTTACTCCACCTGGAAGGCAGAGGCTTTACCCTCAGCACTCACTACAGCGTCTTCCTTCGCTCTGAGGGCAGGGATTTTATACCCTTCCCACCTCCCAACCTAAACTATCCCCAGGTGGCTCAGCCTGGCCTTTGTACAAATGAGTCCCTGCACCTGGATCACTGTGCTCACCTGTCTTCACCTAATTCCAACTTACTTTTCCACTCTCTGGAAAGCATTCTCTGACCCTTCCCACCCCACTATGGGCTCCTGGGCTTGCCCCACCTCAGGTTTCATCATCTTATATTGCAATTCCCTGGCTGCTGGTCTGTTCTTCCCCTCCCCTCCCCATCCTCTAAGACTATGGGGCTCCTGCAGCATCTCTAGTGCCTGGCCCAGGCATGGTGCTCAGGAAGAACACAATCACCCTGTTGTCCTCTGTTCCTCTGCCGGGATGGGAGAGTCTGGTAGTCACTTTATCTTTTACAGCAGCAGGTCTCAGACTAGAGTGAGCATCAGAATCCACTTGGTGGTGCAGGCAGGGAGGGACTTATTAAAATACAGATTCTGGGCCCTACCCCCAGAGTTTCTGATTCAGTAGGTCTGGGGTAGGGCCTGAGAACTGGTATTTCTAACAAGTTCCCAAGTGCTGCTGCTGGTCCAGGGACCACACTTTAAGAATCACTGTTGGGGCTGGGTGCTGTGGCTCACGCCTGTAATCCCAGCACTTTGGGAAGCCAAGGTGGGTGGATCACTTGAGGTCAGGAGTTCGAGACCAGCTTGGCCAACACGGTGAAACTCCCTCTCTACTCAAAATACGAAAATTAGCCGGGCATGGTGGCACGAACCTGTAAACCTGTAATCCCAGCTACTCAGGAGGCTGAGGCAGGAGAATCACTTGAACCTGGGAGGCAGAGGTTGCAGTGAGCCAAGATTGCGTCACTGCACTCCAGCCTGGGTGAAAGAGCGAGACTCCATCTCAAAAAAAAAAAAAAAAAAAAAGAATCACTGTTAGCCTGGCATGGTGGCTCACGCCTGTAATCCCAGCACCTTTGGGAGGCCAAGGTGGGTGGATCACTTGAGGTCAGGAGTTTGAGATCAGCCTGCCCAACATGGTGAAACCCCGTTTCTACTAAAAATACAAAAATTAGCTAGGCGTGGTGGTGGGCGCCTGTAATCCCAGCTACTTGGGAGGCTGAGGCAGGAGAATTGCTTGAACCTGGGAGGCAGAGGTTGCAGTGAGCCAAGATCACACAAATCCCCATCTCAGGGTGTCAGTTTCTTCACTGGTAAAATGGGATAACTACTGTCCCCATTATCCTGGGTTTTGTGAAAATCCAATGAGATAATGCAAATGAAGAACTCATGCACCCAGTAGGTGCTCAATAAATGTTAGCGATCCCTCCTGGGAGTAGGCAGGAGACATGGCAGGCAGGGAAAGCATGAACAGGAGCAGAGATGGGAAAGGTCCCAAGCAGGTCAGCTGGGCTGGCAGAAGAGCCAAGGCCCAGCACAGCAGCCAGGGAGTGTCCTGTAGAAGTAACTGGGAGCCACGCACAGTTCTGGAGCTGGGCAGTGACAGGTGGAAGCTGAATGTGGCAACATGGGGCAGAGGCCATTGCCGGCAGCAAGTCCCACGTGCTGGAGACTTGGCTGTTTGGCTAGACATAGGGTTGCCAGATTTAGCAAAGAAGATAAAGTATGTCCAGTTAAATTTGAATCTCAGATGAATAATGAATACTTTCTTTTAGTATAAGTATGTCCCAAATATTGCTTGGGTATACTTATATTAAAAAGCAGTTGCTGTGCATCTGAAATTCAGATTTACATGAGTGTCCTTTATTTTTATTTGCTGAATCTGGCAATCCCAACTAGACACCAGTTGCCTGCCCCCCAGCCCTTAGTCCTGCATGCAGTGGGAGACCCAGCCCCAGGGTCCACTGCCTCCCTTCCCACCTTCAACAAAGCCACCAGGAGTGATTGATGAGCTGCTCCCAGAAGCCAGTATTGCTGCTCTGAGTGATCACAACTACAGGCCTGGGTAAGGGGGCCCTCTCACCTCATGCCAGGTTCACCCAGCAAGAAAGTAGAGGGGCACAGTCACTAACCACTGGGTCTGTAAATTAACAAAGCACATAGGGTGAATGGAATGACTCATCCCAGGACTTTGAGAGGCAGAGACAAGAGGATTGCTTGAGCCCAGGAGTTCGGGACCAGCCTGGGTGACATAGTGAGACACCCATCCCTACAAAAAATTTTTAAAAATTAGCTAGATGTGGCTGGGCACCGTGGCTCACGCCTGTAATACCAGCACTTTGGGAGGCCCAGGCGGGTGGATCATGAGGTCAAGAGTTCAAGACCAGCCTGGCTAAGATGGCAAAACTCTATCTCTCCTAAAAATACAAAAATTAGCCAGGCATGGTGGCAGGCACCTGTAATCCCAGCTACTCATGAGGCTGAAGCAAATAATCGCTTGAACCTGGGAGGCGGAGGTTGCAATAAGCCGAGATTGTGCCACTACACTCCAGCCTGGGCAACAGAGCGAGACTCTGTCTCTAAAAAAAAAAAAAAAAAAAAAAAAAAGCCAGGTGTGATCATGCATGCCTGTGGTCCCAGCTCCTCGAGAGGCTGAAGTAGGAGAATTGCTTGAGCCCAGGAGGTCAAGGGTGCAGTGAGCTGTGATTGTGCCACTGCACTCCATCCTGGGTGACAGAGCCAGACCCTGTCTAAAACAAAACAAAAAAACAATAAAACACATAAGCTACCAAATTCTGTAAAGAAGGAAGTACCACCTGCATTCTTGGATTAATGAAGAAACAAACAGCTGCCAGTGATATAGGCTCATCCGATGAGTATACCCAAGCAGAGGAAAAAATGGCCTCCACCTTCAACCCCAGAAATGGGCAAACACAAGTGTCCATGCTGCTTGCACCCTCAGAGAAAGCCCTGGAGATGGTGATGTCAACCACAAGCTAGAGTGGGACAGTCTCTGCCTTATTCAGTTCCATTCAGTGTTAGAACAAGTCATACTAGCAGAGGCTGTTCTATCTGCCTTTCTTCTCCTACCCTCATCACCAAATCCCAGATGATTGAGAGTTCCAGAAACGAGCCTGTCAGAAATGCAATTTTTCTTTTTCTTTTTTTTTTTTTTTGAGACAATGTCTTGCTCTGTCACCCAGGGTGGAGTACAGAGGCGCCATCTCAGCTCACTGCAACCTCCACCTCCTCGGTTCAAGTGATTCTCCTGCCTCAGCCTCCTGAGTAGCTGAGACTACAGCTGTGCACCACCATGCCTGGCTAATTTTTTTTTTTTTTGTATTTTTAATAGAGACGGGGGACCGAGCGCAGTGGCTAACGCCTGTAATCCCAACACTTTGGGAGGCTGAGGTGGGTGGATCACGAGGTCAGGAGATCGAGACCATCCTGGCTAACACAGTGAAACCCTGTCTCTACTAAAAATACAAAAAATTAGCTGGGCATGGGGATGGGCCCCTGTAGTCCCAGCTACTCAGGAGGCTGAGGCAGGAGAATGGCGTGAACCCGGAAAGTGGAGCTTGCAGTGAGCAGAGATGGTGCCACTGCACTCCAGCCTGAGTGACAGAGCGAGACTTCATCTCAAAACAAAAACAAAAACAAAAAAACAGAGATGGGGTTTCACCGTGTTGGCCAGGCTGGTCTCCAACTCCTGACCTCAGACGATCCGCCCACCTCTGCCTCCCAAAGTGCTGGGATTGCAGGCGTAAGCCACCTCACCCCAGCCGCAAATGCAATTTCTGCAACAACCTTTATATCAACTTTTTTTCCTCTAACAATGAACAATGAAAACAATTTGTGCTCCATCTTTAAAAATGTGTGACACAAAAATTTTTTAAATAAAAATAAATATGTGATAAACATTCCTGAATGCCTAGTGTGTGCCCTGGCGCTGTGCTCTGCATTTAATTTGGATCAGCAGTTCTCAGCCTTGTTTGTACATTACAACCAACTGGAGAGGTTTTTAAACTCCCAGTATCCGGGGCATCAGTATTCGTCTAGGGCACAGTGATTCTAACACACAGTCAAGGTTGAGAACCACTTATTTAATTCATCCTGTAAATCCTCACAATAGAATCCTGCAAGGTAGCTTTTATCACCACCTTTGCCGATGAAATTGAGGCTCAAAGAGGTAAATTGATTTCGGCATCTGTAGCCCCAACCTGTGACCTCTCCTTCCTTCCTTCTCGGGCTCCCTTCAGGGATTTCCTGATGTTACAGAAAATGGTATGTATGACGCTGCCCTCCTGGCCACCTTGACATAGCTCTGCTCCCAACAGGGCTCTTCTGAGATAGCAGCCAGACACTACCTGGGATCAGGACTGATACTAAATGACTTCTGCCAAAATGAGGACAACTGAGGCCAGTCACTTCCAAACAGGTTCTGTCACCCTGAGTCAGAATAATGGCAGCTACCTCTCCTCCTCACCGCCCAGTCGTTTCTAAGCCTGGCTCGTCGCCGTTGCTGCTCCGCCAAGCCTTTCCTCGGTGCCCTCTCTCTTTTAGAACAAATTACTTCATCTCCAGGCCCTTCTCAGGGCAGCTTCTTTGCAGGGGCCATAGGGCGTCGGAAAGGTCTTTGGTCCAGGAAAGCCGCGAGCCACAGATCCAAGAGGAAAAAGCCGTTCCCGGCCCGGGCCTTGCCCAAGGCACGAGAGTAAATGCACCTTCCGCGTGCCTCGGCGCACCTGGGCTCACCTGTCCCCTCCCGCAGTGCCTGCAGACAGGGAGGGAGCGCGGCTGGGCCAGAAGGCTGATCACCGCCTGCCCCCTGCTGGCCAGTGTCAGTATTGAGCCCGCTGCCGCTCGACCAGAACGTCCCAGGGATGGAATGAAGGTGCGGGCATTTATGGAGCGCCTGCTGTTTGTCAGGCGAGGTACTGATAAGCGCTGGAGTGTAAGGATGTACGTGACCTGCTCTCAGAGTTCAAATTTAAATGAAGAGATATACATTAATCAAGTAGTCATTCAAGCAAATATGAAATTACAACTGTGGGCTATGCGAACAGATGACGCGAGGGGCCTGTCCAGTCTGGGAGATACGGGTGGGTTCAGGAAAAGCTGCCCCCAGGAGGGGACGTTTGAGCGCCAGGAGCCGCGCAAAGTCATTTCATGTCATCTCTAAAATCCTGCAAGGCGGCTTTCCCCCTTGACAAAACAGGAAATGGGATCAAATTGAGGAAGGAATTCACCCAAGATCACACAGCAAGCTGGAAGCAAATCTGGGAGGAGCTAGGTCCGCCCCGTTCCGAAATCCACACTTTTCTGGAGGTGGGGCAGGCGGTGGCACAGGGACTTGGGGCGGGGTCTGGTGGGCGGGGCATGAAGTCTGGCCCCGCCCCCGCCTCCGAGGCCAAAGGGCGCCCTGGGCGGGGATCGGAGCAGGGGCGGGGTCTTTCCAGGGAGTGGAGCCTGGGCAGATTGGGGCCTGTGGAGGCCGCACTAGGATCGTAGAAGGAGTGGAGCCGTGCTCTCACCCTGTCTTAGAGGACCCGGAAGCGCCAAGTGACTGAGGGCCGAAGACACTCACCTGTGGAGCCTGTGCACGTAGGTAGAGGCGGCGGCTCTGAGTCCAGGAGCTCCAGTGGGCAGCTCCCCAGGTAGGGCCCAACTCGGGGGGAGAAGAGATGACCCTCTCCCCTCCCGCCCTGCCCATCTGTCCTGCCATCCTACATTCCTTCCTTCCTGTCCGCGGGCCTGGGTCCACCCCTAGCTGTAAGATGGGGACGCAGGGGTGGAGGGACTGGCCTCATTTTGTCCCTTTTTCCCTGGCCCAGCGGCTGCAGGCCCCCTGGACACCCAGAACGTAGAGTCTGGAGAGGAGACGTCGAAACCTCCCAGGGGAGGCTGGCCCAGCTTTACCCCAGCCTGACTGTGTGACCTTGAGGAGGACAGCCACTTTCTCTGGTACCCAGTGTCCTCAGTTGCAAAACAGTGACTGGCCCTTGCCCTGCTTGCCCTGAGACTGGGCAGATCAGATGCTGTAGCTGCTGGGGGCTGGGGTGGCGCTTTCTCTCTACTGGGGCACTAGGAGTGCTTACTCTCCTGCTCCCTCTGGTCCTCGGTGGAGAGCCACACCCTTCATCCACCCAAACCTGGGAGCCCCGAGGGCTGAGAGCCTAGTCCTAGGGCAGCTTGCTCTGGCTTCCCTGTGCTAGAGTTGTAGTCTAGCCTGGAAGGCCTGTGAACATCCCCAAGGTGGGGTGTGAGGCCTACGTGGAGTGCACATGCTCGTTTTGCAAATAGTGGTGCCACCATTGTGCATGGCCTTGAGTGCCAAGTTAAGAAGTCCAAACTCCGCTGGGCGCGGTGGCTCACGCCTGTAATCCCAGCACTTTGGAGACTGAGGCGGGTGGATCATGAGGTCAGGAGATCGAGACCATCCTAACACGGTGAAACCCCGTCTCCACTAAAAATACAAAAAATTAGCCGGGTGTGGTGGCACACGCCTGTAGTCCCAGCTACTCGGGAGGCTGAGGCAGGAGAATTGCTTGAACCCAGCAGGCGGAGCTTGCAGTGAGCCAAAATCATGCCACCGCACTCCAGTCTGGGTGACAGGGCAAGACTCCATCTCAAAAAAATAAATAAATAAAAGAAGTCCAAACTCTCAACTGCTGGCAGGGGCAGTTCATCAGAGTATGACCTGCAGTGCCCACAGGACCAGCCTGCATGAGTGGGGCTGTCATGATGCTGCTGCTGATAGGTGTACATACAGGTTTTTATTGCATTCCAGGGCTTTACACAAAGTCATTAGTTACTCACACGTGCCTGATGTTATTCCCATTTTGGAGGCTGAGACTGAGGGTCAGAGAGATGAAGTCACTTGCCCATGGTCACAGCTAGCAAATGGCGGAGTGGGGATCAGCACCCAGATAATCTGGTGCCTTTTCTCCTAATGTCCTGTGGCCACCCGTGATCTGGGCATCTGGTTATAAAGTCTTAACCTAGGACAGCTGGAGAAAGGAGGGGCTGGATGAGCAGGAAATTGGGGGAGAAGATTCAGAGGGCTAGGGAGGGAGAGAGGGGTAGTGACTAGTCCTAAGGGGTATTCGGCTTCCTGGGAAGGTGTGAGGAGTGAAGTGGCTGATTTTAGACATGTTAGTTTGTGGGTGGAGGGTGATAGAGGGGAGCCAAGCAGAGCTCTCCTCTGTCTGGAAAAGAACAAGGAGGTAGAGCTGGGTCCTGGGAAAAGGGGGTGCCTAAGGGATAGGTGAAGACAGAGGCGGGCTCACAGAAGGCCCCCAAAATGCTGAGCAGGCAGATGTGGGGGGGCTCACTGGAAGCCCCCAAAATGCTGAGCAGGCAGATGTGGGGGGCTCACAGAAGGCCCCCAAAATGCCGAGCAGGCAGATGTGGGGGACATCCATTGGTGAAGTGGGGGGAACAGAGAGAGGAGAGAATTCTGGACTCCCGTGACATTAGATCTGAGGGAGATGGGTCTAAAAAACTGAGGCCTTGGTTCACAGAAGGGGAAACTGAGGCCAGCCAGTTACTTGCCTGAGAATACTCCAGGGCTGGATCCGAGTAGGACCCCGGGTGCCATCTCTGCTATTCGGCCCTTTCTACTAGATCGTGGTTCTCAGCTGGGGGCAATTTTGTCCCCCAGGAGACATTTAAAAATGTCTGAAGACAATTTGGCTGTCACAACCTGGAGCTGCGGGGGATGAAGTGCTACTGGCATCTAATGGGCAGAGACCAGGGATGCTGCTGAATATCCTACAGTGCACCCACCCACCCCCCAGCAAAGAATTATCTGGCCCCAAAGGACAGTAATGCTGAAGCTGAGAAACTGCACTAGGGCTTAATAGGGCAGAAAGCTCAGGCTTGGGCCTCCAGCTGGATGGACCTTTGCCCCAACCCCGGCTCTGCCCCTCCCCATGCTTGCTCCTTAATTCCTGGAAGCCTCTGGAGTCCTCTCTGCTTTTCCTGGGCACAGTGGTTTAGAGGTCTGCCCACCAAGTGTCTGTCACCACTCTGTCTCCCCAGACCTGTATTCAGAGTTTGGCATTAGGTAGGGAGAAACCAAAGTGGAAATGTCCCATCTAGCACATGGCAGGTGCCTTGCAGATAAACTTGATTTGAGTGACATCTTAGGGGTCCAGGGAGTTTCATTTCATCCCATTTTCACTTTGGCAATTTGAATTGTGTCTTATGTTTGTGACGCTCTGACATAGACTGAAAGAATCCACTGCTTCATCCGATGTCCTAGGATGGGCAGGATGTGGCATTATCTGAGAAATGCTGTGGAGGTGGGGGTCTTGTCGTTTAGGCTCTTCCAAGAGTAGACTGTGGACTGGGAACACAAAAGCAGTTCCTTTCAAACACATGAAAGGCTGCAGGAATCACCTCGGGATCCTGTTAAAATGCAGATGCTAGGCCAGGTGCAATGGCTCACGCCTGTAGTCCCGGCACTTTGGTAGGCCAAGGTGGGAGGATCACTTGAGTCCAGGAGTTTGAGACCAACGTGGGCAACATAGTGAGACCCTGTCTCTACAAAAGAAATTTAAAAGTTAGCCAGTTATGGTGGTACATGCCTGTAGTCCCAGCTACTCAGGAGGCTGAGGCAGGAGGATCACTAGAGCCTGGGAGGTTGAGGCCGCAGTGAGTCATTTTGGTGCCACTGCACACCAGCCTGGGTAACAGAGTGAGATCCTGTCTCAAAAAAAAAAAAGAAAAGAAAAGAAAAGAAAAATATGCAGATGCTGATTCAGTAGGGCTGAGTTGGGCCTAAGTTTCTGTTTCTAACAAGCTCCCAGGTGATGCTGATGCTGATGTTTGTTGCTGGTGCATACCACATTTTGAGTGCAGGGCATTGCAGGGCTGTGCAGAAGTGGCCATGGGCCATGCAACCAACTCTTGGGTGGTTTGGAAGCATGGAGTGGAAGGAGACCATGCTCTAGAGTCAGGAGAGCTGGATATGAGTCTTTACTCCCTCTCTCCCCTCCCTATACCCCTTCTATGGCCTGTCAGCTTAGAAGAGCTTGAATAGTTTCCTCACCTGTAAAGTCACTTAACCTTGGGTAAGTCACTTAGCTTCTTTGCTAAGTGGTCTTGCATGGCAGGCTGTCCTCCAGGGGTTCTGACCCAGGGTCTGAGAGAAGAAAGTGCTCTGTAGAGATAGGACAGTCTGGGTCTTGGCAGGCAGAGGGGCAGCAGGCCACTGGCCTGGCCAGGAGGGCAGGGGTGATCACCTGAAGCTGCTGGGGCAGGCACTGTGCCAGCTTGGAGGAGGCTCTCATCATAGCCCTGTTTTTTCTCTGAGGCCGCCTCAGCCTCCTGCTTTGGGCTTACCCAGGCCTGTCTGGTGTGGGAAAGCTGGAGAGACCGGTCTGGCTGGGGGAGGGAGCAGCTTCAGTGGGCTGAGGCCAGCCCAAGGCCTGATTGTGGGTCTGAGCGCCTAGCCAGCTCAGCCCTGGTCTGAGGAGCTGGGGTTAGGGTTGAAATTGGGGTCTGAGAACTATAGCCTGGACACCGCTGGGGTCAGGCTGTGCATGGACAGGCTTCCCACCAGGGAAACTGGGAAGGAATTTGTAGTTTGGGGCCTTAAGCCCCCAGCTATAGGGGATGCTCTGCCTTGAGCATCTGACCCCAGGAATGGGGCTGAACAGAGCCTTGAGTACCTGGGGTGCTCCCACCCTTGGTCCCCCATAAGTCAGCTACAATCGCCCAGCAAGACACCTTCCAACTCACAGGACCAGCAGATAGCAAGACAGCTGAGCCCATTTCTCAGATGGAAAAGTGGAGGCTCCTTCGTTCCCACTTCTTGGGAAAAGAAGAGTACTCATTAGCACAGTCACCCATTATCCAGCAGGGCCCTGGGCCTGCTATCTAATGAGGCTGCCCCCTCTTCCCACCCCCTCCGTTTTCACAGTTGGACCATCCCAGTGGAACCACACAAACCTGGGTTCAGATCTCAGGTTCCCTCCTTCATAGTTATGAGGCTCTGGGCAGGTCACTCCACCTCTCTGAGCCTCTGCTGGCTCATCTGTAAACAGGAATAATGACACCCGCTCAGCCAGCCCCACAGGGTTGTTGTGAAGATGAAATGAGCCGTACCCACGGAACACTGTGGTCATTATCATTAGTCATGGCATTTAGAGGCACGAGGCAACTGGGTATTGTTTTACCTTGTGCCCTATTTTACAGATGTGGACATCGGCACTTGGGGAAGGAGGCGGCTGCCCAAGGGTCCCTTAGCAGGGCAGTGGGCAAGCTGGGGTTAGACCCACATCTACAGGTGTACCTCCCATCGCACAGCTGCTGCCATCTGTGCAAAGGCACTCCAAGGCGTGACACAAATGTAAACTTGGGGGTCTGTGTGGTCAGGCTGCAGGAGCTTCTTGTGGAGGAGCTGGAGCAGACCTTTGTGCAAGCCACTGCCTTTCTTTGCCAGCACCAGCCATGAACTACGTGGGGCAGCTGGCGGAGACGGTGTTTGGGACGGTGAAGGAGCTGTACCGGGGCCTGAACCCAGCCACACTGAGCGGCGGCATTGACGTGCTGGTGGTGAAGCAGGTGGACGGCTCGTTCCGGTGCTCACCCTTCCACGTGCGTTTTGGCAAGCTGGGCGTCCTGCGGTCGCGGGAGAAGGTGGTGAGTGCTCAGGCTGGCTGAGGTGGCTACTGCAGAGTGGGCTTTTTAAGCTGGGGCAGCCACTACAGTCCCAGGACAGGACCTGGGGCCTCCCTTAGGTGGGGATCTGTCCTCTGGACAGGCTTCCCTTCATTTGTACTTTCTTTGAAGGTTTTTGGGTTGATTTGGGGGTTTTGGTCTGGGAGGGTTCACAGTTAGTTTCTCATGGAAACAGACCAGTAGGGCTCATCCCAGTGCTGGGGCCGTCAGACCTGGCTCAGCTTACTAAGACCTTACCTGTGTGTTCTTGGTAAGTCACTTCATGCCTCTGAGCCCAGTTACTTCACCTGCACAAATGGATATGATTTTATCGGCCTAATGATGCTGGTGGGACAAGTCAATAGCAACTGATAATACTGTCTCAGGGCCAGCTATGTGGGAAACACTCAAATGTTAGTTTCTCTCTCTTAATAAATCCACTTCAGGCTGGGCATGGTGGCTCACGCCTATAATCCCAGCACTTTGGGAGGCCGACGCTGGTGGATCACCTGAGGTCAGGAGTTTGAGACCAGCCTGGCCCACATGGTGAAACCCAGTCTCTACCAAAAATAGAAAAATTAGCCGGGTGTGGTGGTGGGCACCTGTAATCCCAGCCACTCCGGAGGCTGAGGCAGGAGAATCGCTTGAATCCAGGAGGCAGAGATTGCAGTGAGCCAAGATTGTGCCATTGCACTCTAGCCTGGGCGACAAGAGCGAAACTCCGTCTCAAAAAATAAATAAATAAATAAAAATAAATAAATAAATCCATTCCACCTTCACAGGGCTCAGGCAAGCACAGCAGAGATTTTTGTTAGCAGCAAGGTCTAGGGTGTGAATCAAGATTCACACTGAGGCAACTGTGACGTTTCCAGGATCCTAATAGAAAAGTGTAGCCTATGGGAAATAGTATATCTAAGAGGCTAGTAGCTTGGGTTGTAGACTCAGCCTTTTTGGCTTCATAAGCTCACTTGCTGTGAGGCTGCCTCCTAACCAATTACTCAAACCCCCAAAGCCTCAGTTTCCTCATCTGTAAAGTGGAGGTAATGATAGGAGCTACTGCAAGGGGTTGCAGAGATTAAATGAGATAATCTATAGAAAACACTCCACAAAGGGCCAGTACACTAAAATTCCCACCATTGTTTATGCAGCCAATAACCTGGGGGCTGGGGACACAGCGATCACAAGAGAGACCACGTCCCTATTCTTATGGATGTGAGAGACAGAGGGAAGAACTTGGAAACCAGGCAATACACAAGAAGACCGAGACAGTGACAAGTACAATGAGGCTCAGACAGTGGGGCAGTGTGAGTGAGGGAGAGATGGGTAGGGAGCTCAGTGAAGGCCTCTCTGAGGAAGGGGAGATGCAGCAGAGCCCCCCTTCGTGGGGAGCAGCCAGGCACTTGAGGTCCGGAGGGAGGGAACCCCAGCAAGTATGGTGTTTGGGGCGGCAAGGAGCCACTGGAGGACCAGCCAGGAGGCCTGTGGTCGGAAGCATGGGCGTGAAGGCCCATGTCCCTGCCACCGCTTTCCATTTGCAGGTAGACATTGAGCTCAATGGGGAGCCTGTGGACTTGCACATGAAGCTTGGGGACAGCGGGGAGGCCTTCTTTGTTCAGGAGCTGGAGAGCGATGATGTGAGTCTGCCCTCCTAACAGCACCTGCCCCGCCCACCCCTTTCCTGTGCCTCTTCTGGGCAGAGCCTTGGGATTTGTCACCATCCTCGCCCTTCCCCGGGAGCACCCCACCAGCAGAGGTCTGAGGCAGGGGTATCAGTTGGGGCTGGCCTCTGGCACACGTGATATGCTGTGGGGGCCCAGAGGAAGAGGCCAGGGTACCAACTGACTCTATTTACTGGGAAGTTGGGGAAGGTTTCTCAGAAGACTGGACCCCTGAGCTGGGCCCCTGTGGGATGAAAAGGAGGCCTTCCCCAGGCAGCTTGAAGAGGAGGCGGGAGCTGAAGAAAGGGGCTGGGAAGTATAACATCTGGCTTGTCCTGGGTCTGGTGCCAGCTCCGTGTGGCTGGAACCTAGAAGTGTGTAAGTGGTGGGTGTTCGCACAGGGGAGGCAGGGCCCAGCAGAAGCCAGCAGAGGAGTTGAAACAGAACTTGAAAAACTTTGAGTCCCTACTGTAGGCCAGACACTGTGCAACAGACTCAGATGACGGGTGACCCCTGCCTTCAAAGAAAGTTCCAGGCTGTTCTGGGAGCTAGACACATAAACAATGGATGATGAGCCGTTTGGTCATTGCAGTGAGGGATGTTGGGATTGGGAGAGGGATAGTCAAGGCTCCTTCCTGGAGGAGGAGACATATGGCTGAATCTTAAAGCAGAAGTAGATGTCTGCTGTCATAGACTTGGGTAGAAGAGGAGATCAGAGGCCGATGCCAAGATCTCTGCCTGGCCTGCCAGGGTGGCAGGTGGCTCTGTTGGGGACCTCTGAGGCCAGCAGTGGCTACAGGGCCAGGCTGGTGCCTCCACACCTGTTTTCCTGACCCTAAATGAGCTCACTCCAGGGCTGGGACCCAGGCAAGGCTCAAGATGACTGTGTGGTGAGCGCAGCCCCACTAGGGTCAGCCCCCGACCTCAGTTCTTGGTCTGTTCCACAGGAACATGTGCCTCCCGGCCTGTGCACCTCACCCATCCCTTGGGGGGGTCTGTCTGGCTTCCCCTCGGACTCCCAGCTGGGCACTGCCAGTGAGCCTGAGGGCCTCGTCATGGCAGGCACGGCCTCCACTGGGCGGAGGAAGAGGCGTCGCAGGAGGAAACCCAAGCAGAAAGAGGATGCAGTGGCAACTGATTCTAGTCCAGAGGAACTGGAGGCAGGCGCTGAGAGTGAGCTATCCCTGCCGGAAAAGCTGAGGCCAGAGCCCCCAGGGTGTGTAAGGACCAAGGGACTTGAACCCCAGTTTGGGGGTTCAAGTGCTGTTTCCTCTGCTCATGCTGTGTGACTTTGGGCAAGGGCCTTGACCTCTCTGAGCAGTAGTTGCTTCACCTTACCAAGCCCCTGATGTCCAGGCTCTCATGCCTGCCTGGGGCATCCTGCCTGATCAGTGACCATTTCCTTGTGGCCCCTTAGCAGTGTCCAGTTGGAAGAGAAGTCTTCACTGCAGCCCAAAGACATCTACCCCTACTCGGATGGCGAGTGGCCCCCCCAGGCCAGGTAAGAGTCCAGGTGGGCTGCAGGCCAGGACTCCAGATCAAGGTCTGAGGTTTCCATTTGCATTTTTCCTGATGACTAATGACACAGGACCCATTTAATGTGTTTACTAGCCATTCGTATTTTTCCTTTGTAAAGAGTTCAAGTCTTTTATTGATTTTTTTAAATTGCGGTAAAATATACATAACATAAATTTACCATTTTAACTATTTCAAAGTGTATACAGTTCAGTGGCATTAAGTACATTCAGTGTTGAATGACCATCACCACTATCTAGTTCCAGAACATCCCATCCCCCAAATGGAAACCCTATGCCCATTAGGCAATCCAGCTACAACTTTGCCATCTTCTTTTTTTTTCCTTCCTTCCCTTCCTTCCTTCCTTCCTCCCTCCCATCCTTCTTCTTACTGGATTGTCTTCTTCTTGTTGATTAGTATAAGTTATTCATATATTTGTATACTCTTTAGATCTTTACATATTCCTTATATATTATGGATTCAACACAGGCATAAATATAGGTTGCACATATTTTTTTCCCTGGCTGGGGTGGGCAGCAGCGGGGATGGGTAGGCAGGCTCAAGGCCTCTCAATATGTCTCCTGCAGCCTCTCAGCAGGTGAGCTAACATCCCCTAAGAGCGACTCGGAGCTGGAGGTGCGGACCCCGGAGCCCAGTCCCCTAAGAGCCGAGTCCCACATGCAGTGGGCCTGGGGGAGGCTGCCTAAGGTGAGTCCCTCTGTATCAACCCCAGGCCCGGCCTTTCAGGGGCTCTGTGGCCCCCATGGGTCAGGGTTGGAGGGACTGAAACTCGGGCCACTGCCCCAAAAGCTTTGTGGGGCATGGGCCTTACCCTGGCCCACATCTTCCTCCATTTGTTCCACTAAAGGTGGCCAGAGCTGAGCGGCCCGAGTCCTCAGTGGTCCTTGAAGGCAGAGCTGGGGCAACCTCTCCTCCTCGGGGAGGACCCAGCACTCCCTCTACCTCTGTGGCTGGCGGCGTGGACCCTTTGGGACTCCCAATCCAGCAAACAGAGGCTGGTGCCGACCTTCAGCCTGACACAGAGGATCCCACTCTAGTGGGTCCCCCTCTCCACACCCCAGAGACAGAGGAAAGCAAGACTCAGAGCTCTGGGGACATGGGCCTCCCTCCTGCCTCCAAGTCATGGAGCTGGGCCACTCTGGAGGTTCCAGTTCCCACCGGGCAGCCAGAGAGGGTCTCCAGGGGGAAAGGTGAGTGACGCTGGGTCTCTCCCACTGCCTCCCTGGCCTCGCTCTGTCCCCTGGGTGGGTGCTGGGACTTCAAGTACATTTTGAGCACCTGCTGTGTGCTAGGTGCTGTTCTTGGCACCAGCCTCATGAAGCTCACAGTGCAGTGTGGGAGACAGATGCTGCATGTGTGGAAGGGCGTGCCACAGGCATAGTCATTGGTTGGAATGGGAGCTGTTTAAACCAGGTGGTCAGAGAAGGCCCCTCCGAGAAGGTGATGTTGGAGCTAAGACATGGATAATGAAGATTCAGCCAAGTGAGGAGCAGGGGAAGGGAATTCTAGGCAGAGGAAACAGTATGTGCCAGGGATGTAAGGCTGGAGAGAAGTTTCATGTCCAGAAACTGAAAGCAGCTGGCGTGCCTTGAGCAAGAAATGGAAGACGGCCGGGATAGGAAGTTGGGGAGATGAGCAGACTCAGATGGCTCCAGCTCACAAGCTCAGGTTTATCTAAAAGTGCTAGGAAAGCACGAGACCTGTGCTGTCCAAATCAGTAGCCACTGGCTATATGTGGCTATTTAAAATCAAATTAGGGACAGCATGGTGGCTCATGCCTGTAATCCCAGCACTTTGGAAGGCTGAGGTGGGAAGATTGCTTGAGGAGTTCAAGATCAAGCCTGGGCAATGTAGTGAGAACCCATCTCTACAAAAAAAAAAAAATTTTTTTTTTAACTAGCCAGGCATGGTGGCATGTGCCTGTAGTCCCAACTACTGAGGAGGCTGAGGCAGGAGGGTCACTTGAGCCCAGGAGTTCAAGGCTGCAGCGAGCTATGATCATGCGATCACACCACTGCACTCCAGCCTGGGTGACAGATAAATAAAAATTAAAAATTAAATTAAATTAATTGCAATTAAAATATAAAATTCCATTTTTTTTTTTTTTGAGATGGAGTCTCGCTCTGTCACCCAGGCTGGAGTGCAGTGGTGCGACCTCGGCTCACTGCAACCTCTGCCTCCCGGGTTCAAGTGATTCTCCTTCCTCAGCCTCCTGAGTAGCTGGGACTACAGGCACATGTCACCACGCCCAGCTAATTTTTGTATTTTTAGTAGAAATGGGGTTTCACCATGTTGGCCAGGATGGTCTCGATCCCCTGACTTTGTGATCCACCCGCCTCAGCCTCCCAAAGTGCTGGGATTACAGGTGTGAGCCACCACGCCCAGCCTAGAATTCCATTTCTCTGTCACACGGTGATCACATTTTAAGTGTGCTCAATAGCCACATGTGGCTAGCAGCTAATATATCAGGCAGTGCAGACATGGGACATTTGTATCACTGCAGAAGGTTCTGCTGGGCAGCACTGCCTTAGAGAATTCAGAGTCAGAGGGCACTTACTGTCCACACTGCTGAGCACATGTCAGCTCTACAGATATCCTCTCTTCAACTCTCAGGCTCCCCAAAGAGAAGCCAGCACCTGGGCCCCAGTGACATCTACCTGGATGACTTGCCCTCCCTGGACTCTGAGAATGCAGCGCTTTACTTCCCCCAAAGGTGCCTGGGTTCTGGATGCCAGGGTGTCTTGGGTCTGGGCTCCTGGGGCCAAGGGTCCACTATCAAGGGCCTGTGAGGAGGGAGGACCCATCTCCCGCCCTCCTCGTATTCTTGTCATTGTTGGCCCCTTTGCCTGCAGTGACTCTGGGCTGGGGGCCAGAAGATGGAGTGAACCCAGCAGTCAGAAGTCCCTGAGGGACCCCAACCCTGAACATGAACCTGAACCCACTCTGGACACAGTGGATACAATAGCACTGTCCCTCTGTGGTGGACTGGCTGACAGCCGGGACATCTCCCTAGGTATGTTCGACCATGGCCAAGCCCTTTTGAGGGCTGGTGCTGAGCCCAGAGGATGGGGAGGGCAGGGAAGACTGTGAGGGTGGGGCAGTAGAGGTGAGAGGCTGGGCTTCCCTGCAGCTCTCTGCCCTGTGCAGTCCACACTCCGCCAGCAGGGGCTGGACCTTCCCAAGTCCCCATGAAGCAAAATGCTTGACGCTAAGTTGTGAGTTATCCTGTGAATCCTGGGGTGGGAACAGGTGTAAAAACCACAGGTAGGGAGGAGCACTGCCAGGTTACAAAGCCAACCGACAGGAGGTGAGCAGCAGAGTGGGGAGCACCAGGGGGCTGGGGCAGCGGGTCACATGGGATGTGCCAGCCTCACCCCTCACTCTGCCTCTGTGCCCAGAGAAATTCAACCAGCACAGCGTCTCTTACCAGGACCTCACCAAAAACCCCGGACTTTTGGATGACCCAAACCTAGTGGTGAAAATCAATGGAAAGTAAGTCCCAGAGCTGGGGCTGCTGGCAGCCGGAGAGTCATTTCCCTCTTCACAACCCTGCAGCTGCTGCAGCTTGATGCCCTGTTCTGTCTCTCTAGGCATTATAACTGGGCTGTGGCTGCCCCCATGATCCTCTCCCTGCAAGCCTTCCAGAAAAACTTGCCCAAGGTAATGGTTAGAGCACCACTGCCCCTGCTGGGGAAGGTAGCCATAGACTCAGGGCACGGAGACCCTTAGCAAGGAAGTGAAGGGTGAGCAGAGATGGGCCTGGGAGCCAGGGGCTAGCTGGCTGCAAGACTCACTCTGGGAGAGGCGACACACGTCCCTGAAGCCTTGCCTCACCCTTCCCTGGTTTCCTGGCCGTGGCTGAATCCTGTTGTATTTAAACTTGACTTCAGAGGAGCTCAGGACAAACCAGAGGGGAAGAAAAATCCAACAGATGCTTAAACAAGGACATGTCTTTAGCAGGAGGCCTTTGCATCTGAAATATGGGGAAGCCTTTGGATCTGAAATACGGGGTTTGGGAAATGGAAGTTGCACCCTTCACCTTGCCTGAAGACTATTCCTCCAGGCTGGGCTGAAGGGTGCTTACTTTCTTTATCTGCACACATTTCTTGAGTACCTACTATGTCCCAGGCCTAGGCTGGGGACAGTCATGAATAAACGAAACAAAATTATCCCTGCTCTCAAAGGAAGACGAAGTTAACCAAAGACTCATCCAGATGAATATAATTCAGTCCTGAGCACTGGGAAGGATGGGTGTGCAGTGCTTGCAGAGCCTATGGCAAGGGGGTTTGATAAGCAAGTGCCCGCTGTGCAGAGATTGAAGGATGGGTGGGCCTTGAGCTGGCCAGGGGTGGGGAACAGCATGTATGATGCCCAGAGGGGGAAAGGAATGAGGGTATGCCTAGCCTCTTTACTCTTCCCAGAACCTCTTCCCTGGTCTTCCCAGCCACCTTCCCCTACTCATGGAGGATGGTGCCCTCCTGGGCAGTGCCAGCCTGTGCCAACCTGCACCTGCCCCTCTGGGAGCAATCCAAGGCACCACACTGACCTGGCATGGCCTATTGTTCTTGGCTTGCCCAAAGAGCATCACTAACAGATGTTGACAGCTGTCACTGCCATTGGGTGACAGCTTTGTCCTCTGGCTGGTACAGGGTCTGAGGTAGGACCCAGAGTCTGTGGGAAGGAAGAGGGTCCCTTCCCTGCTTGGATCTCCTCACCTTACCCAGACAGACCCACCGCTTGAGGCCCCTGAGAGACCCCTACCCCACCAGCCTGTTCCCAGCTCAAGGGGGCCCCCTGGCTATTCCCAGCCCAAGCCCACATCCTCCTGACTTGGGTCTGTAGGATGCTGGTGTGTCCCCCAGATGGGACTTGGCCTGGCCTCTCCCTGGGGTTATCTATAATAGCATAGATCTAATCAGCATTTTTTCACAAGGTCAACTTGCCCCCAACCAGACAGTTATGGTAACATACAGAAAAGGGGGTTGTTCATGGAATAGGATCACCAACCTTAGGAGGTTGCCTGGGGCAGTCTTGGAGGTTGAGGGGAGTACCAGCTAAAGATTGTTCTCCCTGCTGCCACTTGGTCACAGCATAGGGAGTACCAGATCTTGAGAAACTCCCAAAGCATTGCTTTTAACTACTCTAGTAAAGGAATGGATCCACAAGATTTGGAGGCCAGGCTGAGGCTGGGTTAGAGCTAGGGACCGGGGCTGGGGGCAGGAATAGCCCTTGGTCTTTTGAGTATAGCTCACCCAAGTCATTGCTTGGAATCCCAGGATGGAGGTGAGCACACTTCCTTGGCCTCCAGATGTTGACAGCACCTTACCCTAGGGTTGGCTCAGACTCTGGGCTCATGCGTGGAGGGTCCCAAGAACAACGTAAGGTAGGAGGTTTATGTGGTGCAGGAAACACTGCCATGGCTTTCATCTGCCCACAGAGCACCATGGACAAGCTGGAGAGGGAGAAGATGCCCCGGAAGGGTGGGCGATGGTGGTTTTCCTGGCGACGCAGGGACTTCCTGGCCGAGGAGGTGGGTGGTCACAGTCGAGGGCCAGGGCCAGGGCCAGCACAGGGCGGGAGGTGGGATTCACTAATGGATGTTCTTTCCACAGCGCAGTGCCCAGAAGGAGAAGACTGCAGCCAAGGAGCAGCAGGGGTGAGTGAGACCCCCTATTGGGGCTCTGCAGGGGGAGCCTGGGAAAGATGGCCCTGGGTGCAGGTGGGTGGCAGGGAGGAGCCAGCACCCTGTCTCCAGCTGTGGGTTTTTTTTTTTGTCATTCCTCAAGCACCAAGCACTTCTTTTTTTGTTGTTTTTGTTTGTTTTTGAGACAGAGTCTGGCTCTGTCACCCAGGCTGGAGTGCAGTGGTACGATCTTGGCTCACTGCAACCTCCACCTCCCGGGTTCAAGCGATTTTCCTGCCTCAGCCTCCTGAGTAGCTGGGATTACAGGTGCCCGCCACCACACCTGGCTACTTTTGTATTTTTAGTGAGACAGGGTTTCACCCTGTTGGTCAGGCTGGTCTTGAACTTCTGACCTCAGGTGATCTGCCCACCTTGGCATCCCAGAGTGTTGGGATTACAGGCGTGAGCCACCGCAAGCACTTCTATACCTTTTCTTTCTCCTGAGAAATGGCCCCATTTTACAGATGGGAAAAATGAGGCCTAGAGACACATTTCCTGGCCAACAACCAGGAAATGGCAGAGCTGACACAGGTCCTCAGGCTCCTGCCCCAGACAAGGGGATCCCTATTAAGGAGGGGCAGGGCCTCTCGCAGCCCAAATAAGCCAGCTGACTTTGTTTCTTTTCCACATCTGAAGTGACCCAGCTGCCTAAGGCTGGGTGGAGAGTAGCTAAGGATGGCCTGACTGAAACCAAAGCAGGTGGGGTTGGGAATAAGCCCAGAGATACACTTTAGGTATTTCAGGTAAATATCTCCAAGGCAGACACTGAGGGCTGGCAACCCTGGGTCTCGGCACCCTCTGCTGTCACTTGGCTGGGTGGAGACTGCCAGCCTGCACCCCTGTGTCTGCCACCACTCCAAATGGGTTGCACCTAGAGGGAGGGATCACTGATACCCTGGGTAGGCCCTGGCATGGCGGGGACAGGTCCAGCCTCCTCTTGGCATCTCCCGGGAGTGAAGGCCCTTTGGCTGGAGGAGATGGCCTGAGAGCCAGTGTGGTCCACAGGGAGAAGACAGAAGTCCTGAGCAGTGATGACGATGCCCCAGACAGCCCTGTGATCCTGGAGATCCCCTCCTTGCCACCCTCCACTCCACCCTCCACTCCTACCTACAAGAAGTCCCTCCGCCTCTCCTCCGATCAGATCGTAAGTGTGGGTTGTCTGTGTGGAGGTTGGGGAGGGGCTGAGCTAATTCTGTCTTAGAGTCCCTCAGGACCTGGCTGAGAAATGGCTCCAGGGAGCCACATGTTCACCAAAGGCCAGAATCTATCCCCTTGGGAGCCTCCCTGATGGCCTCCACTTGAATACCTCCAAGGGCAGGGCGCTCACTTCTCATGACAGCCCATTTGTCTGTCAGACACCGGGAAAGCTGTCTCTTAGGTCCTCCTAAGATATCAACCTGTAGTGAGCCAGCAGGCTCTAGGTCAGCCCTTGGAAGCAACACTAAAAAGAATCAAATGCTAATGACAGCCCCTCAGATTCTGGCAACCCTTGGCCCCAAGTCACCTCTTCTCTAAGCTCAGTAACTGGTGGCTCCTGGAATAAGAACATATTTTCTTCATGGTTGTGGCTCCATGGTCAGGGAAGTGTCCAGGAGGGGCTGACCAGCCAGTACAAAGCAGCTGCCATCTGTCTGGTACCCTGGAGCTCACACTCAACTCAGGGCTTTGGTGGGAAGCGGCCCTGATCCTTCCCTATGGATCAAGTACAGGGTTAGGCCTCTCCTTAGGACAATGTTGACTCAGGTACCCTGGCCCCAAGGAGGGGCTTCCTATGGAGATCCCCACAGGACCCCCATCTATGGAGGGGGGTGTTTTCCTGCCAACAGCAGTCCCAGCCTTGGGGCTGGCCTGGGAATCCTGGGCAGGGAGTCATGGATGCGGCTTTGTGGGTTACATCTCAAAGGGGAGTGAAGGGAGGCTAGGGCTCCTGTGGCCTGCACTGGACAGGGCCCTGATCAGCATGGCCACCCTCTGCCCACATGGATGTGTCTGTGCATGGCTATCTCTGATGAATCCAAGAAGCATCTCTGAGCTGGGAGGAAGAGGAGAATGAGAGGCCCGAGGGGATCGGAGGCCACGGCGTAAGGGGAGAGGTAGGCAGTGCCTGGCTGTCATCAATCACGACACACCCCCCTTTGTCTGGCCTCAGCGGCGCCTGAACCTGCAAGAAGGTGCCAATGATGTGGTCTTCAGCGTGACCACTCAGTACCAGGGCACCTGCCGCTGCAAGGCCACCATCTACCTGTGGAAATGGGACGACAAGGTGGTCATCTCTGACATCGACGGCACCATCACCAAGTGAGGCCCACCCAGCTGTGGGAAGGGGAGGGAGAGGGGTTGTGGACTCGCCTCCCTCTGTGCTGGGTGTGGTGGGGAGTGAGAGGAGCCCTCCCTTCCTGGTGGGCCATCCTGGGGCTGGAGCTGGGCCACGTGGAGCTGCCTTGGAGTAACCCTTCCTCTCTCACTCTAGGTCAGATGCTCTGGGCCATATCCTGCCCCAGCTGGGGAAAGACTGGACACACCAGGGCATCACCAGTCTCTATCACAAAATCCAACTGTGAGTGCCTGGGCTGGGGCTGGGGCTGAGGCGAGGCCCCCAGCTCTAGAGAGGGAGTGACAGGACAGGACATCTTGGGGACCAGCAGGGCCCACAAGGCAGGCTGCCAGGGCAGGTGCCTGGAGTGCTGAGACCTCTCTATTGGCCCGCAGTTCTGGGAAAGGCTCATCCCCTGGGGCTGTGTTCTAGGATCAGGGCCCACCTACTGGCCTGCAGCCGGAGGGGAGGCCCTCTCCATCCTGGTCCACCCAGGCCTCAGGACTCTGTGCACCGTCCAGCTGAGTCCACTGCCTGGCCGTTCTCTTCAAGTCCCCTCCCTGCAAAGGTTGGAACATCAGAGTCCCACAGTTGGGCTGGGCAGGCTAAAGCCAGAGAAACAGATGGGGGCTGGCTGGTCTCTGATGGCTCTATGCCACCCTGTCCCCCACTCTCAGAAATGGGTACAAGTTCCTGTACTGCTCGGCGCGGGCCATTGGCATGGCGGACCTCACCAAGGGGTACCTGCAGTGGGTGAGCGAGGGGGGCTGTAGCCTCCCCAAGGGCCCCATCCTTCTGTCTCCCAGCAGCCTCTTCTCTGCCCTCCACAGGTAACCACCCCTACACATACAAGCCCGTGGCCCCCTGGTGGGGAAAGGCAGGCCCACTGCCAGGCCAGCCTTAGCAGGCTGGCATTAAGCTCTCAGGTGGCAAGGAGGGTGGGGTCAGACCCCCCATCACCTGAGCCTGCCATCCCCTCTGGCTTCTTCCCTACTTTGGCCCCCTTCCCTGCTGTGGTTCTGGCCACCCCAGAGAGGTGATCGAGAAGAAACCAGAGGTGTTCAAGGTCGCCTGCCTGAGTGACATCCAGCAGCTGTTTCTGCCCCACGGACAGCCCTTCTATGCTGCCTTTGGGAATAGGCCCAATGTGAGTGTGTCCCCTCCACTCTGCTGAGCCACCTCTCCCCAGCTGCCTGCAGGCCTCCATTCCATGGGCCCCTCCTGTCTCCCACAGGATGTCTTTGCCTACCGGCAGGTGGGCCTGCCTGAGTCACGCATCTTCACAGTCAACCCCCGGGGAGAGCTCATCCAGGAGCTCATAAAGAACCACAAATCCACGTGAGGCTAAACCCTGCCATGTTCCCCATGCCCTACCACGTCCCCCTGCCCTGGCTTCTCCCTGGGCCCCAATTTTACCTCTTACCGGGGAGTCTGTCCCTTACTCTGGGACAGACCCATGGCCAAGGCCATCGTTTGGTGGCAGCTCAGGCTCAGTGCTGGCCCCCTTCTGCCTGTAGGTATGAGCGGCTTGGTGAAGTGGTCGAGCTCCTCTTCCCACCTGTGGCCCGTGGCCCCAGCACAGACCTGGCCAACCCTGAATACAGTAACTTCTGCTACTGGCGGGAGCCACTGCCTGCTGTGGACCTTGATACCCTGGACTGAACCTGCCCTGGCTGGCTCCTCCTCCCTGGCCCGGCCCAGGACTGGCTAGGTGTCCTGGGGTATAGGAGGGTGGGAATTGGAGTGTCATGGGGCAAACCCACTGAAGGGGAAGGAGGAGGCTGCAGGTTGGTTGGCAGCTAGAGAGACTCCCCCATCTTCCCCGTCATATTTTTGCCAGCTAAGCTGCAGCTGCTCCAGGCGTCAGTGTGGCACTGTCCTGGGGCAATTAGCTTGTCATCTGGGCCCTTGCAGGGTTCTTTTTTTTTTTTTTTTTTTTTTTTTCCTGAGACAGGGTCTTGTTCTGTTGCCCAGGCTGGAGTGCAGTGGCATGATCTCTCGGCTCACTGCAACCTCCGCCTCCCGGGTTCAAGCGATTCACCTGCCTCAGCCTCCCAAGTAGCTGGGATTACAGGCGTGTACCACCACGCCTGGCTAATTTTCGTGTTTTTAGTAGAGATGGGTTTTCACCACATTGGCCAGGCTGGTCTCGAACTCCTGACCTCAAGTGATTTGCCCACCTCGGCCTCCCAAAGTGCTGGGATTACAGGCATGAGCTACCATGCCAGGCCTCCTTGCAGGGTTTTCTATGCCCTTGATATCTGTCTCCCTGTCAACCTGGGACCTTGCTGTAAGTCTTGATAGGACAGGGAGAAGAGGGAGGCCCTACCGAGGCTCGAGGCTTCAGTGAAGGGTGACAGCAGTGGGAGTGTGGTACAGCCTCTGGAAGGACACAGTGTTCTCCCCGCCCCTTGTCTGGGAGCCAGGACTGTACCCTCCGAAGCCAGACATCACTGCCAACATATCCCCCTTGCTGGTGCCCTGGCATCTCAGCACATGACACACACCCACACCTGCAGGCTGTGGTTCCGGCTTGGCCTGCTCCCCGTCCGGCTGCTGCCGCTGCCTCTCTCCAGACCTCGCTTAAGGACAGTCCCAAACTCAGCTGGGGCAGGTGTTGGCCTGAAAGTCCTCCCCCAGCCTCTGCTGGCCAGCTTGGTGCTCACAGCTGCTGGGTAAGCTCTTGCCTAAGGAGCTGTGGGAAGCAGGGCTGATGCCCCAGCAACCTCTCCTCCCACTGTCTTTGAAGAAAGTAGCTTTAGACCGGCTAAAAGCTTTAATCCAGAGCCTGCCCTACTCTGATAGTACCAGAGTGGAGGGCAGAATACCAAATGTCCAGGAACCAAAGGCAGGGCTGTGGGGACCTGAAGAGCAGCACAGTGGGGCCCGTGCTGCTGTGGGGGAAACTGAGGCTGGGAGCCTCAGCAGAGACCGGTGTCAAGAGTCTCTGGGAACTGCATAGGCCTGAGGAACATGCATTTTCAAGTTGTCCATTGATGGTTTCGTACCTGAATTTCTCACCTTTTGTGAACATCTTGGGAGGGTGGGGGTTTTGCAGGGGTGTTAAAAGCAAGGCTTGGAGCCCCTTTCCTCCAGCTGGTGGCTCCTTCTCAGGGCCTGGCCTCATTCAGGCCACTTTGTAGAGAAATGCCCTGACCTCGCAGGAAGGATTTCCCCACCCCCAAGTGGAAGGAAGAGGACAGTGTGGGCACCAGAGGGCCCTGGAAACATCTTAGGGGAAGGAAAGGAAAAGGATAAATTTGGAGTGGGGGGTCTCTAAACAGATTGCCTGGATTCCGTTCTTTCCTGGGGTTCTACAGCTGCCTAAGCCCTCACCTTGGGGGAGGATCAAAGGGAATAAAGAGAACTCTTGGCTGAGTCTTTGTGCTTCTGTTCTGTCCTGAAGGACACGTGAGGAGCCAGAAACATCTGGCAGCCTCTGGTCCTTAGTTCAGATACAACATCCATGAAGCTGCCAGGTGTGAGGAGAGTTCCAGTGGGCATCACCTTCCTGCACAAACCTAGTCCTGATGGCTGCGAAGAGAAGCCGAGGGGACAAGGAACAGAAGCCACCAAGGGCTGTGGACTGTTGCTTGTGGGCACAGGGCAATGCGGACAGGCCACTGGCTGTGGGCCTGTAGGTCTCTGCACAGTTGCTGAGGCTGGTGCTGACTGCCTGCAGGGTCCTCTCAAGGCCTTACATACGGACACTGATCAAGGCCAGTTTGCCACAGCAGCTGCCCCTGCCAGCCATGCTCAGGCCCTGCAGCTGGCTGTCCAGACACTGATTTGCTGACAGTGGAATGTGAACTCTCTCAAGTCTACCCTGGCCTTCAAGCATGACATCCTTGCCTTGACCGCTGTCCGGAACTGTCCAGTTTCTGCAGCACTGTGCATGGGTTTTGGTGGCTGGGACAGCCACGTGGAGGATTCCCTCAGTGGCCTCCTTAGTGCCATTTGGGCTAGCCAGGGAAGGCTGGAAGGCGCTGCTGGATAAGGCTGGGCTCTGGGGTGATGTTCCCCGAGTTGGTGGGATCTAGGGGTTGGGTCCTGGCCAGCCTGTCTAGTTGGCTTGCCCTGGCCGCACCTGCTCAGCCAGCTGGGCCTGGCAGTCCAGTAGGTCATCCCGGAGGCGGGCAATGTCCTGCGTGTGCTGGGCCAGCGTACGATTCAGCTGGTCCACATGGCTCCACAGGCCCTCTCTGGGCCTCAGTGGCTCAGTGGGCAAGCTGTCCAGGCCCGCGGCCAGCAGGCCCAGCCTCCTGCACGCACCCTCCACTTGTGCCACCCGCTGGTCAAAGTGTCCCACTGTGTGCTGAAGTTTCTGGGCTGTGTCCTGGCAGCGGCTCAGCCCACTGGCCACCTTGGCCACACCAGCCTTGAGTTGCTCCAGCTCCCCACGCAGGTTCAGGACCTGCCTGTGGCCAGCCTGAAGCCTGGAGCCTTGGCTGCTGACCTGCTCCTGGATGGCCTGGACTTCGGCTTCCACCTTGCGTTCCCGCTCATCCAGGGACGTGTTGGCAGCCAAGAAGGCATCAGAGTACTGGCTGACAGAGTCACTGAGGCCTGTGAGCGACTTGCTCACTGAGTTCAGATTGACCTTGAGCAGAGTGATCTCGCCTTGAAGTGAGCTGCCCGTCCCTTCTGCCAGCTGTCCCTGGACCTCGGCCACAGTGCCATTGAGCTGCTGGAGCAGTGCTGCGTGGCTGGCCACCTGGCGTAGGAGGGCCTCGCTCCGGCTCTGCCAGGCCTTCACCTCTGCCACGAGGCTGTCCAGGATGGCTGAGGTGGTGCTCGGGGTGCACGAAGTCTCCAGTGAGACCAACCGTTGCTCTAGCACAGCCAGCTCTGTCTGTACAAGGGGCCGAGCTGACCTGCCCGGAGAGGCGCTGTCATGGCTTAGCTCCCCAGCCAATGTTGCTAGGCGCTCCTCGAGGCTCTGCACGCGCTCTTCCAGCATGGTCCCAAAGCCGCCCACTCCCCACCCCCCCATGTCCAACCTCAGACAGCATCCCCTTGCTCCACCCTCTGTCCCATTGAGCGTCTCCAGACCCTCAAGCAGCCCGTCCACACCTCCCTCGAGCATGGCAGCAGAGAGCCTCGTAAGCTCATCCCCGGCCGGGGCACCGGGGCCCCTTTGGGTCTCGGTGACTGCCTGCAGGGCCCTCTCAAGGCCATCCATACGGGCATTGATCAAGGCTAGTTGCCCACAGCAGCTGCCCCTGCCAGACACGCTCAGGCCCTGCAGCTGGCTGCCCAGCTGTGACAGCTCCTGGCGCAGGGCCAGCTCCCGGCCATCAAGGCTCTGGTGCAGCCTCCGGCTGGCGGCCTGACCCTCCTCACATTGCCGCCGTACCTCCTGCACCCGCAGGTCACACTCACTCTGGACGCCTTGCAGCTTCTGCTCAAAGCCATCCAGCAGGCTCCCCCAGAGTCGGTGCAGCCGTCGGTCCACGTACTCCTCCAGCAGGGCCAGGGAGGTGAGCGGGGATGGTGGGGCTTCCCGCAGCCGCTGCAGGTGGGCCTCATGGCCAAGTGCCAGCCCATGCACCTTGTCTAGAAGCTGCACCTTGGTCTGAAGAGTGTTGCTCACCTCTGTCACCTTGCTTAGGATCTCGTCTAAGGGAGGTGTTAGTGGCCCTCTGGCTCTGTCTCCTGGGCCCACAAGCCCCTCAGGGATGACCCCAAAGCCCACAGGGACAGCAGGAGCCCTGGGGCCACCAGTCATCCTGTTGGGATCCTCGTGGCTAGCCACCAGGCCACTGAGGGTACCATATGTTTGAGCCAGGCGCTGGACATCACCCTCCAGGCGTTCCAGCCGCTCACCAAACAGCCCTGGGCCTTTCCTTCCTGGGAAAGAGAAGAGAGCCCCAGGGGCATCACTGGCCTCACCCTCTCAGCTTGTCACAATGCCAGGCCACCCAAGAGACTTTCTGTTCTTTTTTTTTTTTTTTGAGACAGAGTCTTGCTCAGTCGCCCAGGCTGGAGTGCAGTGGTGTGCTCTTGGCTCACTGCAAGCTCCGCCTTCCGGGTTCATGCCATTCTCCTGCCTCAGCCTCCCAAGCAGCTGGGACTACAGGCACCCACCACCACGCCCGGCTATTTTTTTTCTATCTTTAGTAGAGATGGGGTTTCACGATGTTAGCCAGGATGGTCTCGATCTCCTAACCTCGTGATCCACCCGCCTCGGCCTCCCAAAGTGCTGGGATTACAGGCATGAGCCACCGCGCCCAGCCCAGACTTTCTGTTCTAAGCCTACCTTCTCACTGGGCATAACTCCCTCAGCTTTATGGTGGGGTGAAAGTGGGGCTTGGGGCTTGCCCCTCCCCATCCATGCCGGAGCTCAGCCAGCCTGGGATCAGTCCCCTCCCTGCCCCTGCCACTGAGCCCAAGAAACCCAATCACCTTGGAGGGTCTCCTTGGGCAGACTCACCATGAGGGCTGGGGGCTGCTCTGCTGTAGGAAGGGGGCCTGGGGCCTGGGTCCAGCTGCCCTGAAGGAATCTGAGGCTCAGGCTCCAGCTGGGGTGAGGCAGCCCCATGGTCCGTGAGGTGCTCAGGGCAGCGTTTCCCAGTGAAGCCGGGACAGCAACGCCAGGCGAGGTCTGTCACTGTCTTGTAGCCAACCTTGTATTTGGGTCTGAGTACTGTGCGGTACCTGGGCCAGGGAGGGCAAGAGAGTGGGATCCTGCACCTGAGGGCTGTGCTTCTCCCCCTAGCTGGCACTCAGGGCCGCCCTCAGACACTTGCATAAGGCTGGGTATCTCCCCACCTCCATAGCACCCCCAGGGCTGTACTTTTTCTGTGCTTAAGGTGACAGGGGTGGGTAAGGGCAGGCCTTCCTGAAGCTCACAGTCATGTTAGGGAAGGATGCAGGTAGAAGTCCCACCCATCCTGGTAGCTTGGAGAGAAGCAGGAATTTTGCCCCATCCCTCCCAAGACCACTTGGACCCCCTCTAGCTCAGGCTGCCATGAGAAATTCCACTCAGGCTGCAGTAGCACCTGGGAGAATCAGACACAGCCCCAGCCCTCCCTGTGGGCAGGGAGGGGCACTGCCCTGGAGCTGGCGCTGGCAGCCCCCTCACTGCCCTGGGGGCCACTCTTGGCTCCTACCTGCTCCCCTTAGTTCTTTCCACTCCTCTCTAGCCTGCTCCGGGACCTCGGCTCTGGTCAGAGAGGCAGATGGACGGGTACCTCTGATTGTGAGCAGGGAAGGGAAGGTCCAGGGTACAGGCAGGCTCGCGAGGGTCCATGCCCTCACTGTTCAGCCACGTACCTGTTCACCCACTGACACACCGGAGACAACAGGTTTGTTTCCACACACACACGTGAACCTCTCCAGGTACAGAGCTGTGCATCCCATGTGCGTGCAGCCCTGCTGCTCCGGCTTCCTCTCCCTGCCCCATGGCCTGCCTCCTTGTGGTCACCACAGTCCTCCCTGGGCCTGCCAGGCCCCCCTGTGGCATCACCCGTTGCCTAAGGGGCCCTCTGCTCCCTCCTCTCCCCTCACCTTCTGCCTCTGTCACTTCCTCCTAGCCTTGTGCTGCCTCTGCCCCCAGAACCTTCCCCTTGTCCCTCTGTGGTTCCTGGGCTCCAACCCAAGCCTGCCCCTGTCTGTGCGGGTGATGCTCTGCTGCAAGCCCAAATCCCTGGGGTCCTCCTTGGCACCCTCTTTTCTGGGGCCGCCTTCTACTCTGGCCTGTATGGGGGCTCAGGTGGGCTCTCTGGAGTCCAAGAAGCCCCTTGTGGAGTTGGCAGCTGCTCTCAGCTGAAGGCAGGACTGGCGCTTGTGCCAGGGGATTCCAAGTGTGTAGGTGAGGAGTGCACTTACGTGACTGTCCCGGGGCACTTGGGCCCCCATCTACACTGCCGGTATTCAGCCTTTACGTAGCTCTCCGCTCCCTCCTGTAGGATGCAGGTCACATTCCTGTGCACCACATAGGCACAGAGGGCCCTACAGGAGAAAATGGCACCCCTGGAATATCTGGCTGAGCGAGGCCCACAGAGGCGCCTACCCTCCCACCTCCATCTGTGGGCCTCAGCAGGACTCCAAACTCCCATGTCTCTTCTGTCTGTTCTCTGTGTCCCTGGGAGCCAACGCCCTTGGTCTGGGGTCCAGCCCCGCTGCTGGTCTCTGATTCCAGCCTCCGTGATGGGTGGCCCCTGGGCTAAGCACTATTTGGAACCAGGAGCCTGATGTGGCTGCCCCTCCCTGCGTGGGGAAGAGGCCAGCCCGGATTCTCCCTCAAGTGCCCTGCCACACCCCCCCATCCTTCGCTGATTCCAAACTCCTTATCTTGGCATTTAAGGCTTCCGAGTCCCCACTCAGTGACTCCTTTGAGAGCACCATGTCTTGTCCTTCCTCCCTGCCTGGCTCCCGGGGAAATCCACCTCTCCTCGTAGTTTTGCAGCCCCTGCCTTTGGTCCTGTTCCCTTACTCTCAGAGCAGTTCTTGTACCACCTCCTCCAGGAGGCTCGCTGTGATGTACCCAGGCCCACTGAGTGTCGGTACTCTTCCTCCTACAACAGCTCTCAAATTCAGCTAGAATTCAAGTTCAGCCAGCACCCCAGGCAGAGCCTCCAGCCCACTTAACTGAGGCCAGTTCGCAAGCCACTGCCCACGAAACACCAGAAGCTGAGGCGGGGAAAGCAGGCTCCTTGATGAGCCACAAGGGCTGAGGAGGTGGCTGCCTGGCATAAGCCGACCGCTGTGGACGGCTGTGCCACAGCACAGGCCCGGAGCCAGGAGCCCGCTCTGGCTCTGCAGCCCGGCCACGCTGGGGCTCCCATGGGGTTGCTGGGGCCAGGCTGACTGCGAGAGGGCAGCGGCCGCCCGGATGCGCAGCTCTATCTCCTACCTGGCCGGGCCAGGGGAGAGAAGGGAGGCCCGGGGCGGGGGAGCCCCGCGTGCTCAGCGCGCGGACCGCCTTTCCTCCTCTCCCTCCACCTGGTCCGCTCGCCCGGAGTCTGCACACAGCGCAGCTGGAAAATGTTACTTCGCTGGAAAGGTTTCCGCTGGCACTGCCAGGATCCCAAGCCGCCGCGCCAGGCCCCCTCGGTTCCTTTTTCCTCGCCAGCCCCGCAACCTCCCGGAGCGTAGGGCGCTCGCCTGGGCAGGGGCTCGGCCCCGGGCGCCGCCCCCTCTGTGCAGCGGCCTCGGGGTGCCCGGGGCCTCGACGCCCCCCGCGGGTGCGGGCAGGTGGGAGCGGCGACGCGCGCGGGCCCATCCCTCCCTCTTCCCGCCCGCCGCCCGCCCGCGCTTACTTGTGCGGCCCCGGGCGCAGCCGCGGGCGCCATCCCGTCGTGTAGAGACTGTAGCGGGAGGCACCGGGCGGCGCAGGCCGCGCCAGGAGCGGGGTGCCCCTGGCCTGCGCCCCCGAGAGCAGCGCCGCGACGGCGCACAGCCAGACGAGCAGGCGGCGGCGGCCCATAGCGGCCCCCGCGCCTCTGCCCGGCCCCGCGCGGTGCCCCCCGCCGGGTGTCCGCCTGCAGCGCCGCGCCGCCCCCGCCGCTGGTCGGCCCGGGTCCCGCCCCGAGGGTCCCGGGGTCCCCTTCGGCCCCCGAGCTCGCTGGCCCGGCCGCCTGGCGCTTCGCGGCGGCTGCGTCCCGCGGAGTGGCCGGCGCTGCTAGCGGCTGGGGCCGCGGAGGGGAGGCGGGAGGCGGGCTCTTTGCGGATTAGCATAAACTTGGGGCCGCGCCGCTCGCCGCCGCCAGCCCCTCGCCCCAGCTCCGAGCGGACGGCCGAGGAGCCGCCTGCGAACAGGAGGTTCCAAAGGGAGCAGCCCCAGGTGGCAGGGGCGCAGGCCGCCGCGCCCTGGGAGGCCCCCCGAGCACACCAGCCACTCTGTCGCCTGCGGGCACGGGGCGAGACGCAGAGAAGCGGACCCCTGAGGCCAGCCTGGGCGTGGACTTTCCAGGAGTCGTCCACCCTCAGGATACGCTTGTCTTCAGAGTCCGTGTGAACCCGGGAACTGCTCTCCAGGGCTCTGGAGCCGAGATGGCCGTGACTGGGGGCACAGCAGCACCACCTCCCCCGCCACCTCTTTGGAATAGACCCCAGATCATCCCCGTTTGCTCGCTCTGCCTCCTGGCCCCATCATTGCCCGGGAACCTTAGTTTGATAACTCCGCTGACCTCTCCCCAGGCATCCCACCTCCCCCTTACCCCGCAACCTCTGCCACGTAGCCTGGTGGCCCGGTTGCACCTCTGGTTCTCTGGAGGCGCCTGTGTTGCCTCTCTGTCTTAGGTATGGGTTGCACCGAGCCCGAAAGGCCTATCACCGCCCCAGCCCAGCCAAAAGTGCTGTGCTTTTCGTGCAACTGAAGCTCTAAGCCGGCTGGTCAGAGAAAATCCTCAGGTCTTTCTCACAAGGCACTGCCGCGGTGAAGCCAGGCGTCGTCCACATTTTGCTTGTGAAGTTGACTCTTGGAACCCAAGAGTTGGGTTTTATCGTCGTCCTCATTCAGTATCACCTTGCTAACTCTCTAACCTGCACAGAGTCCTTCTGATTCTGTCATCAGAGCGGTACTTTCCTGGCCTTGTCTCATCCACACCGGTGGCTACAGCCGTCTGTGTCTTTGCCCCAGGAGCTGATAGGTGTACAGAACTCTGGGGCTTGCTTGGAGAGACCTCCCTCCAAATTGACCTTGAGATATGAATTAATGCCTTTTGGATAGGGTGATGGTTATCAAGGATACTGGAAGGGGCAGCTCCGAAACCCACATCTATTTCCTGCCCTTAGCTTTAGTGGCTTTTGGGTTCTGTGGGGCGGACATCTGACCCCAGCTAGGCCCATCCTGCTTTCCCCCAGGCTTTGGAATCAGAACACAGAAGCTGAAGGAATCCAGCTTCCAGGTGTAGGTTGTGTGAGTTTCTCAGGGCTGTGGTAACAGCCACAGACTCAGTGGCTTAACACACAGAAATGTATTCTTGCACATTTCTGGAGGCTAACTCCAAAATCCATGGGCCAGCAGGGCAATGCCCCCTCCAGTGGCTCTGGGGAGAAGCCTTCCTTGCCTCTTCCAGCCACTGGTGGTTCCTGGCAATCTCTGGCGTTCTTTGGTCAAGGATTCTTTGTAGCAGCATCACTCCAGCCTCTACTTTCCCTCCGCATATCCCTCTTCAGGTGACCTTTTTTTCTCTGTGACTGTGATCTGTGTCCTTTCCTCTTCTTTCTGTTTTTGTTTTTTGAGCCAGAGTCTCGCTCTGTCGCCCAGGCTGGAGTGCAGTGGCGCGATCTCGGCTCACTGCAAGCTCTGCCTCCCGGGTTCACGCCATTCTCCTGCCTCAGCCTCCCGAGTGGCTGGGACTACAGGCGCCCGCCATAATGCCCAGCTAATTTTTTTGTATTTTTTTTTTTTTTTTAGTAGAGACGTGGTTTCACCGTGTTAGCCAGGATGGTCTCGATCTCCTGATCTCGTGATCCGTCCGCCTCGGCCTCCCAAAGTGCTAGGATTACAGGCGTGAGCCACCGCGCCCTGCCTTTCTGGTTGTGTTTTTAAATTTGAGACAGGGCTGGGCGCGATGGCTCATGCCTGTAATCCCAGCACTTTGGGAGGCCGAGGTGGGGGGATCACCTGAGGTCAGGAGTTTGAGACCAGCCTGGCCAATATGGTGAAACCCCATCTCTACTAAAAATAAAAAAATTAGCCGGGCGTGGTGGCGGGCGCCTGTAATCCCAGCTACCTGGGAGGCTGAGGCAAGAGAATCACTTGAACCCTGGAGGTGGAGGTTGCAATGAGCCGAGATCATGCCATTGCACTCCAGCCTGGGTGACAAGAGCGAAACTCCATCTCCATAAATAAATAAATAAATAGAGACAAGGTCTAGCTCCATCACCCAGGCTGGAATGCAGCGTCGACCTCCTGAGCTCAAGTGATCCTCCTGCCCCCACCTCCTCTGTAGCTGGGACCACAGTTGTGCACCACCATGCACAGCTCATTTTTAAAATTTCTGTAGAGATGGGCTCTCACTTTGTTGCCCAAGCTGGTCACAAACTCCTGAGCTCAAGTGATGCTCTCACCTCAGTCTCCCAAATTGCTAGGATTCTAGGCGTGAGCCACTGCACCCAGCCCAGCCTCCTCTTCTTATAAGGACACCAGTCATTGGATGTACAGCCCAACATAACCTCATCTCAAATGATTACGTCTACAAAGACCCTATTTCCAAATAAGGTCACATTCTGAGGTTCCAAATGTTCATGAATTTTGGGAGGGGCACAATTCAATCCACTACAGGGGCACTTGGCTGGTAATGATAGGAGAGACCACGAGAGCTCTGGGGGAATCATGGGAAAGGGAGAAAGAGTGTGGTCAGGGGAGAGAGGGGCAGAGTCAGGGGCTATGTGGTGAGTAACCATCTGGGGACAAGCTGTGACTTCCCTATCTGCTTCCAGTAGTCCACCATTGGAGCTAGCTTGAATGGGTTTCTGATCCCAGCAACCAAATGTGCTCTACAGAGAGAAACTTCTCTAGTCATGAACTGTAGAAATGATCCCTGAAAGTATAGTCTTACAGCAACCACATGGTCCCTAAGACAGCCTTTCACTCTCCCTATAAAAGCACCGAATGTGCTATTATATGCTCCAACCTCTAAGAGAGATGTTATGAACCATTTTGCTGAGGGCAAGATACACCATATCCCCAACAAGCTCTTGATCTTGTAACCACTGACTTTGCGCTTTTTAGGAAGTGAGAAACATCTGAGCCAGCTCCTCATCCTAGGCTGGGTGCTGACTGCCTGGCAGCATTGCCCAGCCTGGCTCTGGGAGGAACTCCCCCACCCCAGAGGCTGTGATCTTTTTCCAAGTGGTCCCACCCCTTCCTCTCACTCCCTTCCCCAGCCCCAGATGTGGGGCCCAAAACTCACAAGGAAGAGGCTGGACCCTGTTTGAGCTTGGAAATATCCACGTCATAGGGGCTAAAAGGATAGCTGGACCCCACTTCCCCCTTTCCCAGGTGGCTGACATCAAACACCATGCTCCCTCTTTCACTGCAACAGTTTTGGGATCCAGGATCTGGGCCCCATTCTAGTGGGGGTGGAGGACCTCAGTACAGGGAGATGCTCAGGGTCTTGGCTGGATCAGGCCAGAGCGGGGGTCCCCCCATAGACGATGAGGCCACTTTGCATCTGCCAGACAGGAAACCTAGGGAGGCCAGAAGCAGAGGAGGAAAGGAGGCAGTCATGTTCCTCTGACTCAGACTGGAGTTTCTACACCTGGATGGAAACGGGCCATACACGGGAGTGGGAGTGCAGTTTCAGTTCACAGGGACATGCACAACCACACCCAACCCATCCCCCATACCACTATCATGCATGTGCATGAGTTTTTCCTTTCGTACAGATGGGGTCTCACTATGCTGCCTAGGCTAGTCTCAGACTCCTGGCCTCAAGTGATCCTCCTGCTTTGGCCTCCCAAAGTATTGGGACTGCAGGGGTGAGCCCTATGCATCCTGCCTTTCTTTTCTGTTCTTTTCTTTTTTTTCTTTTCTTTTTTTTTTTTTACGGAGTCTCACTCTGTTGCCCAGGCTGGAGTGCAGTGGCGTGATCTCGGCTCACTGCAACCTCTGCCTCCCAGGTTCAAGCAATTCTCCTGACTCAGCCTCCCAAGCAGCTGGGATTACAGGCACATGCCACCACGCCTGGCTAATTTTTTGTATTTCTTTTTTTTTTTTTTAGTAGAGACAGGGTTTCGCCATGTTAGCCAGGCTGGTCTCAAATGATCCGCCCACCTTGGCCTCCTAAAGTGCTGGGATTACAGGCATGAGCCACCACATCTGGCCTTTCCTTTTCTTATTGAGGGCCCAGCACATAAGAGTATTAAAAACCACACAAAGTTGTATGGGATGCAGTTCCCCTAAAAGAGACAGAAATAGAAAGCACTGAAGCTGCTGGCTTTCTGGTACAAGCTCTTCCTGCTGCAGATGGACCCCTCCTGCACAGGGACCACAGCCCTTGAAGGCACCAGCCCTAAGGTGCAGCCCTTTGTCCCTGACCATCTCCCTTACCCTCTTTTTTTTTCTTTTTTGAGAGTGCACAGCTAGGCCTCCCTGCCCACAGAGCCACATTTGGAAGTTCTGTGCAGCAAGGCTCTTTGCCCAGGCTCACTTTTTTCTCCACATCATCACCATCAGCATTTTGATTATATCTGCACCATCATAAAAGGTTATACCAAATGCACATGAGTTTCTGAGGCAGGGGTTTGCACTGACCCCATCCAGCTAGGCAGAAGCAGGGCTCGTCCAGGATCCTAGGGGGGATAGATGTGCAGCCTGGAGGCAAGGTCCTGGAAGAGTCCAGAAATCGTGGAAACTGGGCTCTGTAAAGCCTGGACGGACTTCCATTGAGTGAGAGTAGCTTAGGAACAGCTTAGAAATTGTGACTGCTGATGGACTGTCAACATGGACATATGCAAACCAGATGCAACATTACGCAAATTATATACAAAATACATGCACAGGTCTCCCAACTATTGCAAATGCCAGATATGGTCCTTGAGGACCCTAAGTTTAGCTGAGACCTGTTGTGGGGCAGAGAGATCACCCTGGACTTGCCAGTTTCTTTTTTTTTTTTTGAGACTGAGTCTCACTCTGTTGCCCAGGCTGGAGTGCAGTGGCGTGATCTTGGCTCACTGCAACCTCCGACTCCCAGGTTCAAGTCATTCTCGTGCCTCAGCCTCTGGAGTAGCTGGCACTACAAGCGTGAGCCACCACGCCCAGCTAATTTTTGTATTTTCAGTAGAGATGGGGTTTCACCATGTTGGCCAGGCCGGTCTTGAACTCTTGACCTCAAGTGATCCACCTGCCTTGGCCTCCCAAAGTGCTGGGATTACAGGCATGAGCCACTGCACCTAGCTAGGACTTGCCAGTTTTCTTATGGTGGGCAGGAAGGGCTTTGCTCCAAGGTGGTTCACACACTGTGGGGAAGAAATCAGGCAAGGAGTCAATTAGACTCAGGTTTGAATCCCAGCTCTTCCACTCACAAGTTGCATGACCTCCCTTGAGTCACTTCACCCCTCTGAGCCTCTGCTTTCCTATACGAAAATGATTATTATGAGGAATAGATGAGAACTTTGGCCAAGGCTCCCATGTGCACAGTCGTGCACATAACAGACGCCCAGTGAGTGTGGCAGGGCTCTGCACAGAGTCCTTTCTTGGGGGTTGGATATCTGGGCCTCCTTTCTAGTCACTGCAGTAGCAGCTGTGCCCCCTCAGGCTGTGGGCAGGACCTTCTTGCAAAGCAGCACATGCAGCTCTGGGTTTGGAAAATGTCAGTGCTTGGATGGACCAGGAATCCATGTACCTCTCACTCGTCAAGAAATCTGGCAGAGGTCACACTCAACAGGGGTGCTGTGGGTACCCCAGCCAGACTCCCTTTCCCTGGTCAGTGTACCCATGAATCCCCTGGCTGCAGGTGTGATTACTGGGAATGCTCCCAGCTGCCCCTTCTGTGAATTGCCCTTGGCTGAGGAGTGACTGGCTGATAGGGTGAAATGGTTTGGCTGTGTCCCCACCCAAATCTCATCTTGAATTGTAACTCTCACAATTCCCATGTGTCGTGGGAGGAACCTGGTGGGAGGTGATTGGATTATGGGGGCAGGTCTTTCCTGCACTGTTCTCATGATAGTGATTCAGTCTCACAAGATCTGATGGTTTTAAAAAGGGGAGTTTCCCTGCACAAGCGCTCTTTTCTTGTCTGCCGCCATGTGAGATGTGCCTTTCACCTTCCACCATGATTGTGAGGCCTCCCCAGCCACGTAGCTGTAAGTCCAATAAACCTCTTTCTTTTGTAAACTGCCCAGTCTAGAATATGTCTTTATCAGCAGTGTGAAAATGGACTAATATACAGGGGGACAAAAAAGGCAGCCTCCTCGCCTCATGGTGGACAGCCCAGTGTTAGTTTATGTTGCAGAGCCCCCTTGGTCAGGCCCCTCTAGACTCTACCTGGGATCCATTCTTGCTCTATTTCCATCCTCTCCTGTTTTCCTACCTCCCTTATGTATCTCTCCCAGGAGCCCCCTTGATAAATGACTTATAACTAGATCCCTGTCTCAGGATCTGCTTTTGTGGAACCCAACCCAAGAGAGGGGGACAGACCTGCATGCAGAGGGGGACATGAACTTGTATAGTCAGGAACCATAGGGTAGCGTGGGCTCACAGAGGAAGAAGTGCCTGGGTGCCTGAGCTTGGGGGAAGGGATCAGAGGGTGTTTCACAAAACAGGCAACACTAGAGTTCACCGCACGGGGAGAAAGCACCGTGGGTGGTGGGTGCGGCATGTGCATGGCCTGGAGGCAGGAGAGAGCCTGGTATGTATGGGGAACCCCGCAGAGCTCTGGGTAGCCCAGGCTCCAAGAGAGGTTGGCAGGGGCCAGACAAGAGGGGCCTTGAATACCCCAGTGAAAAGTCTGGACTTTACAGCTGGAAACGATGCATGCAGAACTGTCGGGAAAAACATCCTGTGGCTGCAGCTGTGTGGAGCAGACACACGAGGTGGGGTGCCGGTGGGGTGGCCCTGGCAGCTGTCAGCCACCAGGCTAACAGGGACCGAGGGATGAGGAACAGGGCTAGATTCTAGAGGCTTTCAGGACAAAGGACTAAAAGGCCTTGGTGGCTAATCTGGGGCTCTGGGTGTGGGAAGGAGTCTAGAAGGTACCACAAAGAGAGGAGACAAAACATCAGGGCTGAGGCAGGGTTGAATGAGCTGTACAGGGCAGGGGTCTGCATTCCCTGTGCCCACCACAGCTAGAGCCAGGCTGAGCCTCCAGTTGGAAGGTCCGGACACTGACCAGAGTATGTGGCACAGCTGGCCTGACCCCAGTAAGGACCTGGGGCTGCCCCTTGCTGGAGGGGCTGGCCTCCAGGCCTGATTAGGACAGGGATGGGGAGAGGCTGGGGGCGGGGGAGTAGAGTGCAGAGCTGCTCAGGCATTGATGCGGGGGTGTGGTTGCAAGGCCCTGGGAAGGGCTCACCATCAGCTCTCCTCTAACTCTTCTATTCATGGACACCAGAGTAAAAACTACACAAGATTACCCACTGGTGATGGGGGAGGCAGGCTTGCAATGCAGGGTGTGTGCAGAGAGGCCAAAACAAGCAGGGGAGGGGGCTACCCTCCATGGGGGGAAGGAAGGGGAGGGTGTTGCCATGGAAGACTCATGCTTGGACAGGCAGAACCTGACCTTCACCCAGACACTGTCCTTATCTCAGACCTGCTCTGCCTTAATTCCTTAATTTGCTGGGACATTTGCTGGGCACCCGGTGCTGGAAGCACAGACAGGTCGGCTCCAGGCTCTGTGCTCAAGGCATCCAGAGGGGCAGAGGTGGATGAGAGTTAGAGAAGCCCCAGGAGGGGCCAGAAAGGGGCCTGGGGAGGTGAGAGGGGAAAGAGCATCCATGGTGGGAGACACATGCTCCAATCAGAGGGAGGGGACTTAGGAGGGGACATGGCAGGAGGGGAGAGGGCTGCGTGCAGGCTGAGGACTTGAGGAGGCTGGGGGTTGCTGCATTTTGATGCTTGGCCTTCAGCCCCTTGAATCCACTCCAGACCACTTCCTAGTGCCACTGCCATTGTCTATTTCTGAGTCGAGCTCCAATCCAGACTGGCAGTCCTGGATGCGGGGGGCCATCTCTTGCCCAAGTTTGCCAGATGAATGGACCGTGGGTGTTAGATGGGTCATTCTGTAGCCATGAGGAGATGGCACTAGGCAGGCTGGCACTGGCATCCAGGCAAGAGATGCTGGAGATGAGAGAGGGTGGGCATTTTGGAGAGAGAGTCACCAGCCTTCAATGAGCTGGCTGGAGAAGGCTCAGGGCTAAGGTCAGGGTCATGGGCCCCACCCTGGTGGGGCCCCAGGATTCTGTCTTATGCTTAGGGCTAGATGATATATCTGGCGTCTATTCAAAAGGGGTCCCTGCCAGGGCCTGACCTTCTGACACCCCTTTCCCCTCCAGAGCAGCCCAGCCTTCTCCTTTTGCCCGGGTCCCACCCACCTGCCCTTGCCATGTGACCTTTGAGGCCTTCCCCAGGTTGAGTCTTTGCAGCCAGGGCTCCCACATTCCTGGCTATGCTGGTGTTGGCCAGCAGCCCTAGTTCCTTTGGGAAAGAGCGGACAGGAGGCTCCCATGGCGGGGACTGTATCCTTTCCTTCCCTCCCTTGCCCCAGGGGCTGCACTGGGATTAGGGTATCTTCCTCCCTGGCCATATCACCACAGTCCCACCTCCAGTCACAGTCTCCCCTCCCCTCCCTCTCCCTCCCTCTCTCCATCCTCCTCCTGTTTCTCTGGCCTCATGAAGAGCCCCATCATCCCCCAGCTGCCCACCATGGAGTGGGTGGTTGGTAGTGCCAGTTAGGTGGCAGTGCAGGTGCCTGAGCCAGGGTGAAGGCTGGAACCATGTTGGTGAGGATGGAAGGGACCAGCTGAAAGTATCCAGGCGATGAGGCCTTTTGACTTTTGAGGGGCTCCAGGATGACTACAGGTTTCTGGCATGGGGGGTCTCTTTTGCTGAGACAAGGACAGAGGGGTACACCAGTCTGGAGGGAAGCCACACTGAATTGGAGGTGCCTTCAGGTACCCCGGGGGAGAAGGCTGTCTGGAGGGCAGCAGGATATGCACACTGTTAAGGTGTCCCATTTGTTGGCTGCCCCTTTGAAGCTGGGGGCAGGGCAGGGGGCCAGAGCATACTGTAGTGCAAGGTCAGAGGCCCACCCTACCCCACTGCTGTCCAGGGCTCCTGTTAGAGCCACAGGGAAGTCGCTGACTGGCTGTCCTTGTGACCCCTCCTCCCAGATAGCTGATGAAGGCACTTGGTCAGAAGGCACGGCTGGCTGAGGCCACAGCCCCTCTGCTGCCCCGAGGCCATCCTTCCCTGTTCCACGGGCCTGGCACTTCCCAGGCGGCTGCCGCACCACTGACCACCCTTCCAGCTTTGGGTCCCTCGTGGGTTTTTCGTCCTTTCCCCCATCCCTAGCCTCTCTTCTCACCATCTCCTTCCCAGGGACCCTCCCTTTCTCCTCCCGCAAACCTCATTCTTCTCCTTTTCCCATAATCAGGAAGAGCTTTGATTGCCCATTATACCTGGAGCCCAAATTGTCAGCAGGAGAGAAACGGGTTTCCCCCACCTTGAGGGCCTGACCTTAGACACTCAAGTGTGCCAGCCAGGGCAGCATTCCTGGGAAGAGAGGGGAGACGTCTAGGTTCCAACCAGACGAGAGTCACCCTCCCCAGAAGAATGGGCCAAATGACTCCTAATACAAGGGAAAATAGAGACAACCCCCCAAAAAAAGTTTTACAACAAAACCAGCTGAATGTTCAAAACCTGCCCCATCTCATTTCTTTGAAATTGGAGAGAATTTAACTCATCAGCAAAAATAAAGGCAATGGGAATGAAGAGATCTCCAAAGGAGTTTGTAGGCCGGGCACAGTGGCTCACGCCTGTAATCCCAGCACTATGGGAGGCCGAGGCAGTTGAATCATTTGAGGTCAGGAGTTTGAGACCAGCCTGGCCAACATGGTGAAAGCCTATCTCTACTAAAAATACAAAAATTAGCCAGGGATGGTGGTGCACACCTGTAATCCCAGCTACTCAGGAGGCTGAGGCAGGAGAATCGCTTGAACCTGGGAGGCGGAGGTTGCGGTGAGCTGAGATCTTTGCATTGCACCCTAGCCTGGGCAACAGAGTGAGACTCTGTCTCAAAAAACAAACAAACAAGCAAAGGAGTTTGTGTGGTGTAAGAAGAAAACTGGGGACATTTAAGGCGAAAACTAAGGAAAATGATTCAGTGAAGGAGATCAGAAAGATGTGGTCAGAGGAGCTGGAGGAGGGGGGTGGAAGAGGAGGGGAGAGAGAGAGGGAGAAAGATGGCGGGATGGCGGGGGGAGACAGAGACACAGAGAGAGAGAGAGAGACACCAGCCAAGATAAGAGAGCAAGAGAGGGAGGAGTTTCCAAGAGACTCAGAGAAGCTATAGGTGAAGAGTTGGAGTTCACAACCCAGAGGGAAGGTGGTGGTGCCCTCTTCTTGGACCAAGTTGGGTGGAAGCAGGGTGGAGGTGAGGGAGTCATGGAGTGGAGGCAGTGACTGTGGGGAGGGGGCAGGAAGAAGTCGAAGGCAGCTGAAGGAGAATGAGTGAGTCCAGGGAAGGGTAGGGTGCTGAGCTGGAAGAGCTGAGATGTTTCTAGGCAAAGGGGAGGGAGCCAGAGAGAGGAAAGCAAGGCCCCTAGCAGGCAGGACCCAGGCTGGAGGGAAGAGGGGCAGGAGGAGGAGGAGGCGGCAGACAGGCTGGGAGGCAGAGTACCTGCAGGTGTGGCGGGGGCTGACGGGGTGGCAGGAAGCAGAAATGACCTCTGCTTATTGGTCTGAACGGGAAGTGAGGTTTTCTCCTGAGATCTGGAGAGAGGATGGAGGAATATTTAGATGAGGCTGAGGAGAAGTGAAGGTTTGAGGACAGGCTAGACCATAGCCTCTGCGGTGGCTGCAAGGCTCTGGTGACTGCCCCTTGGCCACAGCCCCCCAGCAGTTTGAGGGTGGGGCCAAAACGTTGCCTACAGGGGCCTGTCCAGGGCTGTAAGTGTGGATCTAGGGAGGGAGAGGGAACCTGGTGGGAGTAAGGATTGCTGCTCCCCAACCAGTTTCCTAGGGAAAACCAAATTTAGAATCAACAGAAACATGACTGGGCTTGGTGGCTCATGCCTGTAATCCCAGCACTTTGGGAGGCTGAGGCAAGTGGATCACTTGAGGCCAGGAGTTCAAGACCAGCCTGGCCAACATGGCAAAACCTCGTCTCTACCAATAAAATACAAAAAATTAGCCAGGCGTGGTGGCACGTGTCTGTAATCCCAGCTACTCAGGAGTTAGAGGCATGATAATTGCTTGAACCTGGGAGGCAGAGGTTGCGGTGAGCCGAGATCGCACCACTGCACTCCAGCCTGGGTGACAGAGCAAGAGACAGTCTTGAAAAAACAAACAAACAAAAAAAATCAACAGAAACCTGGCAGGGGCTTCGGAATTGTAAAATGTGACTATTTGCTTTGTGGCAATGTAAAAAAAAATCACATTTTCACTGGAAAGAAGAACAAAGGAAGAAAACTGAATGTCTGGGAACAAATTGATGCTGACATTTCTCTACCTTGCTGGTGTCCACCTGCCCACGTGCCTGGCTTGTTTATCGCTGTGCTTACAAATATTTCCTACTCTTTACTTCTTGACATCTTGACCAAGGTAACTGTGATGAGGTAAGACACAGTCTGTTGTCATTTTCCAGCAAGAACTCACCCAAGGAGTTAAGTGATGGCCCAGAGTTTTCCAGAATCACTATCACCTGGCACTACAATAGAGGCAGAGAGCGAATGATACTGTCCAAGACAGGTGTCTCTTACCGTGTGAAGATAAATGCTGGTTGATATCGCCCATTAGGCCGGGTGTGGTGGCTCACGCCTGTAATCCTAGCACTTTGGGAGGCCGAGGCAGGTGGATCACCTGAGATCAGGAGTTTGAGACCTGCCTTGCCAACATGGTGAAACCCCGCCTCTACTAAAAATACAAAAATTAGTTGGGCGTGGTGGTGCACACCTGTAGTCCCAGCTACTCAGGAGGCTGAGGCAGGAGAATTGCTTAACCCGGGAGGCGGAGGTTGCAGTGAGCCGAGATTGCACCACTGCACTTCAGCCCAGGAGACAGAGCAAGACTCCATCTCAAAAAAAAATTATAGGAAAAGAAACCTTTTGATCAATGAAGATGAGTGGTGATCTTTGCAAAAGTGTACAGATTCTAAATGGAATGCTGGGGAAAATAAAAACTGATACATTACAGGGTTTTATATCTGTCAATGTATCCCCAGCTTTTAAAAAAGGAGTCATTGGACCCTAGTGTTAGGTCCACAGGGATTCAATATGTTATGGCTCCCCTTTTGTGTGGTGTGTGTTCAGAAGTTTCCATAATTGACCAGCCTGTAATCCCAGCACTTTGGGAGACTGAGGCAGACCGCTCACTTGAGGTCAGGAGTTCAAGACCAGCCTGGCCAACATGGTGAAAACCTCTCTCTATATATACATATACATACATATATATATGTAAAATATATATTATATATTATATATATAATGGTTCCGTAATAAAGTCTTAAATTTTTTCTTAAAGATGGAACAATTGACAATAGACACCTGTCATTCTTCTTTTTCCCTTCTTATTTTGGAAGCTCTGCTAGATGCTGCTGTCCGCAAGTACTGACCTTGCCTTTTCTGATTTTCATTAAAAAGAAACTCATAGCAACAAGGTACCAGTTAATTCCTCTCACCAGAGAGCTCTTCTCCCTGTTTCTCCTCCCTCAGGCAATAGGAGATATGTAAAATGCCTTTTCAGGCTCCCTTTCCCCTCCTCAATGCCTAACTTTGCCATCATTCAGCACTTTCCCTTTAGGGAAATTCTTATTGCATCTCTCTTCTGTTTAAAAAAATATACTTATTTAGCCCTTACATTACAAATTCCATCCTATCATTATTTATTCGGAGGTAATTGTACATGATTTGGTCAGCTCACGGCTCACCACAGGTTCCTCTTTTCTTCATCTCCTTGTCTCCAATCTGATTCATCTATTTCCTGATTAGATTCCTTTCTATGGTATTTCCCCCATATGGGAAAATTATGTGGACCTTTGCATTTCTTCTATCCTAGGAAGGTGAATGGCAACCTGGTTGGTTTAGGAGGCTTTTCTCTGAGTGGTCTGTGGAGGTGATTCATATTGGTTTCTAGCTTGCAAATAAGATGTACGATTTCAGTCTGATTCTCTTCTTTCTATGCAACTTATTTTCTCATTAGGGAAGCTTGTCTGAATTTTCTCTTTAATCGTGGAATTCAGGAACCTTACCAGGCTATGCCTAGATGTGTGTCTTTTTTCCATCATTCCTGCCTGGAACTCAATGAGCCTTTTAATCTGCAAACCCAAGACGTTCTTCAAACCACGGAAAATTTTCTTTCTCATTTAAAAATGATTGCTTCTCTTCTATTTCTTCTTTTTTCTGAGATTTTTATTCTTATTTTCATCATTCACCTATTACAACTCCTGGATCTCTCTCCTCTGAGGCGCTTTTAGATTTTTACTTTGGGTTTTGCATTATCTCTTCCACATGGTTTCCTCTCCTCCAAGTCATTTTAAATTGAAAACGATGTTTCTTCGTTCAGGAAAGTATTTGATTTCACCTTTGACTATTTTATTTTATTTTTGAGATGGAGTTTCGCTCTTCCACCCAGGTTGGAGTGCAGTGGCGTGATCTCGGCTCACTGCAACCTCTGCCTTCCGGTTTCAAGCGATTCTCCTGCCTCAGCCTCCTGAGTAGCTGGGATTACAGGCGCCCGCCACCAGGCCCGGCTACTTTTTTTATTTTTAGTAGAGACGGGGTTTCACTATGTTGGCCAGGTTGGTCTCGAACTCCTTGTGATCCGCCCGCCTTGGCTGCCCAATGCCTTTGATTTTTTAAAATGTGAGCTTATGGTTTTGTTTGCTTTTCCTGTTATGCAAGTTGTGGTTGGTCTCCTCTTGCAGTGCTGAGTGAATTGCAGGCTCTTCCTTCCTGGCCGCTGGATTCCCTTAGGTGCCAACTGTCTTTCTGCCTTCTTGCAGCCCTAATCATCTCCAAGGCTCAGATCCAGCTGACAAATTGGCTGCACCTCTCTGTATCCCAGGAGAGAGCGCTCTGCTCATTCTGCTGCTCTGCATCCCCGTCTCCCAGCCTCGGGGCAGGGAGGGATTCTGCAGGGCCTCCCAGGACCACCCAAAGCTGCTGGCTCTGCTCTCCTCTGTGCATCCCTGCGCCAAGTTCTCTCTTTGGAGCCTTGGAGATCCCATTCTCACCCAGGGCTCTCTCTGCTGCGGGTCCCTACTGTCTGCCCCAGAGGGAGACTAAGTCCTAAGCCAGAGCTATCAAGACAAAGGCCCTGTCCAACCGACCAGGCCTGGCTGCTGGCTGACCCAGGAGCTCTGCTGTGGGAGCCCATTGGATATTGGAAAGGAGGGCAGCAGGGCGGTCAGGCTGCCTTCACCCTGGAGGTTTAATTAAAGAGAAGTTCTTGGGTTTCATGATATTGAAGAGATGACTGGGATCAATCAAAAGTTTACTTATACTTGCAAAAGTATATCAGAAAAAAATAAAAAGCAAAATGGAATGGATTTGAATAAAATCAGTTTTTTTTAAAATTTACTAGGTCTATGATGATGTATCTAGCATGCATAGAAAATTGAGTGACATTGAAGGAGTTCTGAGGAATTCCGCACATTTTTTTGTTGTGGTAATTATAGCATTTTGTGAGGAAAAGAATAAACCTTGGCTGGGTGCGGTGGCTCACGCCTGTAATCCCAGCACTTTGGGAGGCCGAGGCGGGCGGATCATCTGAGGTCAGGAGTTCAAGACCAGCCTCAACATGGAGAAACCCCGTCTCTACTAAAAATACAAAATTAGCCGGGTGTGATGGTGCATGCCTGTAATTCCAGCTACTTGGGAGGCTGAGGCAGGAGAATTGCTTGAACCTGGGAGGTGGAGGTTGCGGTGAGCCGAGATCGCGCCATTGCATTCCAGTCTGGGCAACAAGAGTGAAACTCCGTCTCAAAAAACAAACAAACAAACAAACAAACAAAAAACAAAAACCTTAAATGCTCTCAGTTCTCTCCTTGGCACAACACCATGTACCCACCAAAAGAGTTTTCCAAACCTTTGGACGTGGGTGAAGATGAAGTGTGCAGGGAACAGGGTGATTTCTTTTTTTTTTTTTCCTTTGAGACGGAGTCTTGCTCTGTCACCCAGGCTGGAGTGCAGTGGAGCGATCTCGGCTCACTGCAACCTCCGCCTCCCAGGTTCACGCCATTCTTCCGCCTCAGCCTCCCCAGTAGCTGGGACTACAAGCGCCCGCCACCATGCCCAGCTAATTTTTTATATTTTTAGTAGAGACGGGCTTTCACCGTGTTAGCCAGAATGGTCTCGATCTCCTGACCTCGTGATCCACCCGCCTCAGCCGCCCACAGTGCTGGGATTAGAGGCGTGAGCCACCGCGCCCGGCCAATTTCTTGAAAACACATTGGACTGGGCGTCACGGTCCATCTTCAGCTGCCGATGAAGAACTTTCAGATACCATTAGACCACAGGAAGTTGTAACAAATGACTCTTCAGCTCTTGCAGGTGAGCGAAGTATACAATTGCTATCACTGATTCCAAATTTGATTTTATCTTTTGTTTTACTTTCTTTTAACCACATGATAAGTGTCCCAGGATTTTTTTCTAAAGAGCTTCAAAGTGAAACTGTAGACATTTTCTTTGCCTTTAAAAGCCAAAAAAGATCACCATCTGAGAGAAATTATGAGCCTTTCAAGGCCACCTGGGACAGAGTGGAGAAATGATGCCAAAAACCAATTCCTAAGGACTTCAAAGTTGAAAAATGTTTCCTTCAGAAGAAAAGAACTGCTGAGATAAAACAAATGATGGCAATTCCAATTATGCATTTTTCCTACTTTCTCATAAGAAAAGTATTAAATTAATGTCTCTTATGAAGGATGGGTTCCTAGATTACATTTAAAGTTACAGTTTCATAGAAATAATCATATTGAAGTGAAGCAAATTTCTGAGCAGTCCCATTCAGTTGAAATAAAATAATACACAGAAATAGTCAAACACGTGCAAAATGTGTGCAGCCTGGAAGCACTCTGAATCCCACAATTCAGAGTGTGTTTTATGAAACTCCAAAAGGATCACTTCTGCTACGATTGTATCAACTTAATTGATCTTGGCAGCCTGATGATTTGACACTGTCTTCACTACCCTGCTCCTTAGTCTCAGCGATTACAATAGCAGTGCAGAAAGCTCATTTTCTACTCTTAGTGACTTAGAAACCCGCTTCTGCTGCTCTGTCCAGTGACAGGCTCTGGCCCCAACAGCTGCAGAGTGAGACAAATCACATCGAATGTTTCCTGAGTCTTTCCTTTTCCACCCTGATACGGTTTCTTCACCCAAATCTCATCTTGAATTGTAGCTCCCGGGAGGGATGGGATTGGGAGGGACTGGGTAGGAGACAACTGAAACATGGGGGTGGGTTCCCCCATACTGTTCTTGTGGTAGTGAATAAGTCTCACGAGACCTGATAGTTTTTTGTTTTTTTGAGACAGAGTACACTCTATTGCCCAGGCTGGAGTGCAATGGCGCAATCTTGGCTCACTACAATCTCTGCCTCCCAGGTTCAAGCGATTCTTGGGCCTCAGCTTCCCGAGTAGCTGGAACCATAGGCACGCACCACCATGCCTGGCTAATTTTTGTGTTTTTAATAGAGATGGGGTGTCACCATGTTGGCCAGGCTAGTCTTGAACTCCTGGCCTCGTGATCTGCCCGCCTCGGCCTCCCAAAGTGCTGAGATTACAGGCATGAGCCACTGCGCCCAGCCAAGATCTGATGGTTTTACAAGGGGAAACCCCTTTCTCTTGGTTCTCATTCTCTCTCTTGCTTGCCACCATATAAGACATGCCTTTTGCCTTCTGCCATGATTATGAGGCCTCCCCAGCCACGTGGAACTGTGAGTCCATTAAATCTCTTTTTCTTATTACCTAGTCTCAGGTATCCCTTTGCCAGCAGTGTGAAAAGGGACTAATACACACCCTGAATTCATTAGTTCATTCAGTCTTCAAGCAACCCTGCAGGAAGAAATCACTAGTCCCATTTGCTGTAGGAGGAAAGTGGGGGTCAGAGATGTTAAGTGACCTGCCCAAGGTTGCAAAGCAAGTAAGAGTCAAACCTAGCCTGATTCCCAAGCCGGTGTAATCACTGTGTTCAGTTTGCAGCCAAAGGGATGAAGATCTGAGGCTCCTGTGATATCATGGATCATCTATATTTGCTGAGATAAAAATGATGTGCTACTAATTTAATCTCATCTGTAAGAACTTTTCTTTCCCAGAGTTATGATGTCTTTTATCAGGATGGTTAGACATCCACGTATGGTTCCGAAGCTCCTGCTGAATAGGGCGGGCCATGGAATGTCTGGTTTGTTGCTGGGATGGCATAAAGGGCATACACTGAAGTGAAATGCTGACAAACCATTCCTCTGTTCTTAAAAAAATAAAAAATGTGCCTGGCTAAACAAACTGTGGAATATTAATATAATGGAATACTACTCAGCGATAAAAAGGAACAAGGTACTGATTCTTGTAGCAACATGGATGAATCCCAACAGTCTTACACTGGGCAAAATAAAAAGCCTGACACAAAAGGGCACAGAGCAAATGACTTTATATGAAATTCTAGAAAAGACAAACTTAGTGTATTATTGTGCTAGGGCTACCATGACAAAGTACCAAAGACGGGGTGGCTTAAACAGCAGAAATTTGTTTCCTCACAGTTCTGGAGGCCAGAAGCCTCTATCAAGGTGTTGGCAGGGGTGGTTTCTTCGTAGGCCCCTCTCCTTGGCTTGTAAATGGTAGTTTTCTCCCAGTGTTTCCACGTGGTTGTCCCTCTGTGTGTATCTGTGTCCTAATTTCCTCTTCTTATAAAGACACCAGGCATATTGGATTAGGTTCCACCCTAAGGATCTCATTTTAAGGTAATCACCTCTTTAAAGACCCAACCTCCAAATACAGTCACATTTTGCAGTACTAGGGATTAGGACTTTAACATATGGATTTTGGAAGAACACAATTAGCCCACAACACCTAGACTATGGTGAAAATAAGCAGAATAGTGGTTGCCTCTGGGAGGAGTGTGGGTTAGGGATATACTAGGAAGTGGTTTGGGAGACTTTCTGGGGTTGATGGAAAATTGGATTTGGTGATAGGGTTTGGGTTATAAAAGTTATCTACATTTGTTGCCCGGGCGCGATGGCTCATGCCTGTAATCCCAGCCCTCTGGGAGGCCGAGGTGGGTGGATCACGAGGTCAAGAGACTGAGACCATCCTGGCCAACATGGTGAAACCCTGTCTCTACTAAAAATACAAAAATTAGCTGGGCATGGTGGCACACACCTGTAGTCCCAGCTACTCGGCAGGCTGAGGCAGGAGAATTGCTTGAACCCAGGAAACAGAGGTTGCAGTGACCTGAGATTGCACCACTGCACTCCAGCCTGGCGACAGAGCAAGACTCCGTCTCATAAAAAAAAAAAAGAAGTATCTACATTTGTCAAACTCACTGGAATAAAACATGTAGTCCACATGGTACATGGAATAGTACAATTTATGCATTTAATTGTCTGTTAATTTTGCCTCAAAGAAAACCAGAAACAAATATTGAACTCTAGTTAATAATATGCATGCCTACTGTTAAGGGATAAAGTGTACTGCTGTCTGCAAATAGCTTTTGAATTGATGGCTGGGTCTACAGATGGATAGATATTTGAAAATGCACATATAGCAATCTACCAACAATTGCAGAATTTAGATGGTGGATTCCCTGTACAATTATTATTATTATTATTATTATTATTATCATTATTATTATTATTATTATTGAGATGGAGTCTTGCTCTGTCGCCCAGGCTGGAGTGCAGTGGCGTGATCTAGGCTCACTACAGCCTCTGCCTCCCAGGTTCAAGGGATTCTTCTGCCTCAGGCTCCTGAGTAGCTAGAATTACAGGTTCCCACCACCATGCCCGGCTAATTTTTGAATTTTTTTAGTAGAGACGGGGTTTTGCCATGCTGGCCAGGCTGGTCTCAAACTCCTGGCCTCAAGTGATCCACCTGCCTCGGCCTCCCAAAGTGTTGGGATTACAGGCTTGAGCCACTGCGCCCAGCCCTTTCTTTTCTTTTCTTTCTTTTTCTTTTTCTTTTCTCTTTTTTTTTTTTTAAGACAGGGTCTTGCTGTGTTGCCCAGACTGGGGGGTAGTGTTGTGATCTCAGCTCACTGCAACCTCCATCTCCTGGGCTCAAGCGATCCTCCCACCTCAGCCTCAAGAATAACTGGGACTATAGGCGTGTGCCACCACACCCAGCTCATTTTTGTATTGTTTTATAAGAGTTGGGTCTCACCATGTTGCAGAGGCTGGTCTTGAACTCCTGGACTCAAGCGATCGGCCTGCCTCAGCCTCCCAAAGTGCTGGGATTACAGGCATGAGCCACTGTGCCTGGCCTCATTGTATAATTCTTTCAACTTTTCTGTATGTTTGAAATTTTTCATCATAAAGTGTTGGGGGGGGGGATAAAATTTCCATTTGAAAATATTAGCTAGACATTTCTCATAAAATCTTTCTTCATTGCTAGATCAAGGTTGCCACGAGACTATGCCAAGTCAATTGTCCTTGTGTCCCCCACCAATATGCCCAGGAAGAAAGAGTAGGGAGACAATTCCGAAAGAGGCCTTGAGGGTGCTAGGGAGTTCTAGGGACTAGCTAAGGCGTTTGGGCTCTGTGTTTGAGGAAACTGAGGCTCAGGCTGTTTTGCGTTGCTGTTTAGAATCCAGGGAAGTCCAGGATGTTTTTTCTTAAGCCATGTTGGGGTGCTTAGGCTCAGTGGAGAAGCGGGGCATGGCCATATGAATGATATGCAGTTGGCAGCACATAGTAGGCACACAAGTGTTTGCTGAATGAATATTTACATGAAATTGGAAAGGAGCCTTCCAAAGATGGAGCCAGCAGGAGACAGTGAAGTTGCCTGTGCGGGCCGGGGGAGTCTGTCTCTGTCTCTGCCCCAGCCCACCTCTGGCCTGGCCTGAGTACCTTGAGAAGTGGGCCCAGGAGAGGCCCCTGGATCCCTGGGTTCCTGGACAGCCAGGGTGAGGGCGCTTTGCCACATTCTTAGGAGAGAGCACATCCAAAACAATTTCTTTTTCTAAAAACTCAGTGCTAACGGATTCCAGATGTCCGTTTGTTATATAATGGGGTTTGTTTTAATAGCGTCAACTTCCAGATGTGCAGCCTGGAATCAAGAAGCCCATTGGCCCCCTGAGGACACTGTGAGCCAAGCTGAGAGCTGCCCGGGGGAGAGACATGGACGTGCAGAACCAGGGATGGGAGAGGAGCCAGGGTGCCTTCTTGCTGCCCACTGGGCTGCTCACCTGCCCTGCAGCTGTCCCCAGACTGAAAGACAGGAAGGGTGTTCCCGCTTCCTTTTTTTTCAGTCCTGACTCTGAGCAGGGGCTCCCAGGGGACAATCATAGACAGGCAGCTTGGGGAGGGTCTGCTTTGGAATCTGGTTCAAGCAGGCCTAGCTGGATGAGCCTGGAGAAGTCCTTGGCCTCCCTGTCTTTGAATGGAAAATAGAATAACGCCATTCTACCCAGAGAGGTCATTGTGCAAAATGAAATGAAGTAAGCAGCACAGCACGGGGCTCAGAAAGCCTTGACTTTCCCTGAGTGGAGAGAACAGGGGCCCAAGTCACCGAGCATCCTCCCCTACTCCTCTCAGCAACACGGATGCCCCTGGGCAGCACGGGCTGCATTTTCCCTGGAACACTGGAAAAGAGCCAAGGTGGGGAGCTCACCACCTCCCCCAGTGGCTTGTTCCATGGCCCTGCAGCTCCAACGGATAGAACATTCTTCCGTTCACTGAGCCAAAGGCGGCCTCTGTGTGACCCCCAACTGGTCTGAGTTCTGCTCTCTGGAGCTCTGCTGAGCAGGCCACACCCTCTTTCACCTGATACCCTCGAGTATGGGAAGACAGAGACCGAGTCTCCCAACCCTTTTCCTAGTAGGCAGCTGCAGTTATGACATCAGATGGACGAAGATTAAGATGCTCTAAGGAGAGATGTTCAAAATCCCAAACAAGAAAAGTCTCAACGTCTGGGGGAATGATTCTGTGGTTCTCCCTGTGTAGATGTTAATAAAATCTGTATGCCTTCACTCCAATTCAAAGAGAAAAGGGCCAGGCTCACGCCTGTAATCCCCACAATGGGAGGCCGAGGAGGATCACTTGAGCCCAGGAGTTTGAGATCAGCCTGAGCAACATAGAGAGACCTGTCTCTACTAAAAATAAAAAAATTAACCAGGGGTGGTGGCATGTGTCTGTGGTCCCAGCTAATTGGGAGGCTGAGGTGGCAGGATCACTTCAGCTCGGGAGGTCGAGGCTGCAGTAAGCCATGATTGTGCCACTGCACTCCACCCTGGATGAAAGAGCAAGACCTTGTCTCAAAAGGAAAAAAAGAAAAGTCACAAAATCTGAATGCAGTCACAGGGGTGAGGTGTCCACAAAGAGATAAAGTCATCATCTTCTCCAAATGAATCTATACACACAATGCCCTTCCAACAAATTTCCAATCAAATTGGTGGGGGTAGGGAGAGGGTGCAATATAAAGTTGAACGTTAAGTGTAGAATACTCACCATGTCTCCGCAGATGAAAAACATTAAAGCGGGACTTACCCTCTCAGCTGTTAAAACACAGGTAACACTAAAATACATTGAACATTATGGTACTTGTGCCGGCGCAGCAGAGAGGGAAATGGCACAGAAAATGGAAACACGAGCAGTAGACCCATCTCCATATGAGAATGTGGAATGTGGCAAAGAAATGCATGTCACACTAAAGCAAATAGGAAATTTCAACAGTGGTTACCTTTGGGGAGAGGGACTTGGCGTGGGACAGTAGTGAGTGAGAGGGAAGTGTTCACTTTTCATTTTGTATCTTTTAGAGTTGTTTTATTTTCCAACCTTATATATTTTTGTTTGTTTGTTTGTTTTTGTTTTTGAGACAGAGTCTTGCTTTGTTGCCCAGGCTGGAGTGCAGTGGTGCAATCTTGGCTCACTGCAACCTCTGCCTCCTGGGTTCAAGCGATTCTCCTGCCTCAGCCTCCTTAGTAGCTGGGACTACAGGCGCACACCACCATGCCTGGCTAATTTTTTGTATTTTTAGTAGAGACGGGGTTTCACCGTGTTAGCCAGGTTGGTCTCGATCTCATGACCTTGTGATCCGCCTGCCTCGGCCTCCCAAAGTGCTGGGATTACAGGTGTGAGCCACGTGCCCTGCCATATGTATTCTTTTTTTTAAAAAAAGCCAACATATATATATACCTATATATACACACACGTATACATATATACACACATATACATATATATGCATATATATATATATATATATTTTTTTTTTTTTTTTTTTTTTTTTTGAGACAGGGTCTCACTCTGTTGCCCAGGCTGGAGTGCAGTGGCGTGATCTCAGTTCACTGCAACCTCCTTCACCTGAGAAGCCAACATGTTTTTATGCCAAAATATGTTCCAGAGGTTTTGATCCCTTTTGGGTTTTCTCTTTTGAATATTTCTGCACTTAAGAGAAACCTAGTAAGTGTTATAACACGAATAATAATAGGATCTATAACAAATGATGAACAGTTATTGCCTCTACCTCAGGGAGGTAAAAGGGGAGGGCTTTTACTTCCTTAGCCATACATTTCCACACTTCTCATCCCCCTCCTGCTCGTTCCTCTTCTTTTTTCTGGATAGCATGTATAACTTTAAAAATCGAGGAGAGGGGGGAATTGAAAATTTGAAAAAAAAAAAAAAAACAGGGCAGAAATGATGGATTACTTAAGATGTGGGACTGGACAACTGGCTAACAATTTGGAAAAAAGTTAGATTTCTACCTTAAATCTAAATATACTGCAGATGGCTTAAAGATTTAAATGCTAGAAGGTAAACCATAAAAGAATCCGAATACTTACACAATTTTAGGATAGGGGACAACTTCCTAAGAAGACATCATATGAACAGACTGATAGATTTCATGACATAATAATGGGAGGCTTCTTTCTAACAAAACATAATAAAATAAGGTCAAACTGTGAAAAAAAAGACAAACAATATTTAACAGAGGATCAAGCATTTTAATATAGAAAAAGCTCTTACAAGAATTCCTGCCTCATAATTGTTTTCCCTAAGCCAAGAATGGGGGGGAATTTGACCACAGTGAAATCAGGGTTTCTAAGGGCAGGAGGAAGGTAGGAGGGGAGGGGCTGAACGGAGTTTTCAGGATGGGGGTGGACAGCTCAGGGGGACAGCTCCAGGGCCAGGGTTGGGTGACCTCCATGTGGCAGGGGTTCCCCACTCTCCCTGGCATTCACAGTCTTATCTGGTGCCAGTCACTTCCCCAGCCAGCCTGACCTCCCTGCCTGGGACATTTAACATTTTGCCATCTTCCTCACACATCAGGCATTTCCCTGTTTCCATGACTTTTGCAAATGCTGGTCCTTCTGCTTGGCTCACTCTCTTTCATCTCTACCTGAAAAAAAATCCAACTGCTCCTTCAAGGCTCAGCTCAAATATCCCCTGTTCTGCAAAACTGTCTTTAATCCATCTGCCCCCACTGCCCCCAAGGAACTCCCCTTGGGCTCCTATGGCAACTGCCCATCAGTCTATTCAGCACTTACTATACAGCATTGTCATTTTCTGCTCACTGGCTCACTCTAGACAGGGAGCTCCAGGGACCCCTTTCCCCTTCTCCAGGTCCGGCAAAGAGCAAGTGCTCAATTAATATTTCATGAACAAATGCATCGTACTGTGAGTGACAGAGCAGGGCAACTGAACTGACACTAGTTGAGCTTCAGGTTCAGTCCATTTCTTTTATATTTTTTGAGACAGGGTCTTGCTCAGTCACTCAGACTGGAGTGCAGTGGCATGATCATGGCTCACTACAGCCTTGAACTCCCGGGCTCAAGCAATCTTATCACCTCAGCCCCCTAAGTAGCTGAGACTACAGGTATGTGCCATTGTGCCCGGCTAATTTTTTATTTTTTGTAGAGATGGGGCCTTGCTATGTTATTAAGGCTGGTCTCAAGCTCCTGGCCTCAAGAGGTCCTCCTGCCTGAGCCTCCCAAAGTGCTGGGATTATAGGCATGAGCCATTGTGCATGACTGATTTATTTCCTAAAACAGCATGCTTTTATTTAAAATAAGGGCAAGTTATTTAACTATGATGCAATTAAGAGAAATAATTATGTATAATTCAATTATGATGCAATAATTTATCATAACTGCATCATAGTTAAAAGATGCCAAGTTACTGTAAGATCAGAAGACCTACGCTAAGGCACAGTGGTACGTGAATGCACTTGAACTATTGAAAGCCGCTGTCAGACTCCACAATGGCTTTCATTTTTATTTATTTATTTATTTATTTATTTATTTTATTTATTTTTTATTTTTATTTTTGAGACAGAGTCTCGCTCTGTCGCTCAGGCTGGATGGAGTGCAGTGGCGCGATCTCGACTCACTGCAAGCTCCGCCTCCCGGGTTCACGCCATTCTCCTACCTCAGCCTCCCGAGTAGCTGGGACTACAGGCGCCCGCCACCACGCCCGGCTAATTTTTTGTATTTTTAGTAGAAACGGGGTTTTACCGTGTTAGCCAGGATGGCCTCAATCTCCTGACCTCGTGATCCGCCCGCCTCAGCCTCCCAAAGTGCTGGGATTACAGGCGTGAGCCACCGCGCCCGGCCCATTTTTAAAACATTTATAAACAAAAGAGGTTTAATTGACTCATAGTTCTGCATGACTGAGCAGGCCTTAGAATCATGGTGGAAGGCAAGGAGAAGCAAGGCACATCTTACATGAGGGCAGGAGGTGGCGGGGCAGAGAGAGAGAGCGCGCCTCAATGGCTTTCAATAGTTCAAGTGCATTCACACCAGGCGCATTCCTGCGCTTGAGATTCCTAGCATCAGCCAGGAGCGGCTTAGTGGGAGAAAGAGCTGCGACGGTGATGATAGTGACATTCCAAAGTTTTGTGGCAACATGAAGGAGGAGGTGTGTCTGCGCTTGCACAGTGACTGCAGCCCTTGGGCAGATGTGGAGAATGTGTGAGGCTAAAGGCTCCCACGCAGCATGGGGCATGGGGAGCCTGAATGTAAGCCCCAGGGCAGGAAGTTTTGCCTATTTGCTCACCGTGTAATCTCCAGCATCTAGAATAGCATAGTAGGCCTTTGGTAAATATCTGTTGAATGGAAGGACTAAAATTAGTTCTGGAAGTGTCTGGGGATGGGGCTTAAGTTACCTCTGCAGGGTCTCCAAGGCTAAATCCTTTTCCTGAGTTAGAAAAACAGGGCTGTTCTCACTGAAGTTTTGGCCTTCAGAGTGTGATGAGGAGTGCAAAGGGGCACGGGGCAGCTTCAAGGACAGGGCTGGGACCACAGAGGGTGAGAAAAGGGCACAAGGGAGGAGGGGTGCTCCCAAGATGGCAGCCCCTAGAGATCTGGGCTGGGTCTTGCTTTCCTCCCTGGGGCCAGTGCAGCAGGAGAGGGTGCTGGGTAGGGGTGCTGGGGGCTGAGAGGACCAACCCAGCTTCACCAGGCCCAGAAGAGAAGATGCACACAGGGAGAAGGCAGCTGTATGCAGTGGGCTCAATAAAGAGGATTTGGGCTGGGCGTGGTGAGTCATGCCTATAATCTCAGTGCTTTGGGAGGCCAAGTGGGGAGGATGGCTTGAGGCCAGGAATTCCAGACCAACCTGGGCAACACAGCAAGACCCCATCTCTATGATACATTTAAAAAAAAATTAGCCAGGTGAGTGGTGCACACCTGTAGTTCTAGTTACTTGGGAGGCTCAGGTGAGGGGATCAGTTGAGCCCAGGAGTTCAAGGTTGGTTACGGCAAGCACTCCAGCCTGGGTGATGGAATGAGAAATGAAACCCTGTCTCTAAATAAATAAATAAATAAAAAGATTTGCCTCTGTATAACAGGAGTTTGAATTTAGGGCTCAAAAAGTCAAGTACATTCTCAAAATCACTCAGAGAGTGACAAAATCAGGATTCAATTTCACATCTTTCTAATTCCAGAGCCTGACTTTTTTTCACTCCGCTAAAAAAAGTGACGTCACAGGCACATGGCAGGCATGGAGCCCCAGGCGAGCCAGGTCTCAGTCTGGGTCAGTGTAGCCCCAGGGCTGGGATCAGAACCACAGTCGTTCTGGAGACAGGGCCAAACTAGGGTTAGAGGTCAGGGAGGCCAGGCCTGAGAACAACAGGCTTTCCGGGCTTTGTGCCCCCAGCCAGACACAGTGTCCTGGGATTGGTGGCAGGGCCTGCTGGAGCCCCCAGCTCCCTCTTTCCACCCCCCATCTAGGGCCTGGCCTGACCTTCCTCCCCAGGGCAAGGAACTGGCCTGGCTCTTATCCTGGAGGAGGCTGCAGCTGCTCCTGCAGCCCTGGTCCCAGCAGACAAAGGCGCTTTCTTTCCTAGTACAAGGTCTTGATTGCATGTTGCCCTGGATCCAAAAGTTCCTATGGAGGAAGCAGTTTCCTCCCAGGGTGTGTGTGTGTGTGTGTGTGTGTGTGTGCACGCACGTGTGTGCTGGGTTTCAGGGAGTTGGGCTGTCAGGGAGTGCAAGCCCTCTCCCAGCCTCCTGGGTTTAGCCTGGCATTGCTCAATCTGCATCCTTTGTGTACATCTCTAAGTGTCTATGCATGTGTGTGTACGTGGTGGTGTGTGATTGTATGTATGAGCATGTTTGTGCATGTCCCTGCAGCTGCAGGTGCGACTGCCTAGTATGTACCTGTGCATATTTCTGTACACATCAGCACATGCTTATACACAGTCGCAAGCCTACGTATCTGTGTAACTTGTGTCTGTGCCCACATGCGTTTGGGGGTGTATGCATATGTTTCATGTGTGTGTCTACATGAGACACCTGGTACCAGGTCCCTAACTCTGCTGCCTCTGGCTGTGCCTCCCCACACCCTCTGCTGCTGTGTGGGGGCTCTGCAGTATGCAAGTCCTCCTAAAATAGCCCCCTTTCTTCTTCCCAACCCCCGGCCCCGCCTCTGCATTTGTCTGGGAACAACCTGGCCTCTTTCAGCTCTGGGAGGAAGACAGGTTTGTACAGCTTGGCTTGGCCCATACACTTTCCAAAACTCTCTGGCTCCCAGCCAAACTCTTTATAAAAAGGCTCATGGGGAATAGCCTAACAGGAAGGTGGGAACTCTGCCTGGGGGGCTCAGGAACCCTGCTCCAAGCCCCAAGATTAAATGGGAGCATCAGTCAGCTGAACTTCAGCCAGAGACGGCCCTGCAGCCTGAAGGTGAACTTGGTCAATGGACCCTTCACCCCCAAAGATGGGGACACAGCATCTCAAGGTCTCATGTCCAGGGTGGCAGAGCTCGGAGGGGTCCCAGGGCTCAGGCAGCTCAACTCCCCATGGGCACACTGGAGGGAGAGGCCCAGAGTGATGCCCCAGACCAGGCAGGAGCTGAGCCACTTCCTAGCATCCTGCAGCCCCAGGCCCTGGTGACCCTGCCATGGATAACCCTGGGTCTGCCTCTTCTGCAGGGAGGTGGGTGCCACTGCCAGACTTCAGAGTAGCAGGCTCTGAGCCTGGCTGGCCCTTTTGCTCAAGGCCTCCTGAGTCCATATCACAAAGTCAGTGTTTGAGCACAGGGTTGGTTTACCCAGCACTTGCCTTACTTGGGGTGCAGGGGACCTCAAGCTGTTTCTCCTAGTCCCACTGAGGCACAAGAGAGGGGCTTTCTGTACTGCTATCTCCCCTACTGGGGCTCAACCCAGTCTTTTTTTTTTCTTTGAGACTGAGTCTCACTCTATTGCCCAGGCTGGAGTGCAGTGGTGCAATCTTGGCTCACTGGAACCTCCGCCTCCCGCGTTCAAGTGATTCTCCTGCCTCAGCCTCCTGAGTAGCTGGGATTACAGGCACGCACCACCATGCCTGGCTAATTTTTGTATTTTTAGTGGAGACGGGGTTTCACCATGTTGGCCAGGCTGGTCCCGAACTCCTAATCTCAAGCGATCCACCCAACTCGGCCTCCCAAAGTGTTGGAATCACAGGTGTGTGCCACCGTACCTGGCCTCCACTGGGTCTTAAGGGTGCCCTAGGGTGAAGATGGGAGGGCAGTCCAATGGGTAAGACCCTATCTCAAGTGGATGCTCAGGGCACAGGTGGCACCCCCCTCACTGGTCTGTCACAGGAGACACAGGGGCTGCTGCTGGAGATGCCACAGCCGTGTGGGAGGGGCAGGCTGGTGGGGCAACTGAGGAAGAGGATCCCAGAAGCCTGGGTTCAGACATGGCTCCAGGGGGCTCCTGGGTGCTGGAAACAGACGAGACACCCTCAAAGAGGCTGGTTCCTTCAGTCCATCCCCACTGACCGCTGCCAACCACCCCTTTCCTCTTCCCTTCAGAAACCTTTTTCCAGGCGGGAGGGATGGTAGCTGGGAAGCTTTGCTCTTATCTGGCATGTGCCCAGGCCAGGCACCGAAACTCAAAAGCCAAGCAGAGAATCTTTTTTTGTCTGCTTCCGATTGTCGTACCTTGTCCCTGAGAGACACTCATGGACCAGCCCAGCTTGAAAAGGAGCCAGAGAACACAAGAAACAACCAGTAACTCCAAAGAAAGGTCAGGGTTTCAAGAACATTGTGCCCCCCCGGTTGACTGTGCAGAGCAAGTACCTCTTTGGATGGAGGTTTTATTTCTTTGAACTCTTGTTCCTTACAGAGGCTGGGAGTGGTTGGGCCCACAGGGTGGGGGTGGTGGACTCCTTGTCCTTGGGCCTGTTTTGGGGATGCTGGGTTGCGCACTGGGAGTGGAGTTGGTGGGGGCTCTGAATTCTCCCACGCTCAGTCTAGGGATGGGAGCTGCCTCTTTCTTCCCTCATGGGATGCTAATTATCCTCAACTTGTCTGGGAGAAGAAAGGAAGTAGCTGCAGGGGCTTAGCCAGGAGGAACACCTGCTCCCCTGCCCCACCGCCCTCCAGCTCTCCCTCCCTCCCTCCTTCCCTCTCTCTCAGATGCACACCAACACTAGGAGTATCCTTATATACGTATGTGCTGCTTCTTGACGGGGAAATTTGACAAGGGACTGGGGTGAGGGTAGGGGTGTCTTCTACCTGGGGAGGCCCAAGGGGCTGCGGCTGGGGCTTTCCTCAGCCTCATACAATCCACCGCCCCGCCCCCAACCCCTGCCCAAGGCACTCACGGTGCCTTGTGCCTCCGGGCTCTTTGCCGGTCTGGAAAGTCTGGGATCTGTGAATGGAAAAGCCTGGGTCAGAGCTGGAGTGGGGAGTGGGTGGGGGTTGGGAGCTGTGTCTACAGAGTTTAGAGTTTTCTTGGTCTGAGCCAGGAAAGAGTCTAAACACCCAGCAGTGCTGAGTCCTTGCCTGCCCTGTGCAGCGTGGACCTTCCTCGGCCCAGCTCTCCTGCCCTATGCAGGCTTTGGGAGTCCCTGAGGATTTTCAAAGAGCCCCAAGGCGCTGGGGACAGAGAAAGGTGAGGCCAGGTTGTCATCCTGAGGGGGAACAGGCACACACAGCCAGCAGGGGCCTGATGGTAGATGAGACCAGGGTGACGTGGCAAAGCTGCTTCAGTCTGGCCACAGCACTGCATCGACCTGGACTCTTGAGCCTCTCCTAGTGTCCTGCTTCTGAGAGCCAGCTGGACATCTCAGTGGGGAACAGGACAGTCACTCTCGAGGCAGGAGGATCGCTTGAGCCCAGGAGTTCGAGGCTACAGTGAGCTGTGATCACACCACTGCACTCCAGCCTGGGTGACAGAGGGAGATTTTGTCTCAAAAAAACAAAAACAAAAACAGACAAACAAAAAAGACTCAGTGTGAAGAGGGGAGGGGGACAGGGCAACTCCAGTGTTTCCTCCAAAGTGAAAGTATGCCCTCGGGTTTGGAGGCTGGCCCTCAAGAAGCATGCCCAAAGCCAAGGGCTTCTTGGAAGCATTTTATCTCAAAAGTAGACATGAATCTTATATTCCACTATGTGATTCATTTTTATACAAAACCATGTTGGAGTTAATATGAAATATATATATATATATATATATATGTATGTGTGTGTGTGTATTTTTTGAGATGGAGTCTCACTCTGTTGCCCAGGCTGGAGTGCAATGGTTCCATCTCGGCTCACTGCAACCTCTGCCTCCTGGGTTCAAGCAATTCTCCTGCTTCAGCCTTCCCAGTAGCTGGGATGACAGGCTCCTGCCACCACACCTGGCTAATTTTTGTATTTTTAGTAGAGATGGGCTTTTGCCATGTTGGCCAGGCTAGTCTCGAACTCCTCACCTCAGATGATCCGCCCGCCTTGGCCTCCCAAAGTGCTGGGATTACAGGCATGAGCCACTGTGCCTGGCCATATGAAATATTTTAAATGAGTTTTTGCATTGAATCTATGAATAAAATTGATGCTGCAGGATGGGGATCGACAAACTTTTTCTGCAAAGGATCAGACAGTATAATAAATATTTTCGACTTTGCAGGCTGTGTGGTCTCTGTGACCACTGCTGTCGTAGCCCAAAAGCAGCTTTGTATAGACAATACACAAAGGAATGAGTATAGCTGTGTTTAATAAAACTTTATTTATGGCCACTAGAATTTGGATTTGGGATCTTTTTTTTTTTTTTTTTTTTGGAGACAGAGTCTCGCTCTGTCACCCAGGCTGGAGTAGAGTGGCGCGATCTCAGCTCACTGCAAGCTCTGCCTCCTGGGTTCACAACATTCTCCTGCTTCAGCCTCCCGAGTAGCTGGGACTACAGGCGCCCGCCACCACACCCGGCTAATTTTTTGTATTTTTAGTAGAGATGGGGTTTCACCGTGTTAGCCAGGATGGTCTCGATCTCCTGACCTCGTGATCTGCCTGTCTTGGCCTCCCAAAGTGCTGGGATTACAGGTGTGAGGGGATTATTTTTATGTTCATGAAATATTTCCCTTTGATTGTCCAATTATTTATAAATGTGAGTCCTGGTTCTTGGCTTGTGGGCCGTAGCTCTCACTCCACCCTGGGAAGAAAGCGTGTTGGGCCTGTGGCTCCACATGCAAAGCCAAGGCCTGAGCAAGAACACTAGATTCTGGAATCAGACCCATCTCTAAATTCTTGTTCTTCCTCATTAGTTATGCCACTGAAGGCAGGTGACAACCTACCTGAGCCTGGTCCTCTCCTGGAGAACGTGTTTTGGAATGAGCTCACAGAAGGCCTGCACAGTAGGTATTGACTAAGCAGTGCTGTGGCCACCTTTAGTGGTGCATGTAGCTGAGCTGCCTGGGTAGGAGGAAGGTCATGGCCAGCAGATGAGTGGGTGAGATGTGCCTCTTCCCCCTCCCTAGTCAGCTCCCCCATCCTTTTCCCCAGGTCATTCTAGCTGAACAGTTGTCCTACTCCCTGCCATCCTTCTTTCCACCTTCCAAGATTGGACACTGCTTCTCATGGGGCTCCTTGGCCCTGGGCTGGTGAGTCCAAGCACTTAGACACTTACTCCCTAGGATAAGCCCCAGCTCAGAGGCCTCCCAACACCAGCACTGCGGGATGGGAGGGAAAAACTGAGGCTAACTGCCTCCCCACTGGCCTCAGGGATGGTAGCTGCAGTGCAAGGGCCAGAGCAGCCTCTCTCCCCTTGCTCATCATTTGTGCTTAGTGCTATTTTATGAAGCTGCACTCTAGAGGGATGGCCTGCTCCAAGCCTCAGACTAAAGATGCCCAGCTCCCCTCCTGGTCAGTTTACAGTTCTGGGTTTACTCCTTCTGAGTTCCCGAAGCCCAGCCCTGACATTTTCCAGCTGGATGATTGGGCAAGTTACTTAGCCTCTTTGGGCCTGGGCCTGTTTCCTTGTATGTATGAGGATAACCTCATAGGGTTATTGCGGGGATTAAGAATTTGGCCATAACATATGTAGAACAAATCCTACTCACAGGAAGTGCCTAGTAAATAGCACACTATTGCTACTAAGTAAGGTTACCAGATAAAATACAGGCTGTCTGGTTAAATTTGAGTTCCAGATAAACAACAGATTTTTTAGGCTGGGGGTGGTGGCTCACGTCTGTAATCCCAGCGCTGTGGGAGGCTGAGGTGAGAGGATTGCTTGAGGCCAGGAGTTTGAGACCAGCTAGGGCAACATATCAAGATCCCATCTCTACAAAAGATAAAAAATTAGCTGGGCATGGTGGCTCATGCCTGTGGTCCCAGCTACTTCAGAGGCTGAGGAGGGGGCGTCGCTTAAGCCTGGGAGTTTTGAGGTTGCATTTTTTTTTTAGAGACAGGGTCTGGCTCTGCTGGCCAGGCTGGAGTGTAGTGTTGTGATCACAGCTTCCTGCAGCCTCAACCTCCTGGGCTCAAGTGATCCTCCCACCTCAGCCTCCTGAGTAGCTGGGACCACATGCACACACCATCATGCCTGGCTAATTTTTCAAAATATTTTTTGTACAGATGAGGCCTCTGTATGTTGCCCAGGCTCAAACTCCTGGATTCAAGTGATCCTCCCCCTTCAGCCTTCCAAAGTGCTGGAATTACATGGTGAGCCACCACACCCAGCCAAAAATATTTAAATAAATTTAAAAAGGGAAAATTTTTAAAAGTGCATATACCAAATACTGTATGAGATATACTTACTCTAAAAAATGTCTACATGAAATTAAAATTTAACTGGGCGTTAACTTTCCCTCCTAAATCTGGCACTCCTACACTGAGGGAGGCTCCACAAACCCAGGAACTTTCCTGTTCCCCAGCCCCAAAACAGCCCCCACATCCCTCTAGTCCACCCAGCACAATGCGCTCATGCAGAAAAACCTTCTTTCCTGCGGGCAGGACAGAAAGCTGGTTTCCCACAGTGCTCTGAGACCAATCCCAGATCCACTCTGTACTTGCCTTGGGACTTGGAACAAGCTCTTCCTTGCCCCTTCCTTATCCTGTTTTTCCAGTGAGACTGGTAAATCCTCTTGCTGGCTATCCAGAAGGAGTAAAAGACCTATGATTCAACAGAATCAGCAGTATTAAGAATCTAATTGATTGGGCCAGTGGCTCACACCTGTAATCCCAGCACTTTGGGAGGCCGAGGCGGGCGGATCACCTGAGGTTGGGGGTTTGAGACCAGCCTGACCAACATGGAGAAACCCCATCTCTACTAAAAATACAAAATTAGCCAGGCGTGGTGGTGGGCGCGTGTAATCCCAGCTACTCAGGAGGCTGAGGCAGGAAAATCGCTTGAACCCAGGAGGTGGAGGTTGCAGTGAGCTGAGATTGCACCATTGCACTCCAGCCTGGGCAACAAGAGCGAAACTCCATCTCAAAAAAATAAAAATAAACAAAGACTCTGATTAATCATTTCAATGAACCCCATCAACAGCCCTATTAGTGCAAACTATCATTATCCCCATTTTACAGATGAGGAAACAGACTTGGAGAAGGGTGTTCCAAGTGGCTGTTCCTCCCCTGCAACTGGCCCTCATTCTAGGTCTTCCCATTGTCCTCCAAGGCTTGGGCTGAGCCAGAACTCAAACCCCAAGGCCATCTAGGAGGCACCAACTTGTCACAGCCATGCTCAGACTCCATGTCCAAATTAACCTCATCAGCTTCCCAGAAGGAGCCAGCGTTGAACTCACCCTTTTCCCTATTCCCTATTTTGTCCCATAGATACCTTGCTGAGTTTGGATTATGAAAGTGGCCACAATGCCCACCACTAGGCAGCCAAGATCTAAATTACTGGGCTGGGTGAACCCTACTTCTGACCTAATAAATAAATCCTGTGGTTTCCAGAAGAGGTAAATGAACAATACTTCTTACAAGAGGCCATTTAAGGAATCTGGTGTAAATGAATCTAGCATCAAGTTTTCCAGAGGGTGTGACACTTATTTGAGTGTTCTGTTTTTCCTGGTGCCAATTTTTCCGAGTGTAATTTCTTCACTTTTGGTTTCTGAGATAGAGGCCCCAGAATGTTATCACGAAAGGCAAAATTGGGGTGCTGTCTCCCCAGCTGGTGGGACTGCGGGGTCTAGCCCAGCTCTGCTGTTCATGATTGACAAGATAGCTTTGGCAGCCTCTCTGCTGGCTTTCAGGAGGCAAATTCGATGTTGGCATCCCTCTACCCAGTGCCCAAGATGCTGTGAGGACAAATGAGGTCACTAATGGCAAACACACACCAACAGTAGTCCAGTGTGCTGAACCAACTATTCCTATTCTGCCCTTGTACAAGGTAGTATTTCCTGGGACAGTGTTTTAGGTAAAAAATGAAACCAAGACCCTTTACTACTTATTGTTTAAGTTATTATGAGGGCTCCCTATATCTTGATTAGAGGCCTATAAAACCTAAGGCCTTCCTGTAACAATGCCCATCCATGCTTCAGGCCATTCATGCACCCATCTGATGGTGCTTAGTTGGGACCCAACAAGATGAGGCTGCGTCAGTCTCTTGCTCAGCCTTCAAAGAGGCTTTGGCACTTTCCTGCCAGCCTCATTGGTAACTTCTGACCCACCCCTTTTGGGGTTGAGACACCATGCTCAGGAGCACAGAGTTCTGAAAAACCTTGAGAATTTCAGCTACCCTGGTGATCCTGTGTTTTATGAGCCTACTCTAACCTATGCAAATCTAGTTCCCCCATACATTCCAGGTGTGTGATTGAGGTGGGACTCTTGGTACGGAGCTTAAGAAGTGGCACTGGGGATGTACCAGCTGAGAGCGTTCAGGCCTCCAGTCTGTGGAGCAGGATGCTGTGCTGCCAATTCCTTTTTTTTTTTTTTTTTGAGATGGAGTCTCGCTCTGTCGCCCAGGCTGGAGTGCAGTGGCATGATCTCGGCTCACTGCAATCTCTGCCTCCCAGGTTTAAGCGTTTCTCCTGCCTCAGCTTCCTGAGTAGCTGGGATTACAGGCGTCTGCCACCACGCCCAGCTAATTTTTGTATTTTTAGTAGAGACGGGGTTTCACCATGTCGGCCAGGCAGGTCTCGAACTCCTGACCTCAAGTGATCTGCCTGCCTCAGCCTCCCAAAGTGCTGGGATTATAGGCATGAGTCACCTCGCCCAGCCCCAACTCCCTTCTAGGGCATGTTTTAACCACGTGTTCTGGTCAGTTGGTCAAGAGACAGGCCAAGTCAACCCTCATGATGAATATTCGACAAGCCCTCAGTAGGGTGCCCAGCACGGATCAGACACCTCGGAAAGGCGATGGGCATACCATGTACTCATCAATGCCCCAGGCAGCAGGAGACACCCAAGTGCCACTGAATTCCTCAAATACAAATGTGACTTTTAAACTTTTTCTTTTGTTTTTAAATCCAGGATCAAGACCACAATTTATTATGTAAGACATGGGGTGAAGAATGGTCAAGGAAAGTTATGGCCGTGAGTGACATGGAATTAGATGAAAAGGCTCAAGTTTGCTGAAGAGAGTTTAAATTTGGCTTTTGCTCTTGGAAACGTCAAAATAATCATAAGAAGCACTTGTGCCTTACAGAGCAAATAATCCACAGAGTGTCATATTCATTTTGCAAACAGGGTCACAACAGCAGTCAAATAGAAGCCTGAACACCCAGAGAGTTAACATACAGATTCCATAAGGATAACAAGGGATTGAGCATGCTGGTGGGTTTTTAAGTCAGATCCACATTGAACCCTGTGACCTACCGGAGGTTATAAGTGGAACCCGGGGAAAGCAGCTTTTCCATACAAAACAACAACAACACAACGACAACAAAGAAAACCAGACTCTGCTGGATGTCTATAATACTCATTTGCAGTAAGGCTTTCAAGATACAGGAATTTTTATAGCATTTGTATTTTAAGGATTTAGGGCAAATACATTTTTTTTTCTACTTGATAAAAAGAAAATTAGTACTTAAAAGGTTCAAAAATATATTGATTGAGTTATTTTTCTTACATAAATAAATTATATTGATTTTTAGGATTTAACAGCTGAAAAAACCCTTTCTGCTTCCACTGGAGGCAAAACTGAACAAAATGTTAGTTAAATAGAGAGAGCAGCATTTCTAAGAAATCTGTGGTCAGCATTATAGACCATCTATGCTACAAGGATGTCATTAAATAGGATTTGTTCAATTACTGGATTCTTCTTCTATGATCAGTTATAGAATTTCTGGTTTATATCTCTGATTCATAAAACTGGGACTCCACTTTTTGAAGATACATCTGATTGATTTTTTTCAGTCATGATTTAACAGACTTCTTTGAGATGCTCATTTTAACATTTACATAATTTATAATCCCAAATGTATAAAAGACAATGAAAAAAGCATCATAAATAAATAATGCAAAATGAAATAGTTATGTCAGACTTTTGGACCTTCTGATAAATTAGCAAAACTGTAACAGAAAAAGTAAAAAATACAGTAAATTGTGACAACAAAAAGTGAAACTGGTACTAGTAACACTTGCAACATTTCCAAGGGTCCTGCGCAGCCCTGCGCCCCCAGAGTACTGAACCATGAGCTTACTTCAAGTCTCAGAGTGTGAACTACCTGTGAAGAGTGAGACCATCAGAAGGGACGTTAACATGAAGGTGAAAGGACATGGGGAAGTGCTGCTTAGGCAGTTTCTTTCTCAGTTCCTAAACATGGAGAAGCTGAGGAAGAAGAGAAAATAATGTTGACTTGCAATGTAGTTTCGATTAACTGATAATTTGGAATTTGGGTCCAACTGTAAGATATAAACAGAATGGAGAAATTAATGGAGAAGTAACTTTTCATAGCTGTATTATAAAGGGTGGCACACATTTGACAGCCTCAGACACTCTTGATCAAAGGACCTACTAGCAAGTGTCAAAGTGTTGGGCAACTGTCTTCTTGCAGGCTCCAGAAAGAACCTTATTCTTGGTGAAGGAAAGCCTGAAGTGAAAATCCATTCGGTCCTGGTGCTCTTTAAACACAGAGAGGCAAATTAATGGCTAGAGAAATCTGTAAGCGAACCAGGTGAGAGCAGAGCGCTAGCCGTGTGCTTGTGAAGCAGCGTGTAGCTCTACGGAGCGCGGGTCCTTGCCCCACCCCCGTCGACAGCAATAACTCATGGTGGGTAAAGCTTTCTCGCAGCAAGAGGAATCTTTTCACTGGTGAGAGGGATGTATAGAAAATAATGCCTAGTCAGTCAGTATTTCTTCTTGCTGCAGGTGTCTGAAAAACCACCAAGGGGGAAATTATATTACTACCGGTAAGGTTTTTGTTTTTTATAAAGAAATGAATATATGTATTTTCAACCATTAGTTATATACTTCTGTCTATACTACTCACTTAGTAATCATGATAAAATAGGGAAATATTTTAACTCAAAAATATGCACCAGCACTTCCTTTTTCTGTGCTTTTTGGTTCCCTGTGACATTCTTCCTGTGCAACCCAGCTCACAGAAAAAGAGCTCCTCTTTGTCTCTGTTCTTCCACCCTTCAATGGTAAAACCCTAGACAGCTTTCTTTTGCCATTTTTCCTCCTCAAGTGAGTGGGAAACTTGGAAGAGAAGGGGGTAGGGCGTGTCACCAAGTACTGTATTAACTATGATTGCTGGAATGAACTGGATAACAGAATGAGAATTCTGTGCCTCCTAGACTAGGTAGACAACACTTATCTAATGAAGTGGTGAGACCCTGCAACTATTAACATCTGTTACCATAGTTCTCAGACAGGAAATCAGGTACGTAATCTTACTTATGGAAACACAGGTTCTTATGGAGGTGAAGTGAGGGAAGTAACAAACCTTTATGGGATAAGAAACTTACAAGTCACAATAATTTCTTAAATGAAAAAAGTTCTAATTGGTGTCGTTGTTGGAGTCTTTGAGTGCCCCCTCCCCAGCCTGTGCCCCATGTTCTCTCTCTGCGGGCAAAGGGGCACTGGGTTCGGCACAGTTCTCATCACCGCTGGGCTCCCTTTCACAGCTGGGAGCAGGCTCTGGGTGGGAGTTGGGGTTGTCCCCCTTTGTCTTCTTCTTCTTCCTCTTCTGGCTCTCCAGACCTACTATTTCCGAGTGTCTGGCCTGCTGCATGGCTGGCAGAGCCATGCCCATACCAGGGGAGAGGAACATGGATGGGTAAATGAGTCCAGGAGATACTCCTGGGATGAGAAATGGGTTAAAAGCCACAGGACTACTAGTAGTTATTGCAGGTTCAGACTGATCAGAAAATGGACCTGGACCAGGCTTGTCCTCAGCTAAAGTGTCTGTTTTCACATCATGGCTACTCGGCTTGTCTTCCGCAGTCTTTTCAGTCACTGCCGTACCACTTTTCGTTGTGCTTGATAGAGACGCCGGAGCAGTGGAAGTGCAGGTGGTTGCCATGGGTGGACTGAGGAGTCCCCCAACACCAAACATCTGGGGCACAGCAGCCATGCCTGGCAGCATCATGGGCAGCATGCTCAGGGTACTTTTGACCTCTTCACCTGTTGGCATCGTGGCAAAGCCAGCTGGAAACCCCACCAGCCCGGTGAGGGGGATGCCTGGCATATTTCTCATGTTCTGAAGTCCTACCAGGTCCATCCCAGCAATCAGTCCATTCATGAACAGTGGCCCCATTCCAGAGGGAGAGTCTGCCACAATGGAAGGAGCCTTCAGGAGTTCGCTCCGAGGCCGCCTCCCCCTCCTGCGGGGGCCCGTATCTCGAAGAATAGGCTCAGCCAGAGTGTGATTGAACTTGTTTTCTGGAAGAAACCCCTGGAAAAACAAAGAAACACAAAATGCTGAAGGCAACAGGATGGCAGGTGGTCAGCTGAGGGTGATGACCAGGGCTCTGCACTGGCCTGGCCTGTCTCCAGCTGCACGAAGGGTTCCCAGTACAAGGAGCACCTCCCGCCTACTTGTGCAGCTCTCTGGCCTGACTGTACCTGACAGGCTTCTCCCTCAGCAGCTGAGAACATTTTGTGGCATGGGCACAACTAGGGCACCTGTCACTGCCCAGTGGTAATTCCAACATGCTGACTGGCAAAAGTGGCATCCAGTCTGTGAGAAGCTGGCAGAAGAGAGTGGGGAGCTGGAGAAAGCACTAAAAGTGCTCTGGTTCTCGGTGAGACTGTTATGGCTGAGACCCCTTCACCAGATCCCAACACTTGCCTTCCTCTTGACACAGGTTTTTATTGAAGCAACAAAGCAGAATATGTAAGACAGGGTTTTAATCCCAAGTTTAAATCCTGACTGCAACCTCCTAGCTGTGGGACTCAGGACATGTCAGTTAGCCTCTGAGTTTAAGTAAAAAAGGACAATGGTACCTATCTTTAGAGTCACGGAAAGTGACGTGTTTAATACATTACCTGATCCATAGGAAGCAGTGCTTGCTAATGGCACATTACTTATTTATTGTGTGTATGCCCCACTCCTCTCTGAATACAATGGGATGTGTACATGTTTGCTGAAGAAATGAAGGACTTCTTGAACACTGTTGGGGAAACTGCCACCAAAATAAGTGGTGGTTCTCCCTAAGGGAGACCATCTATTTTTTCTCTATTTGGAGGTTCACTCTCCAATTTTCTTAATTAGCAGAGAGTTCTGCAGTAAAGCACTTCTGCTCCACGTGGACCACACTGTGACAGGACCTGGGCCCTCAACACGGGTGATCTGGCATCTGCACTGGACATTCCCATAACCCATCAGGATGGCTGAGCTGCACAGAATCCTGGGGGAGGGCAGATTGCTCCAGCAGCATCAGCGAGCGGAAGGCAGCACGTGGAAAGGAAGGCGCAGGCTGCAGCCCCACACCCTCCTTCCTGAGAGTGGAGCTCAGGAGCTCTGCAGGGCAGAGAGGATGCAGCCAGGAACCTGGTCCCTGGAGCGTAAACAAACCACTGCAATTACGATGGATCTTTCTCTGAATTTATAATCCCTAGAGATTGAGAGAATTTCTTCCCACAGATGGGAAGCGATTTCTTTCAGGACTTAGTGCCGCAGTCCCTGCGCCCCTGGAGAACTGCATGCCTTTCTCTCTCTCGACTGCCCTCCACACCTCACTGCTATCAGCTAGTTTATCAACTAGTACATGCCCATGGTATTAAAAAAGGTGAACTGTACTTGTGCAGTTCAGCAGTCTCAGCGTTTCCTCACCCAGGGGAGGTGTACAGTTTGAGGACAAAGCCCTCCCCTGCTGGCACCCTCCCTGACTGCCTGGGCATCTTCTTACGGTTCTTGCTACAAAGTCAGTGCTGTTTTATCCCCTTCCCTTTGATTACAGCAATGGTGAAGCAAAATGTTCAGAGTGGCTTCAATGGATCTTGTCACACTGGATTCCACTGAGGTCAATGGTCACCATCAAGGCCGGAATGCGCAGCCTACGGAGCAGCATGAGACAGGAGAGCTCAACAGTGAGGGGTGAGGCCTCTGGGCTGCTGAGGCAACTCCCAGGGCTGCACCTGCGGCCTTTTCAGGATTCTCCTTTGGAATACCTTCCCTTCCACTAGAGTCTGCAGAGTGGGGGGTGGGGATGTGACAAGCAGCAGCTGAGGCTCCACCAGCCCACAGCCTCCTTGTCTGTGGGAATCAGAGGCAGGGATCTGGCTGTTGCTCTCACTGGGGTACACTCTTGGGGTGCGAAAGGAGATGTGGGTCCACCAAGAGACACCAGAATGACCAGAAAAACCCCACAGAACGCAGAGAAAGAAGCCAGGGAAGCTGAGGATATCTCTGGGCTGAGACTGGCCACCAGGCCTGAGGGCAGTTAAGAAATCTATTTACAATCTGCCTAAGGGCACCTACTTTTAACTTTAATTTGGCAGCCCAGGCATTTCCCATTTTTCCCACTGCCTCTCTTCTCCATAAACTATGAAATAAGCAAATCCTTAGAAGACCCAGCAGATTTTTATTTAAGGGGCAGCTGTAACCTTAGCTGGTGGTACTGGTTTCAGGTTCTCATGGGCTGTAAGAACACACGTGTGTGGTGGGCCCCAAATGAGCAGCAGCTGGACTGTGTTGGTTCCCACACTAGTGGGCACTCAGCAGCGAGGGGAACGGCTGTCAGAGGCAGCAGGGAAGGCGGTGCTGATAAGAGGATGAGCAGCAGAAGAGTGCGAGACGCCACGAAGGAAGCACTGATCACGTGTCAGGCACTGTACGAAGGGCTTCAGCAGCATCTCAACAAATCAGTGAATCAGCCCTGTGGAGTCAGTACTATCATCATGCCTGCTTTACAGAGAATTTACAGATTCATAGATGTGTGAAAACGTGCATATCTGAATGTTTCTGAGTCCCCAGAAATATTTTTTGAACTCCTACACCTGTCCTTCAGTTTCCCAAGAATATTAAAAAAATAAAAAATAAAAAAAAAACCCAGTTCATCATAGACAAAAAAGCTTCATGATGGCAACTTTAAGAAAATTCTTCTCAAAAAGCCTTGGTTTGCATCACAGAGCTGGAAGAAACCCCTGAAACTGTTATATTTAGTCCCCTTCGTTTTCACAAGCTGGGGGTGGGGGTGGGGAGGGTACAGTTGGTCAGGGACAGAGCAGGTGAGAACACAGGCCCTGTGGTTCCCAGCCCAGGCCTCTTTCCACAGCACACCACACCCTCTCTTCTTCCCAGCATGACCTGCCACTTGCAATTTGCTAGGCTGGCAACTGCACACTCTGGCTCTAGGGAGGATCACTGGGGACGCAATTCCTGGCTGGTTCCTGTTTTGAAAGAGAGACAGTAGGACTTGATGGGTCGGGGCCAGGCTAAAAGGATAATTTCTCACCAGTCTGTCTTGAGCTCATCAATGCAAATCGTCTCATTCTGGGCCAGCCACTCTGTCTACACAGCACAGTCTCAGTCCCTTGCTGGCATGGCACCACAGCCCAGGGTGCTTCAGCCAGGGTAACCACAACTTGACCACATATCTTTCTGAGCCCTCTTCCTGCAGCCTACCCACAACCGAGAGGCAGAGAAAGATACTGGGGAGTGTCTTTCCTTTACATCCACAAATGTGCCCTCATAACTCCAGAGAGAGGGGGCATATTCCACCTCAGAGGTCTTTCTGTTAGGAAGAAAACAAGCCCAGCACTTGATGAATGGTGCCTCCTTCTTCTTTTCAAGCAATCTGCTATAAATCAGATCTTCTTTAACATGCTTTGAGACCCTCCTCAGGGGATCTAGGACCAGACTATGCCCCAGAGGACCTTTGGCCACCTTGGCCCTGGCCCAGTAAGTGCAAGTAGCACTCTCAGGATCTGGGATGTCAAAAGCATCCTTTCCCTGCTCTTGCTGAGAACCATGAGTGCAGACACAATGGTGGGTCCTTTCAGAAATGAGAACTTGCTTAGAAGGCACAAGCTAATCTTTCTTCCCCTCTAGATGAGGAGAATAGCAGCAGAAATGCCCCGAGGATAAAGAGAACGCTCTTCATTTGCAGCAGAGCAAGAGCGCTGGCAAAGGAAGTCAGCTTTAACCATGTCCTGTGGAGGAGTCACCCCAGCCACCAGCTGCTGCCCACTCCAGTCAGGTGCCCCTCCCAGCAGCGCGGCGACCACACACAGCGGCCAGGCGGGCTTTGGCAGCTCTCCCTCCTGGTAATTATACCCTGGGAGCAAACCTGCTTCCCCTTCCAGGAAAGGCCTGCGGAGGGGGCAAAGGGAACAAGGAAAAGGAGCTTCCTTATGTTCAAGCACACTGGAGGCAAATCTGCTTTCTATCTAATTGCACAGGCATTCCAGCCTAAGAAGAACATCCTCATCAATGCATGGTGGCATTATTCCAACTCTAAAACTTAACTCTGGGTGGACTTAAGAGAAGGTGGTGACCAGAACTTCCTTTCTCCTCCGAAGGTTAGTACATTCATCCAACAAACGCACGCTGGGTGAAAAGAGACCTAACGACAAAATGCGACGTGTGGCTCTTCATTTAAAAATCCTAAAACCAAACCAAAACACAACAACCAGCTCTAAAAGACATTTTTGAGATAACTGGTGGAATCTGAATATAGACTAGATAACAAGTATTATTAATATGCATGTGTAATAAGGGCAATAATTATGCAGGAAAATGTTCTTTATGAGATGCATGCTGAAGTATTTAGGGGTGATATGTCATGTCTGCAATTTACTGTCAAATGGCCCAGCAAAACCTCAAAACTATACACATACAGGTAAAACCAATATATACATATGTAACTTACATATATAAACTATATTAAGTATATGTGTGTGTATACATATATTTAATGAGTAACCACTAGGTAGTGGGCATTAAAAATTGAATCCCACAACCTTCCATGCAGCCCGCGCAATGATAATTCTGTGGACACCACCCGTCCAAACCACAGCACGTGTGGCAGAAGGGCCATGTGAGCTCGAAGGAAGGGAGGAGGAGTTCCTTGTGAGATTTAAATCTATTTCTAAAAAGAGGGGTAGGGTTTCCGCTATAAATGTTTCAAATTACTATGCTGATATCCTGTGCCCCAAGGTGATGGTAATAGGATGCGGGGGGTTTAGGACGGTGATTAGGTCATAGGGGTCGAGCCCTTATGAATGGAATTAGTGACCTTATGAGAGCTGGCTGTCCCTTCCTCCATGCGAGGGCACAGTGAGAAGACACCAGTCTGGATGATGTGGTATGGGGCCTCACCAGATACCCAATCTGTCAGTGCCTTGACCTTGGACATTTGGGTCTCCAGAACTGTGAGAAATAAATTTCTGTTGCTTATAAGCCTCCCAGTATTCTGTTATGGTAGTCGGAATGGACTAAGGTTCTATGGCAAAGAAAAAGGGTACAGTGCACCCTAGAAGGCCCTGTCCCAAGAGGAGCTGCAGGAGATACACGGGTGCCCCTGTTCGGAAGGCTGAGCTGCCCGAGGTCTTCTTCTTGCCTTACTGCAGGAAAAGGGCCTCCGAGGCAGGGAGTGTGTTTATTTAATAAAAGAGGCTAACACATCTCTGGGAAGAGGCTGGCTTGCAAGAACAGCTTAGAAATGGGTTTTCTGGCAAAGGGTCAGCATCTGTAGGGAGGGATGAACACTAATTTCCAAGGAACATGAGGGAAACTGTTAGACACGGGGAAAGAAACAAGCAAGCCAAGGGGGAACCACATGGCTCTTCCTGAGACATCTCTAAAGCAAGAGCTCAGAGACTACAACAAAGCAAGAACCGGAGATCTTCCCTTGATGGCGTATCTGAGACACCGTGTGCCGAGACAAAAGGAGAAGGTGGGAGGCAGCGTGAAGGGGTGAGGAAAGACAGAGGGGACACAAACAAAGGTGAACTAGCTCGTACTGCTCACGCAAGTGGAAGAAAGTGAGGGAAGAGTCCTAAGAAAAGGGTAGAAGGGACATTTTCTGAGACTAAAGCAAGAGGGGAAAAAAGGGCAGCTTCTCCAACGTGACAAACTGTCTAGGGCCCAAGTCTCCCCCAAAGGGGCTGTGGTAGCAGATGGAGATGAGCAACGGCCACTGGTGGAGCTACTAGACCAGCGGTCATCCAGGTGACACTCTTGAACAAGTTCCCTGAGAACATTAAATGCCAAACTCTTTCTGCGAGAGGAGGAAATGACTAGGGTGGGCGGTCTTTTGGAGCTATAAAAAGAAATCACATTCAAGCAATCCCACCGAGAAGGGAATTCCTACTCCAGGAAAGATGTAGCTGGCAGAGTACTTAAGAGAAGGCATTCAGGAAAGCTTGAGTTTATGGAACAACCTGGGAAAGGCAAAAGTCCCCATGAGCATCTTCAGGAGCTCCCTATTTGGGCAGAAAGTGCTTTTAGGAGGCTAAAAGCACATTTATGTATAATCTGCCCAAACTCAACACATTTTCAAGTTGAAATGTTGTTACTGCCCTCTAGAGGTTATGACTTTTGTAGTCCAAATTTGTACTAATCTGTAAACTATAATTAACTCGGATTCGTTATACTAGAAGTATTCTGCAGAAGTCTTTGAAGTCCCTTCCAGTGTCATGATGCTATAATAGGAAAAGGGTAGTGCTTAGAGGCAGCTGTTTTTCATTGCCAGTGAGGCTGGACCAGGAAGAAATGTCTTAAATGGTAGCCAAAAAAACCTAAATTAGGAAATGAAAACTTCCAATAATGAGTTTTGTTCACTGACAAAGGTTAAAATTTCTTTCCCCTCATAACTCTACAAATAGGAGAAACAAAACACAAACCCAAGTTTTGGCAATGGTTTAACAAACAATTCTGGAGGTAAGGGTTGAAAACAAATGACCACTGGGAGTCACAGAGCGCTCAAAAATGCCACAGCACCATTTCTTGCTGCTAATCAACTTCCTGTGCTGGCTTCTAGTCCTCTTGAAAGATGTCTCCCAGCGAACCCCTTCCCAGCTGGGGCTTTCTCTCAAGTATGTAAGGCACGGCTCAACCAGGATGCTCCTCCTGGCCCCACACTCACGTGGCCTTCTTCCTTACCCTCAGTCCTGGCTCCTTGGGGATGGCAGGAACTCTCTCTTCCCCGCTCAGGGAGCTGACATCTAATTTTCCAGGTTCTTTACAGCGTGGCCTCCTCTGCTTTGGTTTGTCTGAAAAATTCTAGGATGAAAACGGAGACCAATATTACAAAACATGCTATCCCAGATTCTTCTGATGAGGCTGATGCTTTTCAACTGGTTTTGCTATTGTTCTCGTCAATGGTTGTCTGCACAGGAGCTGGCCAGGTTAAACTAAAGGAAATAGCCACCTGGCTTCACCTAGGCTTTCTCTCCTGAAGCACCAGTGTTCCTACAGTAATCTGGAAAACAGGCTGTGTGGGCACCCCCGCCCTCCAGACTAGAACACCTGAGCCGATTCACCAGGCTGCCAGGGCCCTGTTAATCCCTGGCCTTTTCCTCTTGATCATTTCCTTGCATTCTCTTGTCACTGCTACTTGCCTGGCTGGTTTCGCCTGTCTCTGGAGGGTGCACATCTGTGAATGTGTTCTCCTCTTCCTGTGCGCTCTCTACCTACATATCTTATTAGTTAGGCGCACCCAGGACAAAGACAGTGGTGGGGTAGATGAGCAAGTGAGAAGAGAAAAACCAAAAAAGACATCTGTGCTCGAGTCCTCTCCTAAAAATGTCTAGTCTGAGGGACTTAGGACAAAGACAGTACGATGACTTGAAGGGAATGTCCTAAAGCAGAATAACCATAAAACTAAGGACAGACCGTCCCCCAACCACCGCAAATGGAATGTACATAAAACTAAGGACAGATGGTCCCCCAACCACCACAAATGGAACGTATTAACTTGAAAAGAATTCAAAGGAACATTTTCATAGGTGGCAGAGTTTATGCAACCTAAAGATTTCTCTATGAGCTTATGATACTGTGTGGCAATTTTTGTGGGGACAGCGGATAAGTTCTGTCCTCTTAGGATTTTGCATGTCTACTTTTTGGCATAGTATTTTGAGATGGGCTATCATTTCTATTACTGAAGAATTTAATCAAAATTTAAACTTAAAAACAAAAGTCCTTTAACATGATGTTGTCAGCTGACAGATTTCTCCCAAACAGCTCCCAACTTCCTGGTTGCCCTCAGCATGCTTTCATCAAAAATAGCAACAAGTCAGCAGGAAGTAAACAGTGATCTCAGGCAGTACCAACAAACACTTACTGCCCCAAAGCCAGGAACTTCTAAGGAGTAGTCAGCCTGCTGCCTTAGCCAGTCAAGCAGACTCTTGCTGGGAATGGATTTCTCGGCTTGGCTGCTGGCTGCCGTAGCTGGCTCAGGAGCCGAGGTGGCAGGCCCTGGCCCCTCAGGGTGTGTGGTGCTCAAGGTGGCCTGCCCTGGGTCTTCATGGACTTCCTGGATGAAGGAAAAACGAGTATGTATAATCACGACACAATGAAAATTAGTTTCTAAAGAAAGAAAACATGTAAGGTGTTATTTGAATCACTCCACCTATTTCCACCCTGATATTACTCAGCTGGGGTGCCTGAATTAGAACCCTACACACACCACTGACCCACGCCCACATAAGCTCTTGCAAGTGATTTGGTGTTCCCTTCACCTGAGCACTCCTCTCCCGCTCTTGTCCACTTGGTACACTTTAACTCCATCCTGACTGCCGGATTCAGTTTTCCTCCTCTGTCACCACTGCCCACTGTCCCAGGCAGCACTCACTGCTCCAGCTCCTGTCCCCACAGCACTCGGTTCCTAGCTCTCTCACATAAAGAAAACGCCATACCACAATTTACTCACCCTCTATAGTTTGAATGCCTGTCTTACCTCTGTTTTACTAATGCCTATAATGGGGTCTATAACAATGACCATGCTAAATAAGTGTTTGCATCAATAAATTAAAAAAATACTCTGAGGACAAGGGGGAAAATTTTTATCGGTCATTCCATTGGAATTCTATGATCATTATAGAGAAACTATGGTGTTGCACATCTAAAAAAGGTAAAAGACTTCTTAAAAGCTTGCAGGATTGAGCAGGGAAAGAACGTGTCACTTCAGCTTCCCAGATTACTTTGAAAGTCTAAGAGGAAGACATAACCCAAGCAATATGGCTTAGCAGTAAAGTTCTCAGCCCCTAGAGAAAAAGGTCCTTGGTTTGGTTTCCTGCTTTGTCACTTACTAGCTGGATAATCTTGGGGAAATTATTTAATGCTTTAAAGCCTTATTTTCCTCACCTATAAAATGGGAATAACAAAGCCCATCTTCAGAGTGGTTGTGAGGAACAAACAAGATAATCATGTAAAGCCTTGAACATGGTAAGCAGTAGGCACTCAATAAGTACTAGTTATTATTATTGCTTTTAAAATAAGAAAACATAAAATGTGATTCCTGTTTTGGAGCTCAGAATCCAGTAAATGGGAAAACCCAAAATACAACATGAAACATTAAACAAAGCGTAAAAGGGATCTCTCTTGGCCAGGTATACGGTTTCTGACCTTTTCTGTTGTTTGCAAATGATTTCCTTTGAGTTTGGAACAAACTGTCTTAGCATGATCTCCGTAAATCTTCAACCCTCCGTGGTAGATGCTGTTGCCCCACTTTACACAGGAGCAAAGTGAGTCTCAGTTGTAGCCCAATATCACCCAGTAAGTCAAGCAGAAGAGCCAGGATCACATTCAGGTAGCCCTGACTCCTGTTCTTTCTCCCATACCCCAGTCTTGGAGAGCCTCACTACCCCGGAGAAAAGCCGCTGCACACTCAACCCTGCCATCTTGCTCTGCCGTGCCGTCAACAGTGGCTCTTCTGAAACCCTGGAGGAGCGGGGTTGTTCCTATTTGAAATGGCAAGACCTCCTGGCTCATTTCTCCAGGCTGTAAGCAGATTAAGCGCCATTAATGAGTTAGTAACTATCTAGTTCTACAGAAGATGGAGGGCATCTTATAATGAGAGAAAATAAAGCAGGACAACCGAAATAGAGATAAAAGATCCACAAATTATTTTGCGTCTGAGGAAGAAGGGTTTGTTTCTCAGTGTAGAAAGGTAAATGTTTTTAATCTAATGACCTCAATACCCACCAAGATTCCCGCCTGAAGTGTCTGCTCCTTCAAAAAGATGAGGTCCATCCCTCCTTCAACATGTTTCCGCCTCCCTCTCCGCCTCCTCGTGGCTGCATCATCTCTTCTGAGGCTTCCATTGACAATCTGTCCAGTCACAGGATGGATCAGGCCAGCTTGCAGAATCCCAGACAAGTCCATGCCAAGGGCTCCCTGAAGTGAACTGATAGCCCCAATCTTAGGGGTGCTGGCGCTCACTGGGAAAGGGGATGTGGCTCCTGGGGACCCCTCTGATGAGCAGGAGAGGTCCATAGCTGACTCCCCATGCCAGCCATTGAGGATGATAGGGGTGTGCCCGTGGGTGGCAGAGAACTGCTCCAGGCCCCGAGCCTTTGCATCCCTCTCCACCTCAAACTCATAGGGACGCCTGTGCTTTTGTTCATCCTTTGTGAATACTGGAGCTAAGAAGCTCTCCTGTGAACACACAAACAGCAAGAGAGGTCTGAATGTCACACAAGTGGCTGAATGCTAGCTCTTTCTCCAGGCCTGATTTCCCTAGGCCTCATATTGTTTCCAATCATCTTTTTAGGAGTTCTTCTAACTCAGGCCTCCTCAAACCTGAACAGCTTGTTAAAATGCAGATTCTACTTCAGTGGGTCTGAGGTAGAGCCTGAGAATCTGCTTTTTTAACAGGTTTCCAGGTGCTGCTAAAGCTGCTATGCTAGTCCGTGAACTACATTTGGTGTTGCAAGATGATAACTCAGAAATGCTCAACCTCACCTGTGCATCAGAATCACCTGGGAAGTTTAAAACAACTCAGTACCCAGGACACACTCCAGACTGAATAAGTCAGCATCGTTAGCTTGTCACGGTCCCCAGCTGATTCCAATGTGCAGTTGAGCATGAGAACCAGCTAGTTAATAATGTATCTCAAAACTCATCACCCCCACCAAAACGCTCACTCCTGCCTTGATTTCCCTAATTTCTATCAGCTTCCATTGTTAGAGCTCAGTTCTCTAAGGGTCAACCACACTGTTCCATTCATGCTTCCCTTTCCTTATATATTTATTAGTCATGGGGTCATCTTTGCCAGTTCCCCCCTATCTTTGTATCCACTCTGAAACAACCGGGGTCTAGAACCTCTCTTTATCAGTTTCCTGCTTGGCCCCCCTAGCCAAGCTGTATTCTACTCCAAGTGAGCTGCAAACCTCTGCTTTCATCATGCCTTCTCCTGCTCCAATACTTTTACTAGCTCTTCACTACATACAGGATAAAGTCTAAATTCCCCAATCAACACTAATGGCTTGGCAAAAAAAAACCCCTATCCACTCAGTAAATACTTGCTGAATGAATGAACTCAACAGAGACGTGGAACACGCCCACCATTCTTTGTTTTGTGGTCACTCCATTCTTGCCGGCTCACCTTGTGGATCTGGGCCGCCAATGCTGCGCCGTTGCTGAAGCTGTGTTCTGCTGCTTCCGGCTCTGAGAGGCTGGTTCGAGAACCAGCACTGCTGGTTAATACCGGGGTGGGCAGTGTGCCTGAGGGCTCATACTGCTGGCTAGAGGGCCACTTCCCCTTTAACACCACGTGGCAGATATTATCTAGGCGGTTAATTATCACGCGGTCCTAGAAAAAAGGATAAAGCTCTGATGAATAAGGATCGAGTTACCTAAATTCACAAAATCCTTTGAGATCAAGGGTTAAGCTTTTCACCAGAAGGAGTCGATAAGAAAAGAGCACACTCAAACATACTCACTTTATAAGGCTTAAAATAAAAATCATAGTCTGGACAATACAAATTAAAGCCATCGTACTATAAATAAGAGGACAATTTGACACCTTCATCTTACAGTCGAATTAGTTAAGCGCATGTATCTTTAATGTTCAAATGCTACATAACTAATATCTTTTAAAGGTATTAAACATTTCTGAGTTTCTTGTTCAGAACTATTTCTAAAAGGGTTAAAAAAAGCAATTCAAAGCTGGGAATGGTTTGGGGGTAGGGTGGGAAACGCAAGCTCTGGGGTACCTTTGGCCACTCAGAGAAGGAATAGAGAGTTTTCTCCTGTAGCAGCTGAGCAATAGTGGGAGCTCGAGCCTCCTGTAGCTCATCCCCAATGTCTCCTGTGATGCCCGATGTTGAGCTCTTGCTCTCCTCTTCAGAGTACTTCCCTGGATAATCTGGGAAGAGGTTAAAAAATTAATCAGGCACTTAACTATAGTAGTGAGATACTAGTGATCTGAGAGATTAGGATATCCTCTTTTCCTTTTGCTTTTTAAATTAGCTCATTCTGTGCTATTTTAAATGGAATATTAATTATGATATCTTCTATTTCCAGGAGAACCGTATCAGTTAAGCCATAAAAGCAAATCCTGCTCTGGGGCTCCCAAGGCAAGTCTTCTAGTGAGCATTTGCATCCATATCCCAACACAAGAAAAGAGAAAGGAAATTTTTCTTGTGTATCCAAGAGTGAAAGAGATGACTAACCACAAAGAGGCTTCTCACTTAGTGTAGTGGTCAAGGGAAAGCTGAACATTCTAACACTTTGAGATCTTTGAAGGGACAGTCTATGAAATGTAACACGGCAAGACGGTGATTAATATGAGAAAGGATGAAAGTCATGAAGCTTACAACAAAGGTAAGACAGACCTGATTCATGTAAAAAAAGATGCCAAGAAACTCAGAACATTTCAATTACTTCACTCATGGAAAGAAATGGACATGTAACTTATTCTTTCAAGCTTCAGTAATGGTGAAAGTTTATCATCAATGTGTCAACGTGAATGGATCTTCAAAGATCCACTTACAGGAAATGAACAGACAATGGAAAAACACCTAAGGCAGGAAAAGTTGTTGACCTCTTTCTTGGTTAAATGACAAGGAGCATCCATCCTTTGAAATGTGGCTATTTCACTTCTCAATGTGCAACAAGTCTCCTAGGGAGCTGCAGCGACCTGACCATGAAAAACAGGGCCTTGCTAGGCCTGGTAGACTCAGGATAAGCCAGACAGATACCGCCCAGGTCCTCAAGATTCTTACAGCCCTATGAGGGAAGACAGCCAGGAAAGAGGTGACAATAAAGGAGCAACTAAAATTATCAGCTGTGATAAGTACTATCAAGGGAAAGAAACAAGACGCCATGATAGGGAACAAGAGGGAAGAACCTACTCAAGTAGGTTGTTAGAGAGTCTCTCGGAGGAGGGAGCTCCCATGAAGATGAGGAGGCAACAGGGAAGGGTATTGTGGACATGCTGAGGAACGAAGTGAGGGCCAGGAGGAAAGCACAAAGATGAGGCTAGAGGGGTGGAAATCATCTAGAACATGCTGAGTCCTCTAGGCCAGAATAGAAAATTTAGATTTTATTCTAGATTCAATGGGGGACCACCACTGAAAGGTTTTAAGCAGAGGAGTTGAATTTAAGTTTTTTTTTTTTAAAAGCAAAATCATGTGAGACAGAAAACCTGGAAAAAGCCAGGAGACCTGGGGGCTGGCCCTGACAGGTGTACCAATTAATTACTGCTCCTTCAGGACTGTAGATTTCTAGTCTCGAAAGCAGGGCTAATCCTCTCTGGCCTACCTGTCCCACACCTCATATGTGTGGAGGATCCCTTCCAGGGTCTGCAAAAGCACTTTTAAAAGCATCAGTGAAAGGGACTCCCACCCACGCGTGCACATGATGCTCACCAAAGCTTATTAAGGTCACTGCTCCCTCTACTCTGACTTAGCAAGGCTGACGCTGCCATCAAAGGACACCAGTTCAGGAACATAATTTCTCCTCTAAACCATACTTATCTTTACCTTGTACTCACTTGATTGCCTGGGTTTCCAAGGACTGATAATTTGGTTATTTTTACCCGCAACAGGGTTCAAAAAGCAATGTGGGTTTTATAATTCAACACATGGCAGCAATGCTTCGTGGCCTGCCATGAGGAGGATCAGGCATAGTTGTAGACTGGCTCCTTCTGGGTTGGCTGGGGTTACAACTCTATCAAGCTACTTTCAATTTGGCTTCTCGGTTTTTATCTTAGCTAGTATGTAAATTTTAATTTGGGTTCAGACTCTTCCCAAGAGTTCTGAATAACTAAAACCAAGACGAGGAGTTTAAAAATAAAAAGCTAGATAACCTGAGGCTGGGTGCAGTGGCTCACGTCTGTAATCCCAGCACTTTGGGAGGCTGAGGCAAGTGGATTGCTTGAAGCCAGAAGTTCAAGACCAGCCTGGCCAACATGGTGAAACTCTGTACTAAAAATACAAAAATCAGTCAGACGTGGTGGCACACACCTGTAATCCCAGCTTGGGATGTTGAACCCAGGAGGCACAGGTTGCAGTGAGCTGAGATTGCGCCACTGCACTCCAGCCTGGGTGACAGAGCAAGACTCTGTCTCAAAAAAAAAAAAAAAAAAAAAAAAAAAAAAAAAAAAAGGCTAGATAACTTGAGGGACTTAGCTTAGCTCCTCTCTTTCCCTCTTTAACATAAAATCAGTGCTCCAGAAAGGGACAATGTGTCTGTCTACACCCCTCAGCACCACAGTGGACCAGGCATGAAAGGAGTTGTTTTTGGTTTTTTGTTCACCCTAATAGGCCTTCTTGGATCTGAAAAAAATTAAAACTACAGCTAACAATCATTTTGTTGCTGTTGTTCCTCAGGATCCCTGATCACTGTATGTCTATTCTTGCAAAGCCCATAGAATCTCAGGGTCACCTAGATTCTTAACATTTTGAAATTCCTTCTAGCTTAAACCCTTATATAAGATTTCCCTATAGGATCAGATCTATTTTCTTCATTGTTGTAAACTTTTTATTTCTGTTGAGTTACTGAAAGGAATCTAAATCAAATGCACTGACCTTAAGCCACACAGTTTTGACAATGACATGAATAAATGGCTTTTTTGCTCACCTTAACAAAGATCAAATTTATTTGTATTTTTGTTCAGTTCCTGAAAAATTAACTGCCCCTATATTAAAGTGCAAGTTCCTAACATCCCAAGGCTGTTCTACTTTAGCCAGTTTGAAGCACCTTATCTAGGGGAAGAACAAACTATTTCCCCTTAACACCATACATAGCATCTATTGAATGAAAACACACAAGCCCCTGCCCAAATTATATGAGTGAGGCAGCCAAACTGCTATGATTGTCTATGATCTTCAATTTTCTACAACATGACCACAGTTACTAAGCTACTCGAATTTTCAGTCCAAGGCCTATGACCTTTGGTGAGGGTAGGCAGGTCTGTTTCAGAAGCTGTAAAAATATGAAGCACTCTCTCCCCTAAAACCCAACCCCCCGTCGTGTGTGAACTAGTTTATCCAAAATGCCACAAGATCCTACATACTGTACCTTGACTATGGCAGTTTCCGTCTCTATCATAATCATCTTTATTCTCAAAATCCATGTCTTCTGATTTGAGCTCACTTCCTTCAAGAGGATATGTGGGGAAAACGTTTTGCCCCTCTGCACTTTCTTTCCAAGGTTCTTTTAAAAGCTCATGCTTCACTTTAAACGGCTGTGATGGAATAGCAGTGGGTTCACCCTCCATGGCGATAGTATTGGTTTTACTTTTGAACAGATCTGGGATATAAGCCTTGGGTTTCTCGATTTCAAATTCATCATTCTCGAGGCCATGCATCCACCTCTCCATGTGTTTGCAGTGGCACTGACAGGCTGCTGGAGCGGGGAAAGCCCTCTGTAGCCCAGGAGTCTGGTTTGCCACCTCTAAGCTTCCTTTCTTGGTTTCATCTTGGAAGCCTTGGTTCTTTTCCCTTGAGATGTTAGTAGTGGGCTCCGTGAGATGCAATACCTCTGGCCTTTCCCCCATGCCTACTGCCATGGCTAAGTTTTCCTCCTCGTTTTCCTCCTCTTCTTCCTCCTCATCACTGTGGTTCTGACTCAAAATCAATTTACTTTCTAAGCTTTTGTTTTCCAATAAATCAATTAATTGCTGATCTGATGACAGGTTTCTTTTGGAGTCACAGACACTAAGACTGCACATATCTACAAACCCACTTTCATTTCCTGGATTCAAGGAAGGGGAAGCTAAACACTTGGCTTCCAGCTGGCCAATGTTTTCAGGTCTCTGTCCTGCCTCACTGCAGCAGAGCTCCCCTTCCTTTGAAATAGACATCAACAAATGTTTTCCATTTTTGATGTTTGCTTGAGCTACTCCTCCTGCTTCTAAGCTACCCATAAAAGTAGGGCCAGAAGCTATTTCTGCCTCAGGGCCACCAGACTGGCAGTTCCCATCTTTGCTTATTGAGATGGTAATAACATCTTTTCTAGATTCAGTATTGGTACTTGGGCTCTCCTGAAAAGAGCTTGGTTCTTGGCTGAGCACCTTCTTACCATACATCATGCTCTCTAAGGACTCAGGCAGCAGACTTTCATCATGGTTGATGGAAATGACATCCTGAACTTTAGAAATAAAGTTTTCACATGTCACATCAGGCAGGCTGAGATGATCATCTCTGCTTTCTACTCTCACTAGATTTTCAGGTTCATTTTCAAGGGACTCTGAAGTCCTACTCATTTGAGAATATGTAAGAGATTCATATAACTTGGAGTTGGTCTGGTAAAGGCAACAGAGATTTCCTGGTGCCTGGGTGCCAGATCTTTTATGCTGGGCATAGTTTCTATAGGCATCCAGGAAGGACAGCTGGGGGTCGTTCATGATGTAACAGTCAGTGCGGTTCAGCCCATGTTTGGCAGTGCCGATGAGCAGGTCTCGATCATGCTTCCCACACTCCCACCAGACTGGGAGGTAGAGGCTGGGCCTGCACAGCTGGAGGCGTTCATGCAGCTGAGGGCACTTGAGCACTTGCTCTCGGACTTTCCGTAACAGTTCAATGCGGTACAGAGTTCTTGCAGCACGTTCCTCAGTGATGGGTTCAACGTAGATGGTGGTATCTGGGGGACCTGGAGAGAAAGGGAAATAAAGCCTATCACTGAAGGTGACCTCAGACACTCCCCGCCCACCTGAGCCCCTGCATCTTTGGTCTTGGAGTTTAGCTCCCTGGCTCCTCAGCATGGCAGTTTCAGGTGTGTGAGCCCTTGCCAAAATAGGAAACTGAAAAAGAATGGAAGGCTTTTATGAAACAAGGACAGACCCAAAGGGTGTGAAAGAAGAGCATAAAAATTCCAGTTCTGAAAACAGTATTAGTTTCCTTTAAATAAGCATGTACTAGGCCAGGCATAGTATAGTAGTAGTTCACACCTGTAATCCCAGCACTTTGAGAGGCAGAGGCTAGGAGGATCACTTGAGGCCAGGAGTTCAAGACCAGCCCGGGCAACAAAGTGAGACCCCACCCCCCATGTCTACAAAAAATAAAAAAAATTATCTGGGCATGGTAGCATGTACCTATAGTCTGGCTGCTTGGAAGGCTGAGACAAGAGGATCTGGGAACCCAGGAGTTTGAGGTTACAGTGAGCTGTGATCATGTCACTGTACTCTACACTAGGTACTTTATACACATCTCTTAGTTCTCATGAAAATCCTACCATACCATCATCATGCCTGTCCTATTTCAAGGATAAGGAAATTGGCTCAGATAAACTACCTTGCTCCACGTGACAGAACCAGGATTTAAATCCAGGTTTTGTCAGTGTGACTCCAAGGTCCACCATCTTTCCAATATATTCAGCTCCCTGGCTTGGATGACAACACTTTAGCCCTGCCATATAGGAGGCAAAGGCTGGTATGTCTTGTGCGTGCTGCCATCAGCCCTGAACCCACACTGAGTAGGCTCAATGGTTGCTTTGGCTTTCCTAAAATATTGTCCCATGATCCAGAGGAACTCCATCTACAAATACGAGGCTACAGGGAGGCCTGAAGGAAGCTGTTGCAAGTGCCAACCATGAAGACATTTTTCAAAAGGGTTCTCTATTGCATCAGGGGATATTTAAATGACAGCCACTTACTTTCTATAGTTACAAGTCGACATGTGAGGAAATACTTAAAGTTATTAAGACTTAATCTAAGGAAGGTGCAAAGTTCAGAGTAGGATAAATCTGAACATGACTTAAAAAAAACCATGACTTTAAAAAAACCCTTATACTTTGGAGAAAGTGGTTGGCAGTCTTCCAATATTTCTGTGATGTTTTAAGCTGAATTTCAACTTTCACTGAAGTTACATCATTTTGGGAGAGAGATTTTATTTTATGAGGTGGACCCAATTAGAAGTTCATGAATTTCTAAAAGCCACTCATCTTTACCTAAATTCCTCATGTAGACTCTAGTTTTTATAGGTATACCTAAAGTAATTCTGCAATTTGAAAATCAGAATGTTCTTTCCTTGTATCATCTGACAATATACTGATAGTTTTCTCACCGCCATCTTTCCATGTGGGTAGACGACAGACATTCCGGCACATGGCCACAAAACTATAAAAATACTGTTCCAGGCTCTCATCCGACTTCTTGTCCAAACGGGAAATGATGCGGAACTGTGTCCAGTCAAAGGTTTTCTTTTCTTGATCGTAAACAACACCAAAGGAAGACACTGTTCTATAGAAGTCTGCTTGTTCTCTCCTAGTCCACCTTGAGATTTAATCAGAAAGGAAGAGTGAGCTCTTTCTTCTTTTTTTAAAGCCAATAACTGCTTATTGAGAGCCTACTATGAGAGCCCATAAAGTCAAGAAAGGAGGCAGAGCTGGTTTGTCTCTTTTATTATTTTTATTTAAGTTAAACTGGGCTGAAGGGCTTATAATGAAAACAGCCTATTATCCAACTCCCAAAGAGGTAATCACTTCCAAATCTTTCAGCTCTTTCTTCTGGTATTTACCTCCCTATTTCTAAACCAGGTATACACTTGCTATCTCTTGATTCATCAATTTTAGGAATCACCTAGTTAACTTCTGCCTGTAGATGATGAAGATTTTTAAAATACTATATATGCTTAAATATCTAGCCTTATTTTTTTTTACCCGTATGGCAATATAGAAGCAGAGAATCCTGAAGGGATGTTCCAGACCATTAAATTCAACCTCCTTATCTTACTGGTGTCCCGAAGGGAAGTGACTACTTCAGTGACACAACCCCTGCCTCCCCATCTCATATTGCTTTTCTTTGTGGTTTTATGTAGGTAGGTTGTCCATGACAATTATCTTCTCTGGGACACAAAGGTCCTCTAGTCTTTATATCCTATACGAGTAAGTCAATGACTTAAGGGAGGTGGATAATTATATACCACCATAGCCATTATGAGGGGCTCCTGGGCAGGGTGCTCTCCAATCCAGAGGGAGTCTAGCTAGGCATGGGGGTAACAGGGTGAGGGGTTAGAGAAAGAGTGAGAAGCAGGGAAGAAGTGGCTCTGGTTCTTCTCTTTAGAGATGTGCAAGAAGGAAGACATATATTCCTTGAACTATCGAATTTCATAAGTCAGGAGTACAGAGAAGTAATTAAATTTGTTATGCAGTCTTCTTTTAATTCATGGGGTGTTTCATCAGAAAGAGAGATATGACTCAAGGAATTGCAGCTTTGTTGATACCTTCTGGTGGCATCATTTCTAGCCTATGCTGGCCTTCTGTAAGCCTTTTAGGGCTTAATTCTCAGATGGGCAAGTCACTGCTGGTAATTTATTCTTTCCTTCTGGGCTTGTATTTTACGGTATTTATTGCCCTGGAAGGCTTGATAAGGATTTAGCTATAATAAGACAGCTTCAGTGCATACTGTTCCCTTTGTTACTAAAATAATTAGGGGGTCTGAAATGGTCTGACACATTCCATTGTGGTGTTTCTAAACCACATCCCCAGAGACTGGGGTTTAACTTAGGAAGAGTGTCAAGTTAGAAAATCATAAAAATCTGGAAACTGTAAAGACAGGGTGTTCCTAGACCTCATCAGACTCCCATCACCATGATACCATCACAACTGAAGGCTGAATGTAATGAATTCTGGAGACAACCTAACTTCACATGAGAACAGAAATATACTCGCCCTCCAAGCTACCGGCTTTACCTTTTGAAAACTTTACCCAGTGGGTGGCTGAGCATGCCCCTTTGGCCACTGGCTTTTACCTCTTTTGGGCTTCCTTGTTGATGAGGTCCATTTCTGAGGTTCTCCTGAACATCTCTTCCTGAACCCAATATCCTTGGTTACCTGGTCCCAGAATTTCAGGCCGGCACAGTTCCTTGCGGTTGCAGCGCTGGTAAACAGTGACCAGACGTCTGAGACGAGCTGTGAGGGCGGAGGAAACTGGCCAGGGCGATTTGTCTGGGTCGGAGCCATCCTGGGCTTCAAACATCAGTGAGGATATTAGTATTTACAAACAGAACTAAAACAGGAGTGACTGTCTTTTGGTTTTGTTTAAATAAAAACAAAGCTGACTCAATAATTTACTCAAAGTAGTTACTGTTTTAATAATTGGCCCAGGAGCAAGGCATGACTGGAAGGGCTGCAATTTTGCCTTGGATACAGCTTATGTTGTGGTCAATTAATTCTGTTATCTCTCAAACACAGAAGTGTCTTTTTGTGGTGGCAGAAGTTATGTGAGGACTTTGCTCTAAAGCACAGGAATGAGCAGATCCTTTGTTGCCTGCACCTTCCAATTACCAAAGCTCCTCTCACGTCTGAATTCAGAAAATTCAAAAACCAAACCAAACTAAACCAACCCCCACAACCTTTCTTTAAAAAAAAAAACAAAAAAAACAAAAAAAACCCGATGTCATCACAATTCCTTTTTACCTCTCAGACCTTATTCTAACTGAAGATATTAACATTTACTTCACTTTCAAATTTTAATGCCAGGTAGAGGAAGCCAGAGCCATGCTGAAGCTCCATGTGTGACTCTAGGGGAGTTTGATGATGGTCAACTTACTTGGCTTTTTAAAAGAGCCTCCTTAAAAAACTACTTATTAATTACATATAAACTCCACGATAACTAACAAACTAAGACCTTACTTTCCTATGCCTTCAGAAGGACATAGTCTCACCTGCCCGGCTGTCATCCTTCTTTTCGCTAAAAACGCCATCACCTCCATCACTGGAACTCTCCTAGGGATAAATAAAGCCATCCCATCAGCAAAACTGCAGCTTAGAAGAAACCAGCTCAGAAAGTCTTGAAACGGAAAGAGTAAGCATCACGCATAAGAGCTGTCCCCTGCCCATGAACAACTCAGACCAAGATAGGACCTGATAAAGCTTACTTCTGTACAATCTTAAAAGAGCCAGAAAGCAGTTTATTTAAAATAAGTTTTTTTTTTCTTTTCCTGGAACCATGTGGAATGCTTCTGCCTGTAGAGAATCGGCTTGAGCAATGATGAACTGGCACGCTCTCTCTGGCAATTACATTTTACAAGTACTATTTTAGTTGTGAATTTAAATATTTGCCTTACCATCGTCACTTGCAATTTAATACTGTCATTTCATTTCACAAAGGTTGTGCCTGCATTTCTGTTCTTTTGCTGTGAAAAAGTGTCATGCTCATGTTCATTATGGTTAGCTTACTTCACAGCAACAGACACTATTTTCATAAAACACTACTGCTCCAGACATGAAACCTGATGGCGCAAAACCCCAGGAATTTAAAATTAAAATCATGACTTGAGCTCTAAGTGAATCTGGAGTAATATCACAAGCACTGAGCTTGCCCAAGTCGGTGTATGTGTCAAACCAGCTTTAATGAATTCCTTCGCAAATCCTTCTTGGTCTCAGGAATGGAACTTTAAAAACTCCTCATATGTAATTCAGGTGGGAATCTGAGGGGTAACAGAAGTGACTGTGCTATTTTTCAACTGGACTCTAATTTCAACACTAAAACTTACTATATTTTGACTAGCATCTTTTGACCTGAATGACAGTACAGAACAACCTCAGGATTCAAGACTTTGCTATTTTAGAGCACAGGGTCAGAAAGAAGGGTCAGCAAACTGCGGCCTGCAGACTTTCTGTGTGGCCCTCAAGCTAAGAATGGTTCTTACGTTTTTAAAGGGTGAAAAAAAGGGAGGAAGAATATGCAACAGAAGCCATATATGGCCTTCTAGCCCAGGGTATTTACTATCTGGTCCTTTACTTGCTACTTCCTGGAATACACAACATGGTAGACCAGTAATCTAGTATGGTAGGAAAGGAGACACCCATGACTGCCAACAGTGAAAATTCAAAATGCTCTTTTGGGCCCCTGATACGACGCAAAGAACAGGAGCCCATTTTCTGAATGAATTTCTCTCTTACGCAGAACAGCGTTAACAGCTAATATTACGGAGAACTACGTGTTAAGCATTGCACAAAACCTTTTACATGGCTCATCTCACTTAGTTATCAGCACTGTCTCATGAGATAGAAACCATTACTATGCTCATTTTACAGATGCAGAAAACAAGCCCTAGAAATGTTCAGTAACTTGCCCAAGGTCACACAGCTGGCAAGTGGCAGAGCTGGGATTCAAATACAGGTAATCTGATTTGAGAGCCAACACTTTCAACTAACAAGCTGTCTAAAAAAGGACAAGAGAGTCTTAGATGAAAATTTGTCTTGGAGAGTGAAAACATATTTATAACAGAAGTGGGGAACACTAGCTAACCTCCTTTGCCTGGGCCAGAATTGTCTCCTGTTATCTAATGTTAATGAAGAGTGAAAACCCAGGGCTGATCTACTGTACCATTTTGAAGTGGCAGTTAAATATACCATTTTATCTTATACTACTATTTAGGCAGTTAAAAAAACAACCTACTATGCCTTATATAATTTCCTGCCAGAGAGGACTTTTTAAATATCCCCACAGTATCTGTGAAGATCCTTTGAATGCTGAAATGTATAAGTGTAGTACTTCCAGCTGAGAAATGCTCTACAGTCTACACAACACAGGTGGCAGGCCCCAGAGCTACCATGTTCCTTCGTGCCATGTAGTGGTGGCTGACATGGGCATCATCATACCCCAAGTCCATGACAACAGGCTCCCAGCTTGGTGTGAGGCAGGCATACAGCAAATGCTAGCTTCCCTTCCAGTCCACCTAGTAGTTTCTGTTGGTACAGTTAGTAAACATGAATAGTTTTAGGCAAAACTTTCAAGTAAGGAAAGCTTTGAGCATTCATAGTGTTTTTCTGTTCCTGTCCTCTCTTGAAGGTACTTCCTCTCTCTAGAAATGACAGAATGAAGAAGACCTAGTTTGTTAGTAGCTCAAGTGAAAAAGATGTCAGACTTTTAGTTAATAATCCGTTTAATGTGAGTGTGTGTGAGGTGCTGTAGCAGTGACAGTCCTGAGCATGCAGAGGCCCTGCATCTGAACTATGTAGTCTAATGTGTGCTACCTCAATTTCTGCTTACATGATTAACTTGAAAGAAATGTTCATCTTCAAAGAGGTATGAATCATCTCACAGAGAAGGGCCCCAGAGTGCTGACAAGAATGTCAACAACACAGCAAACTGATTGGTTACAATGTGCAATTTCTCCATCTTGAGGACACACGTGGTTTGGAGTCCCATGATCCACTGCTCTCTGGTCTCGGGCAAGTTGTTTTGATCTCTCTCAAGCTCATTTCTTCTTTTGCAAAATGGAGAATGGCATAAACTTCAGGTGGAAAGCAGATATACCTCAAATGCCATTAACACAATATTCAAGGATTTTATTATGGAAAGACTGCAGAATGTAGAAAAAGAAGAGGGCAGGGGAGATAGCACTCTTGTGTCCCCTGGCTGTATGGCTTTTTTGCAGCTGATTAAAACTGAGCTCCCTCGTCTCTACAATGGGCATAAGAATAATGCCTAACAGATGGGGAAATATGCTTTGTAAGTGTGAAAGTATACACAAATACTAGTATTTGAGTTCACAGAACCCTCAAACTCCTAACTCACAAGAAGAAGGTGCTTGTTCAGTTCCTAATTAAACTTTTGGAACAATGGAATTTGGCCATTTTAGGCATTAAATTTTCCTGCAAGTTCTTGGCCATGACTTCATCCTTTTATGTACTGACCTCATGGTTTAGAGAGCACCTGAGATGTCACAGCCACCTACGGTAGGAACTGTGGCACAGCACGGACATGCATGCTTTTGACAGCATAACTACAATGATGAAAATTGTGCTGTTACTTATTGCTATTTCTGTTAAAAGATGTGTTACTCTCCCCACATACTGGCTGTGATAGAGAAAGATTTTGTTTACAATTTCAGGCTCCAGACCATTCCAACCCAAATATACTTTCAGACTAACTGCTTTAGAAGGTTTCTGTAGGTTCACTGAATCTGGCTGCACGTGACATCTGTAATGATTTGCCAATCAAAAGTGCTACTGGTATTAAAACAGAGGGTGGGGGAAGCTGTAACTTAGATCATTTCAAATCTCCCTTCAAATTCTAACATTCTATGACTCTCTGAACGCCACATTTTAAGAGGACAACAACCATAGTGTGCTCTGGAAGGCGCTGGAATAGCAAAGGGTCTGGATATGATATGATATGGAAAAATATAGAGGAACTAGAGGTATTTCACCTGAAAAGAAATTTAAAGAAATTAAGGTCATGAGCTGGTCTCAGCAATTTAAAATTCTATCAGAGAGGGGAAAAACAACAGTTTTGTTCTTTGTAGTACCATAAAGAAAGCTAGATGGAACCCATGGAACCAGCTGGGAGGCAGATTTCTGGTGTGGTAAAAAGAAGTATCATCCAACAATAAAATAGACTTCTTTGGAAGGTGGCATGTTCCTCTTGTTTTCCCCATGAACTCCCCCCTGACAGCCCCGCTAAAGAGGGAACGCCACACTGAGACCACTCAGGCTTGTGCCAGGGCTCCTTGCAATGCTAAGACTCTACCAATCTACTAAACGGTTGCCTTTCTATGCCTAGGTCTGTTGAATTCAGGGGAACTGCTCTAATGAACAGGCTCTTTTTATACAATGCTTTGGGCTTCTTTAACTCTGCCTGAGGACAGAGCTGGGAGAAAGAAACACCCAAACAGTGTCTTCAGTGCAGGAGGTAGGGAGCAAGCGTGAAGCAGGGTGGGCAGCAGGCCTGGCTCAGATGCCGGCCATCCCTCTATGTGTGTGTGGTTTTAGCATGCAGACTAGAAGTAAAGGTGAATCCGTTTATAATCTGTCCACCTCAGAATCTGGGGAAATCCACTCCCCATTTCAACTGCTTTTAATGATATTCTATACCCCAGGTTTTAAGGATATGAAGAGCAAATCATAAATGTGTTAATTTTGTAAATGAATACAAAAGTAATTCCAGAGTTTAACTCTAATATATAAGAGCGCTTAAGTTATTTTTATTGATTCTGCCATGGCCCTCCAGTGTCCTCCTAATTGATTAGCTAAGCATGTCCAGTTTAATGTCAGTGGCTTTCAGAGGCTGGCCTCTTCATATGAGCTACTGCTGGGAGGAAGGGGCATAAACCCACACCTGAATTACTCTCTATTGTCTGGACTACGAAAAGAATACTTGACTACAACAAAGAATACCGGAATATCTAGAGAATTACAAGTCTTAGCTCTGTGATCTAGTGGTTGTGAGAATTTGGTCAAGTCCTTTAACTTTCAGGGAGGGCCTAAAGTTTCCTCAGCCCTCAAATGAAGACAGGGTGAGGTGAGGATCAACTTAAATAAATGGAGTAACTGGTTTGAAAAGAGTCAAGTTCCATATGAGAATAAGGTATTATGTTCATTTCTTTGGTACTTGAGTTGTTTCTACAGGGAAAACGCATCCCAAATTCCAGACAAAAGCAATAATATAAACTAAGGACTGGAACAGCAGAACATGAATTTTTTTTTTTTTTTTTTTTTTTGAGATGAAGTCTAGCTCTGTCGCCCAGGCTGGAGTGTGGTGGCTCGATCTTGGCTCACTGCAACCTCTGCCTCAGCCTCCTGAGTAGCTGGGAGTACAGGCGCATGCCACCACACCTGGCTAATTTTTTATATTTTTAGTAGAGACAGGGTTTCACCATGTTGACCAGGCTGGTCTCGAACTTCTGACCTCGTGATCCACCCGCCTCAGCCTCCCAAAGGCTGGGATTACAGGCATGAGCCACTGCGCCTGGCCCAGAACATGGATTTGAATTGTCAAGATGAGAACCTAACTTCCTTCATGTTACCGGGGTCTGAGGCTTCATGCTGATTTGCTTCAATCCACTGCTTCTCAAACCTTGAGGACACAGGGAAATGCATCTTTGAAAAATTATTATTATCTATTTTAAGAAAGGGATGAAGCCATTGTTACTGTTACAGGGGTCAGAGCTGATGGAGGCCAAAGTAAATAAATACCATACATTCTGCAAGCTAGAATCAACAGAAGAGAATGGAAAATAATGGATAATTTTTGGGTAGTGATCAGGAGAAGAAGAGGGAGGACCCTCGCAGGGGAGTCACTTGGGGACAATGCTACAGTAACTTCTGGGATCCAGAATCCATAACATTCTCTCTATTACTCAATGCTAGAGAAAATTTGGTCATATGGTGCTGGGGCCCAGGTAGGGTTTCAGTCTACTTATGCAAAATCTCAGAAACTCATTTTAAAAATGCAATACAGACTGCCGCTTCTGGGATGCATTTCCCTATTCTTTAAGTATAATTAAACCCTCTGGATAGTAAATATGAAACAAGCATAAGAAAACTCTGAAAGGTGAAAAAAAGAAAGGACAAACTAGAGACCTCAGGACTCAAGGAATGACATGATGAAAAAACATGCTTTTTTTTTTTTTTTGCTTCATATATCCTAGATTTGGAGGTAAAGAAGCGGGCTACCCGGAAATGGCAGAGGCAGACAAAAAAGGCCCTCAAAAAAAACCTTCCGGGCGCGGTGGCTCACGCCTGTAATCCCAGCACTTTTGGAGGCCAAGGCGGGTGGATCACCTGAGGTCAGGAGTTCGAGACCAGCCTGGCCAACATGGTGAAACTCTGTCTCTACTAAAAATACAAAATATTAGCTGGGCATGGTGGCATATGCCTGTAGTCCCAGCTACTTGGGAGGCTGAGGCAGGAGAATCACTTGAAGCTGGGAGGTGGAGATTGCAGGGAGCCAAGATCATGCCATTGCACTCCAACCTGGGCAGCAAGAGTAAAACTCCGTCTCAAAAAAAAAAAAAAAAAAAGAAGCGAGGTGGCTTCCTGCTCTCTCTAGTTAAGGACTAGGAAGAGGTAGGTTAGCAGGTTAGGGACACAGAAAATATTAAGACAATAACTGCTATACCCCAGCCCAACAATGCAGAAGAAACTGTCTCAACTCTACCCATGGCAACAACGGCTGAGTGGGAGCTCAGACTTCTACTTTTTCCAGGTGGTAATAGGGTACCCCATTCCCTTGCTGGGCTGGTATCAGAAAAAGCTAAGCAGGAAGTCAGGACTTTCAACCCTGACAAGTAGTAATGAGGTTCCCCACCCCTACCCATGGTGGAGCTAAACTTCCATTCCTGCTCAAAGTAATGAGAAACATCCCCTTTAGGGGTTAATGGGAGCAGACTGGGAACATGAATTTTTGCTTCCACCTCACAGAAACAAGGTGCCCCCCCCGACCTCTGTTCCCCTGCCAAGAAAGGTGCTGAAAGAGAACGTTTAAATAAGATCCAGAGTCTCACAATACAATGTCCAAAATGTCCAGGTTCCAATAAAAGATCACATACCAAGAACCAAGAAGACCTCAAACTGAATGAAAAAAAGACAAAAGTGGCCAATGCTGAGAGGAAAGATCTTAGAATGATCTGACATAAGAATTTAACAGTCATCAGTGAGCCATTCTGAACATGGCCCACTGTTCAGAATGAAACAGTGAAATGAAATGAAACAGAAAGTTTCAGCAAAGAAACAAAGATCCAAATAATATTTGGATTCAAAGGGAAATTTTAGGTTTGAAAAGTACAATAAACTGGAACAAAAACCAAAACCAAAAATGAAAACCCAAAACCCTCAGGAGAAGACTCAACAGCAGAATGGTGGAGGAAAATAATCAGTGACCTCAAAGACAGAAAAATGGAAAGTACCCAATGTGAATAACAGAAAAAAAAAAAAAATGGACAGAGCCTTAGAGACCCACAGGTCTATAACACAAGATCTAATTTTCATTTTATTGGTTTCCCAGAAGGCGAGGAGAAAGAGGACAGGGCAGAAGAAATACTTGAAGAAATCATGGCTGAGAATGCTTCACATTTAGCAAAAGACAGAAATCAGATTTAAGAAGACGAGTGAATTCCAAATAGGGTAAACTCACAGAAATCCGTAAGCACATAAAATCATAAACTTCTGAAAACTAAAGACAAAGAAAAAATCTTGAAAGCATCAAGAGAGAAAAGACACATTACCAATAGGGGAAAAACTGCTTGAATGACAGATTTCTCATCAGAAACCATGGAGGCCAGAAGCAAGCGGCAGTACCTTAAGAGCTGAAAGAAAAAAACTATCAACCCAGAATCCTCCATTTGGTGAAAATATCCTTTGGGAACAAAGGGGATATTAAGACATTCTCAGATGAAGAAAAACTAAGAGAACCGTCTGACAGTTCTCTAGACTACCTTAAAAGAAGAGCTAAAGAGATTTCTCTAAAAAGAAAGAAAACAATAAAAGAAGGAACCTTGGAACACCAGGAAGAAAAAGAACACAGTAAAAAAAATATGGGTAAATATAGCATATTTTCCTTCTCCTCTTGAGTTTTCTAAGTGATGTTTGACAGTTGAGGCAAAAATTTTAACATTACCTGATAAGAAATGGTTAAGACAACTATATTATAAATGGAAGAGGGTAAAGGAACAAAAATGGAAGTAAGGTTTCCACACTTCACTTAAGCTGATAAAATGATAGCATTAGTAGACGGTGATACATTACATATAAATATATGAAACACCTAGAAGCATTAAAAAGCTACAAAAATAAAGATAAATCAGAATAAAATCATACAAAATACTCATGTAAACCAGAGGAAGGCAGGAAAAATAAAAAATCAGGGAAAACAAAGAGAAGACAATAAAATGACAGGCTTAAGCTTTAATGTATCAATAATTACATTAAGTGTAAATGGTCTGAATAATATCAACTAGAAGACAGAGACCGGCAGAGCGTATTAAAGATTATGATCTACCTGTATGCTATCTATAGGAAACTCACTTCAAATACAATAAAGGCAGGTTAAAAGTAAAATAATAAAAAAGTTATATTTATGCAAACATTAATCAAGGGAAAGTAGCCATATTAATTTATCAGATAAAGTACCCTTCAGAGCAAAGAAAATTATCAGAGTCAAGAGAAAGACATTATATAGTGATAACAGGGTCAATCTGCCAAGAACATGTAATTCTCTCTATACATTTTTTTGAGACAGAATCTCGCTCTGCTGCCCAGGCTGGAGTGCAGTGGCGTGATCATGGCTCGCTGCAACCTCTGCCTCCCGGGTTCAAGTGGTTCTCATGCCTCAGCCTCCTGAGTAGCTGGGATTACAGGCATGCACCACCACGCCTGGCTAATTTTGTATTTTTCGTAGAGATGGGGTTTCACCATGTTGGTCAGGCTGGTCTCAAACCCCTGGCCTCCAGTGATCTGCCTTCTTTGGCCTCCCAAAGTGCTGGGACTACAGGCATGAGTCACCGCGCCTGGCAAGAACATATAATTCTAAATGTGTATGCACCAACCAGAGCTGCAAAATATATGAAGCAAAAACTGATAGAGCTGAAAGGAGACATAAATAAATCCACAATTATAGTTGGAGGCTTCAATATTCTTCTCTCAACAACTGATGAAACGACTAGACAGATAATCAGCAAGGATACAGAAAAACTCAACAACATCATTGACCAACAGGACCTAGTCAACATTTATGAAATACTGCATCCAATAAAACCAAAAGCATGTTCTTTCCAAGTGCCCATGGAACATATACCAAGATATACCATACACTGGGCCATAAAACAAACTTAACAAATTTAAAACAACTGAAATCATATAGAATGTGTTCTCTGATTATAACAGAATCAAACTAGAGATCAATAACAGCAAGGTAATGGGGAAATCTCCAAACACTTGGACACTAAATAATAAACACCTAAATAATTCATGGAAAGTCTCAAGGGAAATTAAAAAAAAATACATTAAACTGAATGAAAGTGAAAATACAACACAAAATTAATGAAACATAACTAAAGCAATGCCGAGGGAAATTTACAGCACTAAATGCATATATTAGACAAACAGAAAAGTTTCAAATCAATAACAAAGAAACTCCCACCTCAAAAACCTAGAAAAGGGCTGGGCACAATGGCTCATGCCTGTAATTCCAGCTCTTTGGGAGGCCGGGGAGGGAGGATTGCTTGAACTCAGGAGTTCAATACTAGCCTGGGCAACAGCAAGACCCTGTCTCTACAAAAAAACAGAAAAATAGAAAAAATTAGCTAGGTGTGGTGGTATGCACCTGTGGTCCCTACTACTTGGGAGGCTGAGCTGGGAGCATCACTTGAGCCTGGGAGGTTGAGGCTTTAGTGAGCTATGATTGCATCACCACACTCCAGTCTAGGTGAAAGAGTGAGACCCTGAGTCAAAAAAAAAAAAAAAAAAAGTAAATGCAGAGGTATATACAGTAAGATTCAGTACTGTAAAAACTCAATGAAGATGTCAATTCTCCCCAAAGAGATATAAAGGTTTAAAGCAATGCCTATCAAAATCCCAGCAACAGTTTCTGTGGATAAGATTATTCTAACATTTATATGGAAAGGCAAAGGAACAAGAAAAGCAAAAACAATTTTGAAAAAGAAGAAAAAAGTGGGAGGTATCTATCTATCAAATTTTAAAACTTACGGTATTGCTACGGCACTCAGGATTATGTGCTACTGACAGAGGAAAAGACAAATAGATATATGGAAAAGAGCAGAGAACTCAGAAATAGAACCCACAAATATGCCAAACTGATTTTTAATTTTTTTTAATTTTTTAATTTTTTGTAGAGACAAGGTCTCACCATGTTGCCCAGGCTAGTCTTGAACTCCTGGGCTCAAGGGATCCTCCCTAAAAAGAGACACTTACAGGGTGGGAGAAAATACTTGCAAACTACGTATCTGACAAAAGACTAGTATCTAGAATATATACAGAACTCTAGAAAATCAACACTAAAACAATGAAATTAGAATATAGGCAAGAGACATAAACATTTCACTGAAAAGGATATACAGATGGCAATTAAACACATAAAAGATCTTCAACATCATTTAGCCATCAGGGAAATGCAAATTAAAATCACAACAAGGTATTGCTACACACCTACCAGAATGGCTCAAGAAAATAATAGTGACCACACCAAATGTTGGTGTGGATGGAGAATACAGAGAAAGCGGATCTCTCATGCATTGCTAATGGGAATGTAAAATGGTACAGCCACTCTGGAAAACAATTTGGCAATTTCTTAAAAAACACAACATGTAACTATCATATGACCCAGCAATTACACTCCTGGGCATTTATTCCAGAGAAATGAAAATGTATGTTCACACAAAAATCTATATGCAAATATTTACAGAGGACTTAATAGTCAAAAACTGGAAACAACCCATATGCCCTTCAGTGGATGAATGGTTGAACAAACTCTGGTTCTTCCATACCACTGAATACTACTCAGCAGTGAAAAGGAATGAACTGTTGATACAGACAACCACCTAGATGAATCCCAGGGAACTTTTCTGCATGAAAAAGCCAATCCCCAAAGTTTACATACTGTATGATTCCATTTACAGAACATTCTTAAAATGACGAAATCATAAAAAATAGAGAACAGATGAGTGGTTGCCAGGAATTTAAAGAGGGGTGAAGGCAGAAGGAAGAGGATGTGGTTATAAGACAGCAACAGGATGAATCTTTGTGGTCATGAGAATGTCCTGTATCTTGACTCTATCCATATCAGTATCCTGGTTGTGATATTGTACTACAATACTGCAAGACGCCACTACGAGGGGAAACTGGATAAAAGGTATATGCGATTTCTGTATTATATTTTGTGACTGCTTCTGAAATATACAGTTATCTCAAAATAAAAAGTTTAATTAGAATAAAAATGCAATTGCAGTCTGTGTATTTTAAGTTTTTATAATAAAATGTTGGGCAAAATGCAATGTAACTGTAGTAATGCAATCAAGTTCCCCCAGATCACTACCAAGATAGGGATTTCTTTCTTAATATGAAAGACGGTGTAAATGACCAATACTGCACATTTGACTCACCGTTTGTTTCTGGAGGCCATCTACTTTGTCCTCAGCATTGTCTTCTTTATCTGTGTTGCCTCTAAATAAAAGTAAAAAAAGGCATCACATACTACCTAGGTCCCCCTTATCCACAGTTTCAGTTACCCTGGTCAACCACAGTCCAAAAATACTAAGATATTTTGGGGGAGAGACAGGGCGAGAGAGAGAGATCACATTCACATTACTTTTATTACAGTATATTGTTATAATTGTTCTATTATTATTGTTGTTAATCCCTTACTGTCCCTAATTTATAAATTAAACTTTATCATAGGTATGTTTATATAGGAGAAAATACAGTTTATACAGGGTTTGGTACTATCTGAAATTTCAGGTATCCTCCATGAATAAAGTGGAACTTCCAAGTCAGCCGTCTGTACCCATGGAGGATTGGTTCTCAGATCCTCAGGGATACCAATATCGGCAGATGATCAAGTCCCTTGGTTGGCCCTCTGGATCTGAGAGTTCTGCATCCACAGACAAGGAGGGCTGACAATAGATCCCTTCTTCTGAAGGCATTCCAAGCCTTAGTTTTTCCCTCCCTTGTGGGAGAATTCAAGAGACACTGAGAATGAGAGAAACTATCACCAAACAGTTATCACTTCTACAGGCAAGGACCTTTATTCAACTGAGACTGCAGCATGAGGCTCCAGCCTCACGTCTACTCAGGCAAGTTCAGAAAAAGGTAATTCCTGCCCATCAAGAGTCATCTGAACATGTGACTCTGATAAAAGAACACACTCTAGAAACTGAAGGCTGTGCACATCAAATGAGGCCTAATGTTGCAACTCCCTGGTCACAGTAGGATGAATCTTCCCACAGAATCACATTTGGCGAAAGTCACTCCTTGGCTTGGAAGGGAGCTCTGCTGCCACTGGTTAACAAGGACATTTTCCCCTTGTTACCATCAGACCCTTGATGCTAGCTCAGCTGCCTAATGTCTTCTCTTTTGTGAGCTTAACTACTGCTGATGCCTACCTGTTTTTCATGATTCTTTTAAAAACTGACTTTGAGGGTGGGTGCAGTGGCTCACACCTGTAATCCCAGCCCTTAGGGAGGCTGAGGTGGGCGGATCACCTGAGGTCAGGAGTTCGAGACCAGCCTGGCCAACATGGTGAAACCCCGTCTCTACTAAAAATACAAAAATTAGCCAGGCGTGGTGGTGGGTGCCTGTAATCCCAGCTACTTGGGAGGCTGAGGCAGGAGAATTGCTTGAAACTGGGAGGTGGAGGCTGCAATGAGCCGAGATCATTCCACTGCACTCCAGCCCGGGTGAAAGAGTGAGACTCCATCACAAACAAACAAAAAACCCCCAAAAAACTGCCTTTGAAATATTTGCGTCCCAAATATTCTTGTCCTTGATGCTCAAGTCCTAGAGGCAAGATAAGCTCCTTGCTTTACCACTTAACCGTAGAAAGAAAAGCCACCCCACAAAAAATAGCCTTTATGCCACATTCAGGCGCCCATTCAGAGAGTGTTTTCCCTGAATCAGTGAATGAACATGAGAATCACCAGTCATATGGGCCTCTGTTAACATCTCCCAGAATGCATCTCGGTTATCTGTCCTCAAGAAAAATGCTGGGGCAGCTGAAGTGTTCATCAGGGGTTAAGGACAGATGGAAAATGCACTGCACACTTTTCTTGGCCTGAGCAAATAGTTAGGGGCTCCTGGCAGTGCCACATTCTCAGGTCTGGCCACAGACCTGGGCAATGCAAAGCAGTATCTGCTACTTTTGGGGAGAAACTAAGAGATAAATGCTAAGAGATAAATGCTATGTTTTGGCCGGGTGTGGTGGCTCACGCCTGTAATCCCAGTACTTTGGGAGGCTGAGGTGGGTGGATCACAAGGTCAGGGGTTCAAAACCAGCCTGGCCAACATGGTGAAACCCCATCTCTACTAAAAACACAAAAATCAGCTGGGCATGGTGGCACGTGCCTGTAGTTCCAGCTACTCAGGAGGCTGAGGCAGAAGAATTGCTTGAACCTGGGAGGCGGAGGTTGCAGTGAGCCAAGATTGCGCCACTGCACTCCTGCCTGGGTGACAAAGCAAGACTCTATCTCGGGAAAAAAAAAAAAGCTATGTTTTCAAAAACATATATATAATTTGAAGAACTACAATTTTTAGCTGTTTAGTTTTCCTATGTATTTATGTCAAGAGTAAATAAAAATCAGTCAAAGGAGAGGCCTTCCATCTACTTTTTTGCACACAGTCCATGGACAAGCTGAAATGTCATGGCCGTCAAGGAGCGGCCCCTAAATCCATCTTGCTCATGGACTATGCAATCCTTAGACAATACTGGATCTGAGGAACTGCAGTTCAAAGTCAGGAAGGCTGTACTTGTTTCTGTTCTTAGCTATTCTGCCAGGCATGGGAGGTCTGAATTCTCCCACAGGAATCCTCTGACCAGACAAGGGATGGACATGGTTAGAAAGCTGGGCAGGCTTTTAGAAAGGTGGGCAGCCTGGGAAACTCATGAGGAACAGGAACCGGTATTTGGTTCAAAGTGCTTGGAAGTCAAAGAGCAGGTCTGAGGTAGAGTAGGGTGTAACCAAAGTAGCAATTATGGAAAACAGCGGCAGTGTGGCAAGGTGTAGGGAGATGCCAGATGCTGAGGAAGAGATAAAGAGTGCTGGGTTTATGAGGAAGGGGTCACAGATCAGTGGCATGGCATGTCACATGAGGGCTGGCCTACGTGGCTTCTCACCTTTCAGGAATGTCTGAGGTCCCATCTGTAACACCCTGTTCTGCAGAAAGGGACTTCTCATCGGGCATCCCAACTTTCTCCAGGAAGCAAAGTGCTGGGTCTGCTCGCATGGCATTGTACCTTTCATAACCTGATCAAGAGTGGTGAGAAATGCCAGAAGTCATGTTAGAACTCACAATATTTGCTTTGGGCACTAGTCTTTTTGTTTTCCTTATTTAGTAAAGAACAAAACAAACACAAAAAAATAATTATTTAAGATTAATGAGATCCTATAAGACTATCAGGGAAAAATCCTGGTGCTAAAGCGGACACCTTTGAGTAGTGTTTGACCAACAAACAATGGCTTACGGAAATACTCAGTGTCCGTGAAAAGACAATTGTATAGATACACAATTCTGTTTGCTGCTTCCCGTCAGCTGGTTTTGCAACTTCTTCCCCCATCCTCAACTCTGGATACCTTGTTATATCCTTTATGGGCCTTGTTTTCTTACAGCTCATTTTTATCCCATGTGTTAGAAAGGGAAGGTGAACATGATGGATGGCAGGACTGAAATATAAAGAGAACTACGATGATTGTTTATTGCATTAAGACAGACCTGTGGCCTCTGTATCACAAACTCAGTACAAATCTTAATCCACACTGGCCAGGGCTTTGGAATTACTCCTCATCACACCCCAAAGTTAACAACAGACAGTGTTTTGACCCAGAAGAGGGGCCTCAAAAAGGAAGCAAAACAATTTTAAAAACCCTGATTTTGTTTGATAAAGTCCATGTGTGAGGATTTATTTTATTGAACCTAATGTACTCTTAGAATGAGACAGCATTTGGCCACATAAAAGGCAGAGTCCCCATCAGAGGAGATGGAAGAGCTGAGTGTAAATGAGAACCAGCCTGGCTCTTAGGAACAAACCTGATTTAACTGTGTTTGGTATTTCATTTCTATTTTGGTTTTTGTTCTCGTATCACTGTTGATGCAGTTGTATCCTTCAAGCTGTAGGTAGCACCTGGTTCTTTTCCCTGAGGAGCTGTGGGTAGCTGATCTTTTAATCCACAGTGGCTCTCCTGCCATCTCCATGACAGGTGCTGCCCACATGAGGTACCTGGCACGAGAAGCTCTGCAGTGCCTTATGTTCTTTACTCACTTACTCCTTATGGCAATGACTTGATTGCTCTAAGTCTCTCATGAGGTCGTGAGCTTCCTAGGAGCAGAACCTGTATCTGTTTTTGCTCATCATTATATAGTCAGTACCTAGCAAAGGGCCTGACACTGTACAGACTCAACAAACAACTGACCAGATGAGTCGGTTTTGCCTAGATTCTTTTCTCTTCCAATCACTGTTGTAGGAAGAAGAACCACTCTCACCCTTTCCCCACGTTCCTGCCCCACCTCACATCAAACAGAAAATTCCCCAATACTCCTGCTTTTAAGGAGGTTCCAGTCAGTTTCTCCACCTGCTTCTCATGAAGAGAGGGGTAATTTAAATGACAGGTGAGATGGTGAAATCCTTCCCTTACTGTCCCCTTACTACTGAGGGAGGCCAACTGTCCAGGAGTATACCACCTTCACACTCTGTGCTCAGGCATGGAGCAAGCTGCGACCCTCCCTGACCTGGGCAAGCTTCTATTCTGTAGACTTTCTCTTGTCATGTGTGGATCTGAAGCCTAGAGACAGATTCAGTATTTTTATTTCTCAATTAGCTGTGAAGCTGGAGGTGAGGAAGAATGACTCTTTCAGTCCCCTAGAAAACCCTAACAACTGTCCTGAAGAGAAGCCAGTAGGAGCTGCAACAGCAATACAAAGACAAAGAGCAACGTGACAGACCCATGAGGGGGTGTCGGCTGCCTGCCTCTTTTCACTTTTAGTCTATAAGCTGCTCTCTAAGAATATCAACAGAAATACTAAAGTCTGTATGTCAAGGAAAATTTCACACATCCAGGCTACCTTGGAGGGGCAGCAGTCACTCAACTCAACTGAGCTGTCAAGAGCATAATTTAGAATAGGTTTGCCACAGAAATCTTTTTGCTGCAGGCTAAAGCTCCAACCAAAAACTAAGCCAATGCTAATGGGGTCAGCTTGGAGATCGATCTATGGCTATATTCAACTCATTTAACAGGGTTACAGCAGGCTATGTCTGGAGTGGACTAAAAGATCCACAATCCCAGGCATGGTGGCTCATGCCTGTAATACCAGCACTTTAGGAGGCTGAGGCAAGAGGATTGTTTTGAGTCCAGGAGTTCGAGCCCAGCCTGGTCTGGGCAACATATGAGATCCCCTCTCTACAAAAAATTAAAAAAAAAAAAATTAGCCAGGCATGGTGGTGTGCACCTGTAGCCCCAGCTACTTGGGAGGCTGAGGTGGACAGATCACCTGAACCTGGGAGTTCAAGGCTACAGTGAGCTGTGATCACACCACTGTACTCCAGCCTGAGTGACAGAGTGAGACCCTGTCTCTTAAAAAAAATTCACAAAACCTCAGTCAATGAACAGTCATGTGTTTCTTAACAAAGAAAATGGTTGCAGCTCTACAGCTCATACTTAACCAAGGCATGCAGGTGAAGTGGAGCGGGCTTCCTGACACAATATCCCTGAAAAGTGAACACTAGACAGACTGGCTTTCTGAAAATGGCTAAGTATCACATCTCCAGAGCTGCTGAGTATCTGAGAAGCTGTCACCTGGTAAGACATGTTGTGTGGGCTTGGTTATACTGTGATAAGGGCGAAGGTTAGAAAGGGGTGGTCAGATGTGTTACCTAGATGAGGACATGTCTAAGCCTAAGCTCATGGAATAGGCAGCACCCAGGCAGGGGCAGGATCTGATATGGACTCTGGCGGGTGCCAAAGAGGATGGGCCCATGAGGCATCTGTCCAACCTCATCTAAGTTGACTCCAATGTAACCATCCAACTAAACTGATCTGGCCCTATGCAGAGTCTGCATTTATGGCTTAGGCTCAGTCTCCTAGCACTGAAAACAGAGGCTTTTTCTTCTCTTGTCTTTATAGCATTATCTGCTAAACTCATCCTGTACAATGAGACACTTCAGACACTGCACAAATCACCTTCAAGGCCTCTGCCCCTCAGCTGTAACTGTAAATTCCAAGTTCACCTCAACTGACAATCTGTGAGAATCTGAATGGAATTGAGTGATGAAGTGTCATCTTAACATCTCACAGGTGTGATCAGCAAACACAAATTAATTTATACTCCCCAAAACTGCTTCAACGAGCAGAAGAATTTGGGAGCGACCTTATGTATCATCTGGGCTGACTCTATCTCCAATATGAGACTAAGAGATCAACTGATTAATCCCAATACCCTGAACAGTGATTAGGGATTAGGAAACTAGAAGGTAGGGCACCAATAATAACCTGTCTTTTCCAGGTGAGAAGGCATCTTGGACCTCCTTAGATTCCTGTCCATTTTTACACATTCTAAGGCTATGTCCTTCACGTGAGAATTATTAATTATATCTTCCTGGTGAGTTGTATCTATCATCATTGTGTAATGACCCCCTTTCTTCCAAATTATGCTTTTTGCCTCACAGACTGTGTGTGATATTGATTTGCCTTACCGGGTTGTTAGTATTTTCTGGGGATGTCTTGTTTCACCTCTTGGATGTCAACCTCACTCTGTCCTCTAAGTCTCATCTTCTCTTTCATGTCTTCATCTTCTTTATCACTCAGGGATCTGTTTCTTTAGCTCTGCTTTCTTGGACCACAGAGCTTTTTCTTGCTTCCCTTTCCTGGAGGGGCAGCCCTTTCAAAGTCATGTTTTCCATTTCTGTGGGTATTAAAAACCCAGTCCTTCTGGTTCACTGTCATATTGGCCCCTAAGCTTTCAGTTCTGGCTTTAAATGACTTCTGCATTTGGGGACTTCCCTTATTTCTTCCAAGTCCTGATCCACCTTGGTTTTCTGTATGTCTATGGTGGGTGTGTTGGGGTGGGGGAGGAAGAAGTAGCAGCATGTAAATTCTACCTGCCATACTTCTGGGACTTCAGATGTGTTCTCTTTTCTCAGCATGTTGTTGCCATGCAGGGACTTGGCAATGTGCCCTAAAACCACCACTGAAATGAGACTCAGGGTCACTAGGCCTTCCCCCACAAACCAAATTCAGATGCTCTGGAATCTGGCTGCCTTTAGCAGCCTACTGTCTTCTGGGGTCCTTCCAAAACTAGGTTAAACCAAGTCTGGGTTGCACTGCGGTACCTTGTGACTAACAGGGAGATCACGCACTTCCTTCTACTTTGGAGCTGAGTTCTATCCCTGCACTGTCCAACAGAGGAGCCACTAGCTACATGGGGCTATTTAAATTTAAATTAATTAAAAGTACATAAAAATACACTTGCTCAGTTACATTAGTCACATTTTAAGTGCTCAATAGCCACACAGGGCTAGTGGCTTCCACAGCAGACAGTGCAGAATTAGGGCATGTCTATGATTGCATGTAGTTCTACCGGACAGCACCGCTTTAGCCTAACCCCGGCGGTTTGACAAAGGGTTCTCAGCAGCACTGCACCACCTGAAGCCTGCATTCTCAATACCAGTATCCAAGTTTTGAGTGGATTCCAAATTAAAATATGTATAGGCATGGTTGTTACTTAAATATAGCTGGTTAGCCTGTAAAAGTTGAAGAATTCCCTTTAAAGAATACGTATTAGAAAGTTAACAACCTTCCAAAGGCAGAGTAATATGGGAGAGTGGAATAGCACCCAGCACCTATTATGTACCAAGCACTGTTCTAGGTGGTCTACATTTAATGTAATATTTAATCTTTAAACAACCCCTAGGTAGGCTGTTTTGATACTATACCTCCTCCATTGTATAAGTGAGAAAATAAGAGAAGCTTATGACTTGCCCAATGTCACACATTTTAGTAAGTAGTGGAGTTGATAGCTAAAGCCAGGTATACCTAACTCTTTTCACTTTAAACCTTGCTCCTCATTTTAAAATTTCTGTTGATTCACCTGGCAGGGAAAGTGTGTATCAGGCATACTATGGGTGACTATCACTTGACACTTTCATCATTCATTTTAATGGCTGGCAGTTGGCTGAAAGCAAGGGCAGTTGTTTCAAACACTGCCAGAGGTGAAGAAAGGGAGCACTTACTTCAGTTTTTCCAAGTGTTTAAAAAACCTCTCAGTCCCCTTTAGTGGCTCAATTACCACATTTTTAAAAAGACAGTCTATGCTATCTTCTATGCTTAGTTTTTAAAATGCCAGTGGGGTAAAAGATACACACTAGGAAGATGTAGATTATCGAGAATGACCTTATAATTCTGCATATATAAGAAATGCTGAAACTTAGCATTTCCCGCCATTTATTTACTCCTTCATTCAAGGTGTCTACTATGTGCCATGCACTGGGACTATTAGAGGCAGTCCCATATCCGACAGCATGGACAGGCGAGGGAGGAAGATATACACCAAACAGGTTCTTTGTGGCCTGAATGTTCCTCAATAATATAAAATTCGCAGTATTATTGTGAGCCATACATTCATCTGGTGGAAATTCCAAGAGGGCAGCTGTGAAGCTCTACTTTTTAAGATGAATGTGTAACAGAATGATAGAGTTTTGCAGGAACATGCCGAGCTTAGTTGGAGGGGCTGAACTCATCCTTCCTGGGGGAAACTGATACAGAAGGGAACGCCTTCAGAGAAATACACACCATGCTTGAACACGCCAATGAGAAGTGACTTATCGGCTTCAGCATCCCACCAGTCCACTGGGATCTCCATGTAGTCGATGTCAGGCAGAGGTACATCCAGCTCCCTAGGGAAGGAAGGGTGTAGACTCAAAACAACACAAAAGCTACTGGTCCAACCCTGGTATTAGGCCACAGTCCTACTGGCATGCTGAGATGCTAAAGTAACAATAAACAAAAGGGTTAGGAAGGCTGTGGGTCATTGTTTCTCAACCAGGGCTTTGCATGAGAATCACTTAGGCAGTGATTTAAGCATAAGTACTTGATTTCCAGGCTCTACCTTTGACAGACTGACACAGTCTTGAAGCACCTCTTGGAGAACGCAATGTCAGTTGGTCCAGGGTGGCATCTTGGGATCCATATGTATAGAGTTCTAATGTGCACCTTATGTGAACCACAGCAAAGGCCATTGATATATTGGACATCTGAAGGTAGAGCTTCCCCAAGAGTTGAATTCATACATGATTGTATGTTTAAAATAGTGCCCAAATCATCGTGGCTCAGTATGTTGCCTCAACAAGTAGAGATCTTACGCACCATTTAAGACCAAGAGTCCACACTGGAACAAGTCGGTATATCAGGAGGGCCTTTCAGAGGGTAAGTGCCATAACAGGTGGCACCTCCTGGCAGTGGTCTATTAGATCAAAATTGATCAAAAACTGCATTGTTCCTGGCCAAAGGGATGCACATAACTCACCCCAGGGCACAGACATGCAGGTGTTAGCCCCTCTCTGAGTTTCTGTAACGTGTTTGGAGAGCTCACATAAACCCTAAGTTCACTGTCTTCATTCATCTGAGTACAGTCCTCGCTCTTTAAGGCTTTGAGGTTTAGGGAATAGCATGCATCTGGATGGCTTCTCCCTCCCCCTCCAGCTGCCTCTGAAGTTTCTTCTTCCGTCAGACTCTTACTGTGACACAGGACCGAATGCTCCCTACTAGTCCCAGCTCCCTCTGTGGGGATAGTGTTTCCTGACCCCCACCTTTCCAGGGATCCATGGCTCTGCCTGCCCAGTGCCATGGCTGAATGACTTTTATGGGATGAACTGCTGTTCATGCCTCATGGCAACTTCTCCACAAGAAGGTATTCAACCTGAAGAGCAGCAGTAAGAGACAGAGGAACGCAGAGGAAGGAAGAGGGTGGGCAGCAGACTTACTCTCTCTGTGTTCTACCTAGCTACCACCTATGACTTCCTACACATGACAGCGGTAAGTTCAGAGTACTTCTGCCAGGTAACACTTGATGGATATTATCAGGTGGAATTCTGCTGCATTTATACGACTCAAATTGAACCTGTCTACCAAACACACAACCTCCCCATCCCTGCTGGAAATTACAATAGTGACTCTGAAAGGCATAGAAAGTGGTAACAGTTGCTGAGGAGCCTGGCTCTGATTACAAGTTGCCCCATGGGTCGGGTTGTCTATGTCCCTCTCTCTCTTACTTTAGTGCTCCTATGACCTCTACAGACACTAGCATTGCTCAATGGAAAGCAAGAGAAAGAAGAAACCACGGCCCCAGGTAATCTCAACACAAAGTCCAAATATCAGCACTCTTGGTATTCTGTAGGAATGACAGGTGTGCACAGGGCTAGCAAACTGCACCTGGTGATCCCATTTATAAACTGGGGCTTTCTGACAGCTTTATTAAGTGGAAGCTGAGAACCTGGTAGCCTCAATCTTGGAAATCTTGGGATACTCCCACAGGATTCTATAGCTTTCCAAACACTAATTTGCAAAACTAACATGCAACAAAATGAATAGGCCGCACATATTATTAATATGATTAGCAAATAAAGAAAATATGTATATGAGTACTAAGGCAAAGAACAGGATGGTGGGTAAAACTTCCAGTCTATACATGTCAGATCAGTAACCGACACTCGTTCTACAGTAAATGACTGTTTTAAAAGAAAATTTATAACACTTTTGAGGGAAATAAAATGAACTAACTCACCAAAAGCTAGGTTTCTAAGAAATGGTTTTCTCCTTTATTTTATTTGTAGATGACCTGATGAATTGTCCTTATTCTACTTGCCTGTTCTCCCATCTGGGACACCGGTCCTGGGCAGGGGGTAGGAGGAACATGGGCCTCTTTAAGCACAGGCAAGTTTGGCCAGCTCCATGAATAGGCATTTTATGTCAATTCTTTAACGTTGATATGTTAAGTTTCATTTGCTTTACCTGGCAGGAGATCCTTCAAATGCTTTCTCAGCTGCTTCTCCCAGTATTTCAGCTTTTAGGTAGTACAGCATCCGGACTCGCAAAAGTACTCTATGAAAGGTGAACACATTAATGCAAACAAATTAGAACCCATAACTGTCTGTGAACCACATCCCCAAGTTAACACTGGGAAATTCTGGGCATTCCCATGTAGTTAATATTATGAAGTAATAGAAGAGAAGGCACTAGAAAAACAAAACATTATGGCAGACATTATTATGATCATTCCTATTTTACAAAAAAAAATGACCACATCAGTTATCTGTTAGATCATCCTGTGAGCCACAGGAGGCAGCAGGAACAGACAGCTCTTCTCATCTTTAAGAGTACTCACCCCTTCCATGTGGCCACAGTGACCTCTTAGGCAGAGGTGGCTTCCGAGAGGCCAGCTACTGAAGAGTGAGCAGGGTGAACAGTGGTGTTTTCAAACAGTTTCACTTGTACACAGTTAAATGAATAAATGAATAAAGGCAAGTGTCTATTTTTCGTGGCAATATGTCTTCTCTTCTGAGGTGCTCAATTCATTTTTATTCTGTATGGACCACACTCAGGCTCCAAGGGAATGCATCAAACATGTCTCAGACAAAGCAATTAAGCAAGTATTTGCTGGGCAACTACTATATGCTCTGCATCATGCCGGGTGCTATAGGTATATAACAAAAGTAATGCCTTTCGCCATCGGATGACCCTTGCCCACAAGCCGTTATCGTGCTCTTGGGCATCCCGGCCTGCAGAGTCATGAGCCAATACCCAGTCTGTGGTATTCTGTTATAGCAGCAGAAAATGGACTATGACAAAGGGGTAAGGCCTCTGAGAAAGCATCATTTCTACCTATTAGATCTGGGTAGAAAGTGCCACTGTGGGCTCAAGTTGTAGGTGGAAACACACAAAGTTAGAACTTATAGATTGGAAAGAACCCTTATTATCTCTGGTATAACATTTCTCATCTCAGCTGTCAATCAACTCAAATAATTCTGAGAGTATTTTTTTTTTTTTTTGAGATGGAGTTTTGCTCTTGTCGCCCAGGCTGGAGTGCAATGGCGCGATCTTGGCTCACTGCAACCTCCCCCTCCTGGGTTCAAGCGGTTCTCCTGCCTCAGCCTCCCGAGTAGCTGGGATTACAGGTGCCCACCACCACATTCGGCTAATTTTTTATATTTTTAGTAGAGATGGGGTTTCACCATGTTGGCCAGGCTGGTCTTGAACTCCTGATCTCAGGTGATTCACCCGCCCCGGCCTCCCAAAGTGCTGGGATTATAGGCGTGAACCACTGCACCCAACCTGTTTGTTTATTTATTTATTTTTAAAGCCCAGAGAATAAGAACTCTTAAAAATTTACAACCACTGCCAATCCTTAATTTGTAGATGGTCGTAGCTGTCAGCTTTAGTAAAAAGTGGAACAGAATGTCAGAGTCCTGCCTGCTGAGACTTAGCTCAATTAGAGTAGGGCTTTCCTGAAAATGTCTGTCTCCCTAAGACAGGGAGAGCTGTTTCCATTTCTATAAAGAGAAACAAATGTGTTGACGTCTAACAATATCTGCAGCATGAGAGAACAGAATTGAAAGCCAATAGTATTCAATTCTCCTCCAAATGGAAGGGAAATCAATTCAGAGGATGGATGGACAATTCCTTATAGCCAGCCCCCTCCTCCAAGCTGGTGTCTGAACTCAAAGGGACACACAACTGCAGCAGGTTTGTAACACCCTTGGTTTAGCCAAAGAAAACAATCCATTAATATTTTGGGTGGCGACATATCCTTTTTTCTTTTTAAAAGTATTTTACTGATGTGAAATATACTTCCATAATGTGCACACTGCAAACATGTATAGCTTAATGAATTCCTACAAACAAAACATACATGTGTATTCAGCATCTAGATCAGGAAGCAGAATATTCTCCCTGAAGTCCCCTTGGTATTCCCTTACAGTTACATCCCATCCCCAGTGGATAACCATTATCCTGTCTGCTTTTAGCTTAGATTTGAAGCAGTGCTTTTTAACTTTTTAAAGGTTCTTTTGATGACAATTTCATGCCTAAAATAATATAGTACTAATAATAACAACACTTTGAGTGCTTACTGCTGTCTCTGAAGAGCTTGTACTTTTGTGTACATTAGTTTTTATTACAGTATTGGGCATGAGACTTATCTTCAAATATTTGAGGTGATCAAGGGAAAGGATTATACTTTATCTGTAAAAGAAAAAAAACAAAACAAAACACCCCACAACCCAACAACTACAAAATCATTAAGAAGATGTTATAGGGAGACGGGAAAACCCAAGCAAAAGCTCTTAACCTATAAAGTAATAAACTCTTGATTACCAGAGGTGTGCGACCGGAGGCCCTCACACTGCCTACCAGGAATGCTGGGAAGATAACTCTTGCATGACCTTGACATGAATTAGATCATTTCCAAGGGTCAGATACATTGCACAGTGGTGCAAATATCCACATGCAAACTTGCCATTGTTTTGTCGCTGAATGCCCCAAGTCCCCAAGACTAAACTAAATATGAACAAAGTTTTGTTTTTCAATCAGTTTTTTTTTTTTTTGCTGTCTCCATCCCACCCGACCCCAGCTGTTAGCCTACAGATACAAAGCATACTATCTCAAATGCATGCCTATCAAATAACTGAAGGCCATGAATGGCAACAGCAAACTGGAAGAGGTGGCTGAGAGTGGCAGCGACCAAGGCCACAATGTTCTGCCCTTGTTAATGTGACCTCAGGGGCAGAGGATGACCTGACTGGTTTTTGAGAGTCAAAATAGAAAAATCCTCAGGGGTATATACAATGCAGTGGCAGAGGGGCCAGGTTCTGCGGGAGAGCAGAGGTACTGTTAAAGGAGTTATAGGAGCTGTAACATGAATTCTGAGCCAGCTTAGACCACAGATAACACATCCTGTCTTTCTAGACCTTGCACAGAAGTAGCACAAGAGCATGAAGTGCTCTCCCTGTGGGGTTCCCAGGAATCGAAGCAGTCTGAGCCGGGCTGCCACCAGGGTATGGGGAGGAGGGACACTCACTTGTTGCAGTGCTGTTTGAGGTGTTTCTTATAGCCATCATCATGCAAGACCACCTCGGGGTTGCAGGTGGCTAGCCAATCTGCATCCTTTAGCTCTGGGATTAGCAACTGGTTCTTCGTCTTCTTCCCCTTCCTCCCTCTGGGGACTGGGGCAGATAAGCCTGAAACAGAAAGACAGCATAGGGCAAGTGGATAGCCAAGGGGGGTGTTACACACGGGTTTTAGAAGAGCTGGGCTGGGGTTTGTTAGAACAGAGTTGGGCTGTGCTCTGGATGGCAGACCCTACTCCTTAGCCCACAGGTGGTGGTGGTAGGAAGGAAGGCCATGCACTTGGTCTCCTCCTTAGTAAACAAATAAACTCCAGGACCATTTAGTTTGTCAGTAAGATTTCCCAAGTACCCTGTGAGGATTAAGAAAGGTGTAACATAACCTGTGCCCTTTGGGAACTTACAACCTGGCTGGGAGAAAAGGAACATTTGACCTAAAACTTCAAGGGGAGCCTTAGCCAAGGATAGGGAAGGAATGTAGCACAAGAAAAGGCACAGACAGAGGTGGGACAGGGACAGGATGGTGAAATGCAAAAGGCAAGTCACTGTGCATCCCTAATTCAGAGGGGGAGTCTGTGTGAGACTCAGGTTAGTGGGCAGGACCAGATGTGGGAAACTTTAAGAGGGTCCAGTTGTACTTCAACAAAATATCACAGGTAACACTGGGAGATTCTGAGGCAGAAACGAAAGCAACATCTTTTCCCACTGGTAACATTCTGAAAAACACCCGAGAAAGAGAAGTCCCCCAAAGCACAGCAATACGGCCCCGCAGAGGAAGAGGGGATGAAGTGCATGGGAATCGTGCTTCTTAGGCATGGCCCTGCCACCTCTCACCTGAGTGGTTCTGGAGGGTCTGGGCTTGCCCATCTTTGGTAGGTGTGATCAGTTCCCAAATGAAACTCTTGATCTTCTCGTCCCCCTTATAATGCTTGACACAGTACACCAGGAGGGCACGGCAAATCATCTCCATGTCCTTCTCGTTCAGATGCCACTTGAATCGGCCATGAGTCAGGATGTCCTTCCACCGGCCCCAGCTGACAGTGGACATACAGACAGGTGTTGGAGGGAGAATGGACCAGGCCATGCAGGCAGCCTCCCCACAGGAGGAGAAACAAGAGCCATACATGCTTTTTGTTCTCTGTAGGTCTGTTAATCATCCCAAGGGCTTTGTCCCGAAAGGCCTTTGAGGACCACCTGACTGTAGCACACCGAATATCACTAAAGTGACCTGGACGTTGGACACTGAGAGCTTCATATGGCCACTACAATGTTAAAAAGGGAGGGACCAAACTACTGGGAGCAGGGAATAAATTTGGAATCAAAAAGAGTCCAACAGCACTATTCAAAAGCAATGATGAGCTCATGGCAGCTGAACCTTTGATTTCTACCAGAGCCAAAGCCCTGCACGAATCATGCCTTGGCGATAACATGTGTTGTGTGGACTCCTTGTATATCCTTGCGGGGTGGGAGGAAGCAGGAAATCAGTACCAGACAGCAAATTAGGACCAGAGATTTGTTGTGACAGGCATATGAGAAAATCATGGCATGTCTGCATTGTGGTTGCGGAGCATACGGTGACTGAGACGGATTCTGGGCAGAAGGCACAGTTCTCTCTTGCTCCAACAGATCCCCCTTTGCCCTATAATTCCAAAGGTGACTGGAGAGACATCCTAGACAAATCTCAGGGACTGAAAAACAGAGGGGAACAAACAACAATAACAACAAAACTAAGCAGAGCCAATACCCACCCAAAGATGAGCAGGTTCTTCTCTACCCGGAAGCACTCCGCTCGGAGGTAGCGCCTGGCTTTGTCATTGAGGCGCCTGGATCTCGTGGGCCTTTCGTCTGAGTCGCTGTCTAACTCTGAAAACTCCATGAGCTCGTCTTCCTCAAACGAGTTGTAGTGTTTGGTCTGCTTTCTCACGCGAGGTCGGTCGATCACTAAGCTTTCCTAGAAATGGAGAGGACTACTGGGAAGAAAGTCCTCTTTTCTCTACTCCTTTCACAAAGCATAAGTGTATCCTCAGGACACATTTGGGATAGAACCATGCCCCGTCTCATCCTCCAGCACGAAGGGCTATTCCCAGCACACCTGCTGTCTCCATGACCACAGGACAAGCAGAGAAGATTCTCTGGGACTTGCTCAAGTTGATGTGCTCCCTGGCCCCCAGTGCTGCTTGTCACCATCTGTTGTTTCTGCAGTCATTCTACCCGGGGTGTGGGCAGGCAAGGCCCCCCCCCAGTGACCAAAGTGGTGTCGGCTCTAGCCAAGAAAGACTGGAGTAGTGAAGACCCAGCTGTTCTGCCCAGCATGCAGAGAGCAGTCTGCACTCTGGAGACAAGACAAGCTAGAGAATTCCATCTGCTCAGCAACTTTCTGAAGACAAACGCATATTCCTGCTTTATTTATCTGCCTTCGACTGGTTCTATCCACTAACCTTTTGCCTTTCACTGACAATACCATCTCCAGCTCAGGAGCCTCGGTCATTCTGATGGTTCCCCTGGCTATGTGTCTTCTCTAGTCTCCATTGCTTCCTGCTCCTCACTCCTTCCCCCATACCTCTTCCCCAAGCCAGGCCAGCCTCCTGACTACTCCTCCACACAGCCCAGATAACAAATGTCGTGTTATCCCTGCTCTGATCACCGTGCTTCCCAACACGGAAGGCTCCAACTGCTTCTGCCTGGCTACAGGGCCACAGTGCTTTCTCCCCTTGCTTGGACCCAGTGTCCTGCACACACAGTAGCTTCTTGATTGCGACACTGTGAAACACTTAGAACAGGTTACTAAAGGGGACTGCAGGATCTTCTTAAAAGAGGAAAATCAGCATTTCTATTTATAGGAGAAAAGAGGGTGGATTAAGCAACCTGTGGTCGTTCTGGCTGGGTGCTGGTTACTGAATTAGCTAGCTACAAGCAGGGACTGTCTCCTGGCTTTGTGGAACCATGAGAGTTCAATACTCACCTGAGAAGACACTCATCCTGAAGTGAGGTGACAGGGTCAGAGATGAAGGACGGGAAATCAACATTTAAGGGGTGCCTCACAGTGGGCTGGGCACTGGTGCCAGTTATACCCACAAATGTTACCTTGTAACCCCACAGTGTGGGCCTGACCACCTCCTCTTCTACTAATCTCAGCGGGGGTCAAAAGCTTCATCCGAAGGCATACTCTGGTTTCACTCTCAAGTCCATTCTCTTTCTCATGTTCAGAATTAAGAAAACATGAGACACTGAAAGAATGGAGGTAAAGCCAACAAACTTTTGTCATGCTTTTTCCCTCTATTATGTGTGAAGTTTCTCTCACAGAAAGTGTTGAAATACAAATAAAATAGTCACATGCCAGGGATAGAATGTTGGTTTGAGGCAGAGGCCTGAACTTGACCTGTGTATCCAGTTCCAGTTCTAATTGCCTTCATCTAATTTCCCAGGTGCCCAACAGACTGAATGGCCATTTAAAAATGACAACAGTTAAGATTTATTGAGTGATGTCTATGTGCCAGGCATATTTTAAGCATGGTACAAATACCATTTAAGAACCAAGACTCAAGAGTAAATAATGACTTGAGCTGTGTAGGAATTTATTGTCATGTATGACATAAGTGAATGTTCCATGGAATAAAATATTATTTTGCTGTACCTTTTCATTCTTTGCTTCAGTGTCTAGTTCAGCTATTTTAGCCCATTTCTGCCAAAAGTTAGGATCATCTAAGGAAATATCTGTTCTGTTTCCTGAAGCCACAAAGCTAGCCTGTGAAGAAGACAAGAATTAATAAACTGTGCTTGAACACAATACAAACTAATAAAACACCAGTGTTACTTCAAGAGAAACCTAAGTATATTATCTATTTGCATTCAAAATCAAACCCTTAACAGAGCTTCCAAAATGAATTGAAAATCTCAAGGCTATTCTTTTTTTACCTTTTATTTTAAAAATTGGGTGAGGAAATCATAATTTCAACTGAAGGGATCATTTTTTTTTGGAGCTTAAGCTTGGAAGCAGGAAGGCAAACCCCGGAAGACAATGGCAATGTGACACTTGGTGTCTAGTTTCCTATGAAAGAGTTAACACTTAAAACTTTTCTAGATTTTTCTTTCAGTGCAACAGTTACCAAATGTCTGCTATGGAAAAGGTATTAGGCTGGGCAGTATGAGGTGTAGAGACAAGGGATGGTTCACCCATATCCTCCTTATAAAACACTGAACGTCCCACTAAAAAACTTTCAGGTGTCACCAAACAGGAGATTTAATCAAACAGGTCACAAAGCTCACACAGGAATCAGCAGTGGTTGTGGCTAGGGAAACCTGAGAGTGATCTGCTAAGTTTTAAATCCAGTGGCCTAAACAGCAGAGAAAAGAGGCACCCAGACTAGAAGCTGGGAATTTTACGTAAAATCTCTTTCCCATTAAACAAACAAACAAATTGCTTGAGTTTGGGGAATGGAGTGTTCACTGGAGCTTCCACTCTCTATCAGTGATCAAGAAGTGCTCTACAAGGGAATCAAGATGTCCACTGGAAGGTTTCAGAGCAGTCCTTGCAAACAGAGCCAACTGAGAATAGGAGTGTTTATTCTGTCTGTTAAAGATCAGCTCTCAAAGGTGAGGAGTGGTATTTTCTTGGTATAGTCCCTGACTCCCTATTCAGACTTCCTTCCTCTAAGGATCTATATCTTTAGATAGTCACGCAGACTAAATGTGCAGCCAATTTCTAGGATTTGCATTCAGAGAAACAGAAGCCCTGCTAATGGGTTTCAGAGAATAAACATTTTTTTTTCTCTCCCACCCCCAACAGCTCTGGAGAGAAGGCCCTGTACCTTGGCAAAAGTGGACCCTTTCCCCTCAGACTGGATGGTGATGGTGTGCGTTCGCCTCTGCAGAATCTGGTCTATGTCTTCTTCACAGAACTTGGAGCCTTCATCTTCTTCATCCATTAAGGCTCCATAAGCACCTTTCCGGAGTAGGTCCTCCACCTCCATTTTTGAGAGCTGCTGTACCTGGACAGGTCACCAAAGGCTACTCACAAAGTGGAAAATGTATAGGAGAAAAACAGCCTCAAATCTGGTTTTTGTGATTCAGTGCATAGTTCCTCCATGAACTACATGTTAGAACAAAGGACGTGGGCAACAAACTTCAGCTAGTGAAATCCCAGATGCGATACTCTGGGGAGGGCAGGCAGACAGTCCTCTATAGGCAGCTCTGAAATAAAGCTCAGCACATGATCCAAGGTCCCTAACATTCTTCAGGATGTTGGTTATTATCAGATGTCACAAGCCACTATAACTATGCATCATTGAAGATGGTACTTTTGACATCTTTATATTTTAGTTAGAGCTTGTATCTTTAAAAACCTCCAGATGTACCAAACAAGCAGAAGAACAATGATTTATTCATTATTAAATAAATATGTATATTAGTATTGTAAATGAGGTCATTTCTCAACTAAAAAAAAAATGATCCCATGATAAATGTGATCTTCTCAAAAAAAACAGGAAATGGGGTCCCAAACACCCTTTTCTGGTTCTAATTAAGAATCTGGTTCTCTTTATATCAATCACAAGAGGGAATTCCATGACTCTCTGCATGACTAACTTGAAGTATTATACTTAGCAACATATGCATAGCTAAGAGGATATGGAACATCTGGACTAAAGACAACTCATTTAGAAGGTTTAAGCATCCAATCTTTGATGCCCTGAGCCCAGAGATTAAGGAAATATTCTGCTTTGTTTGCCTATACTTTAAGATACTTTAGGACAATTTAAGAATCTTAGCTGTAATTCTTATGCCCCCAAAGGGGGAAAAATATTTTAACTGCCTTATTTTAAGCTGCTAATTTATTCATTCATTTACTGACCATCCAGCACTTTATGTTTTTAATATGCCGAGCACTGTTAGGGGCCGAGGGGACATAGATAAAATTGGTCCCAGTACACTCTCAAAGCTCAAAGTCTGAGGTATGAGATAAGGCACAGTAACAAATACAATGTTAAGATCTACTGGCTTCTAACGGGCACAGTTAAAAACTCTGTTTACTGAAATGTTACACCAAGCTGGGCAATCCTACCTCATAACTGCTTCTACGGATTTCCTTTAACCACCCAGAAAACACAGACACCTGACTCTTAACGATGCCCTGTTGTAGGGAATTACCCAATAATGATGTGAGGGCTGGCTCAATGCAGCGAAAGTGAACCCTTAAACAGCTGTAAGAAGAGAAGCCTGTCTGGGCTGTGCGACCAATGTTCCTTAAGACTCCAGAGCAGGCCCATCACACTCACCCCATTGGTGCCGCCCTTTCGGTTGATGTCCTGAAGAACAGCCTTGTCCAGCCCCAGCTTTAGGCTGGCCTTGTCAAACATCTCGCGCTCGTAGGAATTTCGAGTGATGAGGCGATACACCTTCACAGCTTTGCTCTGGCCTATGCGGTGACATCGGGCCTGAGCCTGGGAAGAAGAAGAGTCATATGCATCACGTCACCGTATGTATAAACGGCAGCAACCCTGGGAATAGGGGAGTGCTTAAATGTCATGTGGTGTGAGTGGCCAACTCTCGGTTACAAGTAACAGGACTGATTTCAGAACAGAATTTATACCCAAAGGTTGGCTGCCACCCTCCGTGGCCACTCATTTCTTCTCCCATTGTGTACTGACTACTGCGTGCCAGGGATAAAGCAATGAGAAGGACATGGTGTCCCATCCTGTGCCCCCGCCCTGCTGTGGTCTGTGCAAGGCAACTTGTGAGTGGCACACATTCCCAGGATGCTGTCCTGTCCTCTTGGAAGATATGCTTCAGAGCTGGTAGCACTGAAAATTTATTTTTAAAATTTTGCTACTGAAATTTTCAAACATAGATCAAAATATAGGGAAGTATAATGACCTCTTACGGACAATCTCGTTTATTTTTACCACACTCCACCCTCCCAGATTGTTAGGAAGTAAATAAATCCTAAGCATCATACTGTTTCATTCTTACATATTTCAATACACATTTCTAAAGATACAAACTCTTGTAAAATATATATTATTATCATTGTCACACTTAAAAACAACTGCATTTCTGCTGTGTCACTGAACAGGTACCTTTATTTCCTGTATTTTCTCTAAACTAGGAGTTCTACCTTGGAACCTGATCAGCTTAAGATTTGAGCATCTGAATGTACACCAAGAGGCAGATGGTATCTGGTCATCTTTCTTTTGAATTGATGATCATTGCCTAGATCTGTTAATTCATCAGGGGCTACCCTAATGTACAGTTCATATAGGAGGGACAAGCTAAATATTTGATTCTCTTTATTTAATCAGTTTCCAAAATAACATCCCAAAAAGTGACCAATGAAATTTTTTTTATTACTTCTTTATGGGATACAATGAAGGCATGCACTTAAATATATCTGCCATGTTTTACTGCACTGCAGTTATTATTCTTATTGCTGTTCACATTTGGCTCATGGGAGCCTCTCTAAGTTGGCTCCTGAGTTCCTTCAACATGACCTAGTCAAATGTGGAAAAAAGGAAGACGAGAATCAACTCTGCAGTATTTGAATGGACTGAAGGTATCAGTATGAACTCATGGTTAGGTGTATATGTATATATACACACATATACATACACATACTCACACAGATATAGAAATAGGTATGGATATGTGTACATTTATGTTTGTATGTTATATCAAAGACTGGTAGTCTTTCAATAGTTCCCTTGCTTTCAACATATTCCACACTCCTCTTGTACATTTCCTGTCCAGACCTGGCTTCAGCCATTTTGTTTCCAGAAGTCCTAGTCTCTTTTAGCGGGAATGTTTTTTCTCCCTGAGTAAGCAAGCAGAGGGGTGATTACTGACACTGAGAGGAAGAGGTGGCCATGCCATGTGAGTGAGCCCTGCAGGTATCACTGGACACCCCAGGTCCTTCCTTATCTTGGCCCAGAGCAGTAAGACATGTGGCCCTTGCTCCTCTGTGAGTTAGTGGCAGAGCAAGTCTGGAGCCTTGGACTTCTGCTCCTGCCCCGTGATCTTGATCCTGGAGTCCAGAATTGCAAGCAATGGGTCCCCTGTGTCAGAGGCCAGGCTGTTTGAGTTGGATTTGAAGTTACTGGGCCCAGAGAAAGGGGTAAGTCTAAGCAGGAATCCTATGTTTGCCCATAAGGGACTCACCCAGTGCCAGAATCCCTGGATATGGAAGCCCCCACCCATGCCCTGCCCACATTCTTCCCCTAACCTCATGGCTGAAAATGACACCAGAATTCCTATACTTAGTACTAAAGCGGCCCAAACACTAAGAAGCCCAGTAAGTACTGGGACAGAAGAGAGGCCACTGGGGCGGGGGTACAGGAAATGGCCATCAAAGCAGGGCTAAAGGAGGGTGGATCCCAGGCACCTCCTGCCACTTGGCCCACTGTGTTACAGAGGTCCTCCTTGCAATAAGAAAGCTTGAAGTTCATCTTGGTGCCCAAAATTTGCATATTTCTGTGATACGATTTGGCTGTGTCACCATCCAAATCTCAACTTGAATTTATCTCCCAGAATTCCCATGTGTTGTGGGAGGGAGCCAGCGGGGAGGTAACTGAATCACGGGGGCCAGTCTTTCCAGTGCTATTCTAGTGATAGTTAATGAGATCTGATGTGTTTATCAGGGATTTCTACTTTTGCTTCTTCCTCATTTTTCTCTTGCCGCCGCCATGTAAGAACAGCCTTTCGCCTCTTGCCATGATTCTGAGGCCTCCCCAGCCATGTGGAACTGTAAGTCCAATTAAACCTTTTTTTGTTCCCAGTTTTGGATATGCCTTTATTAGCAGTATGAAAATGAACTAATACAGTAAATTGGTACCAGTAAAGCAGGGCGTTGCTGAAAAGATACCCGAAAACGCGGAAGCGACTTTGGAACTGGGTAATAGGCAGAGGTTGGAACAGTTTGGAAGGTTCAGAAGAAGATAAAATGTGGGAAAGCTTGGAACCTCCTACAGACTTGTTCAATGGCTTTGCCCAAAATGCTGGCAGAGATATGGACAATAAGGTCCAGGCTGAAGTGGTCTCAGAAGGAGATGAGGAACTTGTTGGGAACTAGAGCAAACGTGACTTTTGTTACATTTAAGCAATGAGACCAGTGGCATTTGCCCCTGCCCTCGAGATTTGCGGAACTTTGAACTTGAGAAGGATGATTTAGGGTATCTGGTGGGAGAAATTTCTAAGCAGCAAAGCATTCAAGGGGTGACTTAGGTTCTGTTAAAAACATTCAGTTTTATAAGGGAAGGAAAGAATAAAAATTTGGAAAATTTGCAGCCTGACTATGCGATAGAAAAGAAAAATCAATTTTCTGGGGAGAAATTCAAGCTGGCTACAGAAATTTGCATAAGTAACAAGAAGCCTAATGTTAATCCCCAAGAGCATGTGGAAAGTCTTTAGGCCATGTCAGAGACCTTCATGGCAGCCCCTCCCATCACAGGCTCGGAGGCCTAGGAGGAAAAAGTGGTTTTGTGGGCTGGGCCCAGGGTCCCTGTGCTGTGTGCAGCCTAGGGACTTGTTGCCCTGTCCCAACTGTTCCAGCCATGGCTGAAAGGGGCCAATGTACAGCTCAGGCTGTGGCTTCAGAGGGTGAAAGCACCAAACCTTGGCAGCTTCCACGTGGTGTTGAGCCTGAGGGTGCACAGAAGTCAAGAATTGAGATTTGGGAACCTCCACTTAAATTTTAGATGTATGCAAATGCCTGGATGTCCAAGCAAAAGTTTGCTGCAGAGGTGGGGTCCTCATGGAGAACCTCTGCTAGAGCAGTGCGGAAGGGAAATGTGGGGTCGGAGCCCCCACACAGAGTCCCTACTTGGTCACTGGCTAGTGGAGCTGTGAGAAGAGGGGCACCATCCTCCAGACCCAGAACTGTAGATCCACTGACAGTTCGCACTGTGTGCCTGGAGAAGCCACAGACACTCAATGCCAGCCCAAGAAAGCTGCTGGGGGAGGGAGGCTGTACCCTGCAAAGGCACAGGTGTGGAGCTGCCCAAGACTACCTCTTGCATCAGCATGACCTGAATGAGAGACCTGAAGTCAAAGGAGATCATTTTGGAGCCTTAAAATTTCAATGCTCCGGTGGATTTTGGACTTCCATGGGCCCCCTTTGTTTTGGCCAATTTCTCCCATTTGGAATGGCTGTATTTACCCAATACCTGTATCCAAATCATATCTAGAAAGTAATTAACTTGCTTTTGATTTTACAGGCTCATAGGCAGAAGGGACTTGCCTTGTCTCAGATGAGACTTTGGACTGTGGACTTTTGGGTTAATGCTGAATGAGTTAAGACTTTCGGGGACTGTTGGGAAGGCATGAAATGTGAAGACATGAGATTTGGAGGGGCCAGGGGCAGAGTGATATGATTTGGCTGTGTCCCCATCCAAATATCAACTTGAATTGTATCTCCCAGAATTCCCACACTGTGGGAGGGACTCAGCAGGGAGGTAACTGAATCATGGGGGCTGGTCTTTTCCATGCAATTCTCACGATAGTTAATGAGTCTCATGAGATCTGATGGGCTCATCAGGGGTTTCTGCTTTTGCTTCTTCCTCATTTTCTCTTGCCGCTTCCATGTAAGAAGAGCCTTTCGCCTCCCGCCATGATTCTGAGTCCTCCCCATCCATGTGGAACTGTACGTCCAATTAAACTTCTTTTTCGTCCCAGTCCCCGGTATGTCTTTATCAGCAGTGTGAAAATGAACCAATACATCCTGGTTTACCAAGTTGTTCTTGGGGGCAGGAGGGAAGGCAGAACTTGTTCTCCACTGTCACTTTCTTAGACTCAACAATCCTGGTCACTTCCGGGGAGACCCAGACCCCACTGAGGAAGGAGCACATAGCTGGCAGGCAAGAGCTTATGTGTGAGGCCACCAAGCATGGGCAACAGAACAGACCCTGGGGTCTCTGTGCACAGCAGGGCCACCAGGAAGACCAGAGCAAAGGTCTTCATAGCATGGGAAAAACTAACTTTTCCTCTCTCTTGCCAGGCTGCAGGGCAAGTGGCTAAGAAACAGTCCAGCCATAGACAGGGGTAGAAAACTTACAGACAACAATCTGGATACCCTAGAGGTGGTCCCTGCTACTAGGGATGATCATGGTTTCTAGTGCCTACTCAGTGGGCAAATATAGGAAGTGTTTGTGTGTGTAGAGTGTATATAAACATATGCATATATAAGACAAAATACATCATGAGGTCATACTGATATTTTTAGTTCAAATTATGATTGAAGAATTTTAGTTTCATCAACCTCACATCTGTATTTCTTTAATCATGTTGAAAAACTCAATTTTCAACCACATCAATATCAGTACTCATTTGATTTGTCCCACAATATAACATTTTCAGAAAACCAATACCATTACAACTCACTCAAAACATAATTACCAAAAAATTTCAAGATTTTTCTCTCCCCAGCCACTTAGGGATATATCCTGCTAAGTATGTATAGTGTTTTAAATACACACTTGAAAGTAGGTTTATTTTCTGTAGTTGCAAGGTTAGCAATCCTGAAACTACTTTCTGTTTAATCTAGGTTTCAGCAAATGAGTAAAGATACCGGGGGTAGCAGGAGTAAGGGCTTTCACTGTTGGAGAAGGAAATTATAAATATGGAAAGGAGGAAAACTAAAATAAACTCTGTGGTGCTAGAATGAATTGGAGGTATCAGTATTAACTCATGGTTAGGTGTACATGTGTATTTATATACACACATACATATACATAAAGGTACAGAAATAGATACGGATATGCATGTTTACGTATGCATTTGTGTCTATACACACATATACAAATGAATGCATATATTTACACATATGCATATTTATAGTCTCTCTTTCTGTGTGTATTCCAGCTATGTCCACTGAGAGGGCCTAGAAGAAACATCATTGCAGTAGCAATGAACACACCCAACTCCTGAATCTTGATTGCTAAAAACCATTACCTATACAACAGAGCCACAGTGTGCTAGAGAAATGGCTAACTGTAGTTAGGGCTGTGGTAGAGAAAGTATAGACTAAGCCTGAAACATATTACTGTGTCAGATGTAAGAAATTACTCAAAGAACGAGGGAGACATATGAGAATAACACTTAAAGCTCGAAGAGACTCCCACTGGCTAAGTCTAGAACTATATGAACAGAACATCGAAATAAATATAGTAACAGATTATAACTCACTAAATAAAAAAAGAACCCATGTATTCATATTGACATAAAATAAATAAATGGGAGAAAAAGGGAACACTCTTCCTTATAGTAGAATGCTAACTAACCAGTGCAGAGCGACAGTTAGAAAATCATCACTTTGTAACCATCATAGTGATGACTGATTCAGCCAAAAATAATCAATGGATGCTAAAACCAATGGGTGATACTTTGATGAGGAACAGGTACAGTTCCAATTTATTTCTCCAAAATTACTTATTATTTTCAAAGGGAAAAACAGAAACTTTATAAGTGGAGAAATCGGACAGATATCACTGTACTAAGTGATCAAAGTTACCATCATCAGACAAATGGACACCATGTTATTCCTGATGTGATATATTGAGATGGCTGTGTCAGTTCTGTAGTAGTACTAAACCTAGATCCAATCCTGAGGAAATACAGACAAATCCAAACGGAGGGACAACCTACAAAAAAACTGGCCAGTACTCTTCAAAAACTTGAAGGTCATAAAATAAAAAGAAAAACTGAGGAACTGATCCAGATTAACTAAGACTAAAGGGACATGACAGCTAAAGGTAATGGGTGACCCTGGATTGAATCCTGGACTGGGGAAATGACAGCTATAAAATATGTTGAAACAAATGATAAGACTTGAATATGAACTGTGGATTGGAGAATAGTATTTTTATATCTTGATTCTGAGAACTGAACTGTGAATATACAAGAGAAAGTCCTTGTACTTAGTGAAATACACACTGAAAGTATTTAGGGGACAAGGGGGTACAATGCCTGCAACTTACTCTCAAATAGCTCAGACAAAAAGTGATGTGTGTCTATGCATGTACTCAGAGAAAGAAAGGGACAGAGACACAAAGGAGAGAGTGAGAAAGGGCAAAAATGATAGAGTCGAGGCAAAATGTAAACACAGCTGGTGAATCTGGATAAAGGGTACACTGGAGTTGCAAAATGAAATTATATAGAAATAAAAATGTATAAACATATGAAATACAGACCCTTGAAATAATCCTTTTCTGTGAGTTATAAGCTATTCACTTGATACACAGCTAGATTCAATTGTTTCATTTTGCTTTTGAGTTTTAGGAATTGATGTTTCCCCCTATTAATTTAACCACACTGAAGCAGGTCGTGAAGAAAATAACTAAACTAAGCAACTTTGGCAAATAGTATTCTGATTATATACTGTAATACTAAAGACCAAAAAACCCACTATAGACCAACATTATATTCTGGTAAATGTATTTTTCACAAAATATGGGTTAGCAATTCTAAAACTACTTGATGTGTATACTAGGATGGAATAAATGAATAAATATACTGTGTTATGATAACAAGGTCCAGGCTTCATCCTGCCAGAGAAAGAAGTTACAAATAAGGAAGAGGAGGAGACTATAATGAACCCTGTGATGCTGCACTGTAATTAGAAAATTCACTATGGATGAATATATACAGAATAAATATAGCTGTGTGGTATGAGTGCTTGCTTAAGTATGCATACATCTGTTTCCTAGCTCCATGTGCACAGAGGGTCTAGAAGCAATAACAATCTAGTAGCAGTGGGCATACCTAGTAGCCAGAGTTTGGTTTCTAAATGCTGTTCTCAAGTAAAAGAAAGCAAGGATCGTTGGAGAATGGTCAATTCCAACGTGGGGGCACGAAAAATGTAACATGGACTTGAACCGTAAGGAAGCACTCAAAAAACAATGGGAGCATGTCAAAAAAACACAGAAGCCAATGTAAAGGAGCTACCAACGGCCAAATCTGGACAACCTGAAAACAAAATAAATAGAGTAATGGATTATAAAATAAAACAAAATCCACAAGTCAATACTGATATAAATAAATGGGAGACAAAGGACAACTTCGTTATAATAGAATTCTTACTAATAAATGTAGAAGGGATGATGAGAATAGAAAACTACCATTAGCTAAACACCATGGTAATAATTTACTGAAAGCAAGAACCATTGATGGAAGCTAAAATTAATGGACAGAAGTAGGATGAAAAACAGGATAGAGTCTCAAAATATTCACTCAGAAGATACTAATTTTTAGAGATAAATACAGTTATTTTATGGTGGAGAAACTTGGCAGATGGCACGTTAACCAAGTAATCAAAGTTACATCACGAGTAATAAGATGTATTCATATCACGCATCCCCTGATACAATGCACTGAGGAGGACATAATATGATTTCTATGGTACTCTTGCCTAAAATGCATAACCTCGTATCTCACCATAAGAAAACATCAGGCAAATACAGACTGAGAACAGTCCACAAAACAACTGGTCAGTACCCTTCAAAAGTGTCAAGGTCATGAAAGATAAGGAAAGACAAAGGAATTGTCACAGACTGCAGAAGGTTAGGGAGTCACAACTTCTAAATGGAATGTGGATACTGGGCCAGAAAAAAAATATTTCTAGGAAACTGAAGGAATGAATATGAATAAGGTCTGTAGATTAGTTAAAGAGTATCATATCAATGTTGCTTTCTTGGTTTCAATCATTATACTACGGTTATATAAAATGTCAACATTAAGGGAAGCTGGGTGAACTGTACATTGGAATTCTACATAATTTTTGCAACTTTTAAAAAAGGTTAAAAAAATTAATTTTGTTTTAATAATGAAGTAAAATGCTTAAAATGGTTCCAAAGTCAAATACACAAAACAGCATATTTGGAAAAACCAGCTTCTTTCCCTGTCCCTTCCATCCTGTTCTCTAAAGGTAACCATTTAAAAACAAAGTTTGTAGGCCGGGCGTGGTGGGTCACGACTGTAATCCCAGCACTTTGGGAGGCTGAGGTGGGTGGATCACAAGGTCAGGAGTTCAAGACCAGCCTGGCCAACATGGTGAAACCCTGTCTCTACTAAAAATACAAAATTAGCTGGGCGTGGTGGCGCGTGCCTGTAATTCCAACTACTTCGGAGGCTGAGGCAGGAGAATTGCTTGAACCCAGGAGGTGGAGGTTGCAGTGAGCCGAGGTTGCGTCACTGCACTCCAGCCTGGGTAACACAGCAAGACTCCATCCCAAAAAAACAAAAACAAAAACACACACAGTTTGT